>NC_000016.10:70623106-70926136 GCF_000001405.40 Homo sapiens
GATGAGGATGAAATTTGGGCTTGATTGAAGTAATGGGGGCTGTCTGTGACGCCTTGCAGCAGTACAGCCCAGGTAATTTGCTGAGCCTAATGGGTGTCAGGGTCAGTCCAAGTGAAAGCGAAGAGAGGCTGGGATGATGGGAGCAAAGGAATAGTAAAGAAAGCATGCTTGAGATCCAGAACATAATAATGGATTGTGGAGGGAGGTATGGAGGATAGGAGAGTATATGGGTTTGACACCATAGGGTGGATAGGCAAAACAATTTGGTTGATAAGGCACAGATCCTGAACTAACTTGTAAGGCTTGTCTGGTTTTAGGACAGGCAAAATGGGGGAATTGTAAGGAGAGTTTATAGGCTTTAAAAGGCCATGCTGTAGCAGGCGAGTGATAACAGGCTTTAATCCTTTCAAAGCATGCTGTGGGATGGGATATTGGCATTGAACAGGGTAAGGGTGATAAGGTTTTAATGAGATGGTAAGGGGTGCATGATCAGTCGCCAAGGAGGGAGTAGAGGTATCTTATACTTGTGGGTTAAGGTGGGGGAATACAAGAGGAGGATGCAAAGGAGGCTTTGGATTGGGAAGAAGGGTGGCAATGAGATGTAGCTGTAGTCCAGGAATAGTCAGGGAAGCAGATAATTTAGTTAAAGTGTCTCGGCCTAATAAGGGAACTGGGCAGGTGGGGATAACTAAAAGGAGTGCTTAAAAGAGTATCATCTAAGTTGGCACCAGAGTTGGGGAGTTCTAAGAGGTTTAGAAGCCTGGCCGTCAATACTCACAACAGTTATGGAGGCAAGGGAAACAGGCCCTTGAAAAGAAGGTAATGTGGAGTGGGTAGCCTCCGTATTGATTAAGGCGACGGACTTACCTTCCACTGTGAGAGTTACTCGAAGCTCGGCGTCTGTGATGGTCTACGGGGCTTTCGAGGTGATCAGGCAGCGTCAGTCTTCAGCCGCTAAGCCGAGAAGGAGTCAGTCAGAGAGCCTTGGGCCAGAGTTCCAGGGGCTCTGGGAGTGGCTGCCAGGTGAGTTGAACAGTCCGATTTTCAGTGGGGTCCCACACAGATGGGACGCGGCTTAGGAGGAATCCCGGGCTGCCGGCATTCCTTGGCCCAGTGGCCAGATTTCCGGCACGTGTAGCAAGCTCCTGGGGAAGGAGGTTCTGGAGGAATACCTGGCTGCTGTGGTTCAGGCATTTGGAAGTTCTTGTGTGCTGGAGATGTGGCTGGGGTTTGTCTCACAGTGGAGGCAAGGAATTGCAACTTTTTTTCTGTTACTGTACACCTTGAAGGTGAGGTTAATTAAATCCTGTTGTGGGGTTTGAGGGCCAGATTCCAATTTTTGGAATTTTATTTAATGTCGGGAGCACATTGGGTAATAAAATGTATTTTGAGAATAAGATGGCCTTTTGACCTTTTAGGGTCTAGGGCTGTAAAGCGTCTCAAGGTTGCAGCCAAACAAGTCATGAACTGGGCTGGATTTTTATATTTGATGAAAAAGAGCCTAAACGCTATCTGATTTGGGATAAAGAAAAAGGAGCATTCACCTTGACTATGCCTTTAGCTTCAGCCACCTTTTTAAGAATAAATTGCTGGACAGGTGGGGAAGGGCTAGTCACTGAACGAAACTATAAGCCAGACAGGGTGTGAGGAGGGGAGGTGATAAAAGGATTATAGGGTGGAGGAGGGGAGGCTGAGGAAGAATTGGGACCTAGCTTGGCCTGGAGAGGAGGGGAGAGGTCAGATGGGTCTGTAGAAAAGGAAGATTAGAAAGACTCAGTGACGCTTGGGGTTGGGACTGAGGGGACAGGCGGGAGGGAAAGAAGGAAGATTTGGTACGAGTTGCATTGGGCACAGAGACTAGGAAGGGACTGATGTGTAAAAGAATGCCTGGACATCAGGCACCTCAGACCATTTGTCTATTTTACAGCAAGAATTATTTAGATTTTGCAGGATGGAAAAATTCAAAGTGCCATTTTTTGGCTATTTGGAACTACTGTTGAGTTTGTATTGGGGTCAAGCAGCATTGCAGAAGAAAATAAGGCGTTTAGGTTTTAGGTCAGGTGTGAGTTGAAGAGGTTTTAAGTTCGTGAGAAGTCAGGCTAAGGGAGAAGGAGGAATGGATGGTGGAAGGTTGCCCATAGTGAAGGAGGCAAACCCAGAGAAAAGAGAGCATAGAGATATGGAGGGAAGGGGTTCGGGGGTTCTTACCCTCCAGAAAAGTGGGAAGGGGGGTCGGGGCATGGAAATAAGGGATTGGGGCACAGAAATAAGAGGTTGGGGTGCGGAAATAAGGGATTGGGGGTTCTTGCCCCCTAGAAAAGCGGGACTTGCCGCTAAGGGCGAAGGAGAAGGGGTTGAGGGGTACTTGCCCCTTCCCCAGAAAAGCAGAGAAGGGGTAGAGAGGGAGAGAAGGAGTTGGGGAACTTGCCCCTCCCCCAGAAAAGCGGGACTTGCTGCTAAGGGTGAAGGACCAAGGCAGGCATCCCTGCGTGGTCTGACACCTTTGAAACGTGGGTGAATAATCAGAGAGGTGTCCCTGCAATGATTAAACACCAAGGGAAGGCTGCCTTCCCAGTCCGTGACAGGCGCTGGAGTTTTGGGTCCACCGATAAAACGTGTCTGCTTTGTCTCTCCCAGAAAATGAAAGGAATTGAAATTAAGAGAAGGGAGAGATTGAAGTGTGACGCCAAGATTGAAAGGAGAAAGAGGTTGAGGGATAGTGAGGGAGATTGGAAAAGAGAGTAAAAAGTGGCCACTTACCGGATTTGAAATTGGTGAGATGTTTCTTGGGCTTGTCTGTCTAAGGACCTGAGGTGGTAGGTGGATCTTTCTCACAGAGCAAAGAGCAGGAGGACAGGGGATTGATCTCCCAAGGGAGGTCCCCCGATCCGAGTCACGGCACCGAATTTCATGCGCGTCCATGAGAAGAGACCACCACACAGGCTTTGTGTGACCAACATGGCTGTTTATTTCACCTGGGTGCAGGTGGGCTGAGTCCAAAAAGAGAGTCAGCCTGTTTTGCTTATTTTTAAAATTACATTGTTGGCTTTTTCTTTTTTATTTCTATGAGCTGTTTACATATTAGTGAGATCAGTCTTTTGTGCCTTTGATATAAATTGCATTCAGTTTAGTGTGTCTCTTTTATTTTATTAATTTTTTGTTTTAGTATATACAAGTTTTTATTTCTATGGAGTCAAATTTATCAGTCTTTTATGGTTTCTGAATGTTTAATCATAGGTACCAAAACCTTCCCACTTTAAGAAAACACGATGTGTGTGGGTTTGTTTGTTTTTGTTTTTGTTTTTTTGAATCAGAGTTTTGCTTTTGTTGCCCAGGCTGGAATGGAATGGTGCAATCCTGGCTCACTGCAACCTCTGCCTCCCAGGTTCAAGTGATTGTCCTGCCTCAGCCTCCCGAGTAGCTGGGATTACAGGCATGCGCCACCACGCCCGGCTAATTTTGTATTTTTAGTGGAGATGGGGTTTCACCATGTTGATCAGGCTGGTCTGGAACTCCTGACCTCAGGTGATCTGCCCACCTCAGCCTCCCAAAGTGCTGGGATTCCAGGTGTGAGCCACCACACCCGGCCAAAAACATGATGTCTCCTATGTTTTCTTCTATTATTTTATATTCAAATTTTGATCCTTTTGGAATTTATCCTGATGTGTGCTTTGAGGAGTAGGTCTAATTTTATTTTTTCTTCCAGATGACTTTTTTCAGCTAAATTGAGAAGCTATTTTATCATAAGCCATTTATCATGAGCTCTTTTCTCTGTATGTATTTGAGTCTATTTCAGAACTTGCTACTCTTTTCCATTAGTTTCTCTTTCTGTTCATGTTCATTCAAGTTCCCACTGTTTTGTTTATTAAGGTTGATAATATTTAAAAATATATATGTTTCTTATAGAGACAGGGTCTCCCTATGTTGCCCAGGCTGGTCTTGAACTTCTGGACTCAGGGGATCCTTCCACCTCAGCCTCCCAAAGTGCTGGGATTACAGGCCTGAGCCACTAAGCCTGGCCCTAAAAAATATATTTTAATATATGAAAGGGATGTTCTTCCCCTTATATGTTGAGCTCTTTCAGGCTATTCTTGCTCATTTTTTTCCATTTGAACTTTAACATCTAATATCTAATTACACAAACACACAGGAAAGCTGAAGTATAACACACATATAGCAAAGTAAATAAATTGGAAGTATACAGCTTGATGAGCTATCACAAAGTGAACACACCCTTGCAACTATTACCAGCGTGTAGAAGCCCCCCACCAGATCCCCAAACACTCACTATCCCTCCCTCCCTCCAAAGGTGCATCCCTCCTCTCCCCTCCCCCTCCGCTCCCCTCCCCCTCCTCCCCCTTCCCTCCCCTCTTCTTTTTCTTTCTCTTTCTTTGAGACAGGCTTTCTCTCTGTTACCCAGGCTAGAGCACAGTGGTGCTATCTAGGCTCACTGCAGCCTCTGTCTCCTGGACTCAAGCAGTCCTCCCAAGTAGCTGGGACTACAGGCACAAGCCACCATACCTGGCTAATCTTTTTATTTTTTTGTAGAGATGGGATCTCACTATGTTGTCCAAGCTGGTCTCGAGCTCCAGGGCTCAAGAGATCTGCCTACTTCAGATCCCAAAGTGGTGGGGTTGCAGGTGTGAGCCAGTGTGCCTGGCCCTTATTTCTTGTCACAGATTGGTTTTGCTGTGTTTTTTTAAAAAACTTTAAACACGTGTATTCTTTTGTATCTGGTTTCTTTTGCTCAACATTTTATTTGTGAGGTTTATTTATCCACATGCCATGAATATTGTAACACATGGCTTTTGGTGCCCATGTATACAGATTTCTGTTGGATATTTACTTACGAAAGAAATTGCTAAGCTGTGGGATATGCACACGTTCAATTTCAGAAAATACTGCCAAACTGTTCTCCAAGTAGATATGTGACAATTTACCTTCCTTCCAGAAATGTCTGAGAATTCCAATTATTCTACATTGTTGCAACACTTGGATTTTTTTGGTCTTTTTAATTTTATTCACTCTAGGGTGTGTGTGTAGTGGTAATTAATTGTGGTCGAGCACCTTATTATATATTTATTGGCCATTTAAATATACTGTCTTGTGAAATGCATTGGGATTGCTTTAAATTTATACATTAACTTCAGAGAATTGGACCTACTTATGATGTTAAATCTTCCCATCCAAGAACACAGTATATCTTTTTCCATTTGTTTAACTCTTCTGTGTCCTTTAGCATTGTTTACAGTTTTTTAGTATATATCTTGCACATTTCTTGATAAGTTTATTTCTAGGTATTTTACATTTTTTGTTGTTATGTAAGTGGTCTCTTTTCTAACTGGCTAGTGTGTGGGTTTGTTTTTATTTATTTATTTATTTATTTATTTTTTTTTTTGAGACAGAGTCTTGCTCTGTTGCCCAGGCTGGAATGCAATGGTATGATCTTGGCTCACTGCAATCTCCGGCTCGCGGGTTCAAGCGATTCTCCTACCTCAGCCTCCCAAGCAGCTGGGATTACAGGCACCCGCCACCATGCCTGGCTAATTTTTGTATTTTTAGTAGAGATGGGGTCTCACCATGTTGACCAAGCTGGTCTTGAACTCCTGACCTTAATTGATCCACCCGCCTTGGCCTCCCAAAGTCCTGGGATTACAGGCATGAGCCATCACACCTGGTCTTTTTTTTTTTTTTTTTTTTGAGACAGGGTCTTACTGTATGCCCAGGCTGAAGTGCAGTGGCTCAATCACAGCTCACTATAGCTTCGAACTCCTGGGTTCAAATGATCCTTCCACCTCGGCCTCCCGAGGAGCTGGGACAGCAAGCATGTACCATTGTGTCCAACTAACTTTTGTATTTTTAATGTATAGACAGGGTCTTGGTATGTTGCCCAGGCTGGTCTCAAACTCCTGGCCTCAAGTGATCCTCCCAAAGCACTGAGATTATAGGCATGAGTCACTGTACCTGGCCCCTGGCTATTGTTTATAGTAGTTTGTTGATTCTCTTGGATGTTCTAGATTTATAATCATCTCATGTACAAGTGGAAATAACTTCACCTCCTCCTATTTAACTCTTGTATCTCTAATTTTGTTTGCTGATGTAATTGCATTGGCTATTACCTTCTGTGTAATGGTAGTGAGCATACTTGTATTGCTTCTTTCTTTAGTGGGAATGCCTCTAGTGATTCTAAGTTATGCAAAATGCTGGCCTTTATCTGAGGTTGAGGTATTTTATCATGTTAGGTAATTATCCATCAATTCCTTCTTTTCCTGATTTTTATCTAACATTTACAGATCTCCAGAACCTACTACAGTTGTCCTTTTGTATACTTGCGGAACCGGTTCCAGAACCCCCCAAAGATACCAAAATCCATGGACGCTCAGGTCCCTTATGTAAAATGGCATAGTATTTGCATATAACCTACTTACACCCTCCTGTGTAATTAAAATTATCTCTAAATTACTTATAATAACGAATACAATGTAGATACTGTATAAATAGTTGTTATACTATATTGTTTGGGGAGTAATGACAAGAAAAATGTCTGTACATGTTCAGTACAGAAACAATCATTGTAGACCTCACTACATTTTTTTCTTTTTTTTTTTAATTTGAAATGTTTGTGCGTACATAGTAGATATATATATTTATGGGGTACATGAGATATTTTGATACGGGAATTCAATGCTTAATAATCACATGAGTGTACATGGGGTCTCCATTTTCTCAAGCATTTTTATCTTTTGTGTTATGATTCAGTTATACTGTTTCAGTAATTAAAAAATGTACAATTACATTATTGACTCTAGTCACCCTGTTGTGTTATCAAATACTAGCTCTTATTCATTCTGTCTATGTTTTTGTACCAACCAACCATCATTTCCACTTCCTCCCACCCAGCAACAATTCTTCCAGCCTCTGGTAACTGTCCTTCTACTCTCTATCTCCATGAGTTTGTTTTAATTTTTAGCACCCACATACAAGTGAAAATATGTAATGTTTATCTTTCTGTGCCTGGCTTATTTCACTTAACATAATGATGAACTCATGTGGTTACAAATGACAGGATCTCATTCTTTTAATGGCTGAATAGTACTCCATTCTGTATATGTTCTACATTTTCTTTCCTTCTTTCTTTTTAATTTTTTTTGGAGATGGAGTCTCTCTGTCGCACAGGCTGGAATGCACTGACGTGATCTCTGCTTATTGCAACATTTGCCTCCCCAGCGATTCTCCTGCCTCAACCTCCCGAGTAGCTGGGATTACAGGTGTGCACCACCATGCCTGGCTAAGTTTTGTATTTTTAGTAGAGACGAGGTTTCACCATGTTGGGCAGGCTGGTCTCGAATTCCTGACCTCAGGTGATCTGCCAGCGTCGGCCTCCCAAAGTGCTGGGATTACAGGAATGAACCACTGCGCCTGGCCCCTCCCTTCCCCTCCTCTCCCCTCCCCTCTCCTCTCCTCTTCTTTCTTTTTTCTTTTTTTTTTCTGAGGTAGGGTCTCATTCTGTCACCCAGGCATGATCAGTGCAATCATGGCTCACTGCAACCTCAGTCTCCCAGGCTCAATTGATCCTCCTACCTCAGCTTCCCAAGTAGCTGTGACTACAGGCACACCACCATGCCTGGCTAATTTTTATATTTTTTTGTAGAGACGGGGTTTCGCCATGTTGCCCAGGCTGGCCTCAAACTCCTGGGTTCAAGTGATCCTCTGGTCTCAGTTTTCCAAAGTGTTGAGATTATAGGAGTGAGCCACCAAGCTCGGGTCACATTTTCTTTATTCATCTGCTGATGGGCACTCAGTTTGCTTCCAAATCTTGGCTATTGTGAATAGTGCTGCAATAAACATGGGAGTGCCGATATGTCTTCAATATACTGATTTCCTTTCTTTTGGGTATATACCTGGCAGTGAAGTTGCTGGATCATATGGTAGCCTAAACTACATTTTCAATTTGTGGTTGGTTGAAACTGAAGATGCAAAATCCATGGACGCAGAAGACTGACTGTGTTATGTTATATTAAGAAGTTTCCTTATATTGAACCATCCTTGCACTCTTGGAATAAAGTCTCTTTGGTTTTTCCAGTGTCTTGTGCCCCCAGCTGGAGAAGCTCCTTTGACTGAGCCAATAGCTACTGTGGACTGTTGTGGACATGGTCTGTGGACATGGACAGGGCCAGTACCCATAGGCCTAAGTCTCCTTTCCTGCAGTAAATTATTGGTTTGATTCTCTTCGAGAAACCCAGCTCAAAGTCCTTTCTGTTGTCAGGGAGAATAGAAATTGGGTTTTCCCATGGAGTTAGAAAAAACTACAGTCTTTTCCAATTTATTCTTGTTTTTATTAACTTTTAAAACAAAACAAAACATATTAAATGTTTTTTTAATATGTTAAAAACAAAACCAAAGAATCTTTATCCTGTTATACTCAGCTTTGTTTATATAATGTTTTGGAGGATGTCCCAATGACCTTTTAGAGTCTCTGGGCTGTTATAAAACTAAACTTGGGACTCACTTCCCTAGTTTTTCTCAAGAAGAGTGGAAAAATAAAAAAGTTAAAATAGTTTTGGCCAGTAACAAAGAAAAACCTTTAGGTTCTTGGTCACTGGAGAATATGGTACTTAATCCCTAGAAGCAGGTATACACTGGGCGGGATAGCCCAGTGGTTAAGACGGTCCCTGCTGTGCAGCTTACTGTTGTGTGTAACCTCAGACAAGTTACCTCATCCCTCTGGTCCTTCATTTCCTCATCAGTAAGAGAAGATAATAATATTGATCCCAGGAGTTCAAGACCAGCCTGGGTACCATGGCAAAACCCTGTCTCTACAAAAAAAAAATTATAATACAAAAAATTAGCTGAGTGTGCTGTTGTGTACCTGTAATCCCAGCTACTTGGGAGGCTGAGGTAGGAGGATTACCTGAGCCTGGGGAGGTCAAGGCTGCAGTGAGTGGAGATCGTGCCACTGCACTTCAGCCTGGGTGATAGAGTGAGACCCTGTCTCAAAAAAAAAAAAAAAAAAGAGAAGATAATAGTTCCCAACTCCAGCCTTGTTGGGAGGCAATTAGTTAATGCTTGAAAGTTCCTTGGGACATGGTAAGCACCAGTGAATATGGAGGAGCCTGTGGGGATGAGATCATGCTGTAGGGATTGGGCCAGGTGGTCTTAGCATTCAGCGGCCATTTCTGACCTTCGCTGACCCTAATCCTCATGCAGATATCTGCAGGGTGTGCTTAGACAAATGACGGGCCTGTTCTCAAGGTCTAGGCTTCTACCATGAAGCAAAATAATGAAGTTAAAAACAAAATCTCCTTTTGTAGGTGTTTAGCCTATAGGAACCAAAGGAATGGAGCTGAAGATTCCTTCAGGTGGGCATTTTGGGGAACACATCTGTGAATGAATGGGAAGAGGAGCTGGGCCAATGCTTTCGGCTCCTGACCAGGTGGTCCTGAGGGCTTAAACTCCAAGGAAGGGAGTGCTCTTATAAGCGGGCCAGTGGCTTTCCAATGGAGCATCTGCAAAGTGGGTCTCTGGGGTGGTGCTGCACAGAGACCATGTGGTGTTTGTGTTTGAGAGAGTGAAGGGGGTATTTTTGCTGTGGGCAGAAGGGACAGTTTTTTTGTGACAGATGAGCAAGAAGGGAGAGCTATGGGGAGGGATCTGTCTGATCAGTGGCCAAGTACTGCCTCTCAAGGTGAATTCAGAGTAGCATTGGGCTGGCCTTCTTTTGGGGGTTTTGTCTTATTTGATGAAGCACGAGCCAGGTTGGAGCCTTTGTCACCAGCTTGCTGTTTCCAACCAGCAATTTTCTATTGTTAAAATTGGAGTATAACTTACTTAAAATAAAATTCTTACTTAAAATGTGTCTTATCAGGACATATTTTTTTTTGAAACAGCGTCTCTGTCACCCATGCTGGGGTGCAGAGGCACAACCATGGCTCACTGCAGCCTCGACCTCCTGGGCTCAAGTGATCCTCCCACCTTAGCCTCCTTAGCAGCTGAGACCACAGGTGCATGCCACCATGCCTGGCTAATTTTTGTATTTTTAGTAGAGACAGGGTTTCGCCATGTTGCCCAGGCATGTCTCAAACTCCTGAGCTCAAGTGATCTGTCCTCCTTGGCTTCCCAAAGTGCTGGGATTACAAGTGCCCAGACTGATTTTTTTTTTTCTTTTAAGACAGGGTCTCACTCTGTTGCTCATGCTGGAGTGCAGTGACAGGATCATGGCTCACTGCAGCTTTGACCTCCCAGGCTAAAGCGATCCACCTGCCTCAGCCTCCTGAGTAGCTGGGACCACAGGTGAGCACCACCATGCCTGGCTAATTAAAAAAAATTATTATTTTTTTCTCTAGAGACGTGGTCTCCCTATGTTGCCCAGTCTGGTTTCAAACTTCAGACCTCAAATGATCCTCCAACCTCGGCCTCCCAAAGTGCTGGGATTCCAGGTGTGAACCATTGTGCCTGGCCAAAATACACAATCTTAAATGTTCAGGTGGGTGGTATAGTAGTTTCCCAGAGCTTCTGTAAGAAAGTACCATAATTGGTGGCTTAAAGCAACAGAAATGTATTCTGTCAAAGATCTGGAGGCTAGAAATCCAAGATCAAGGTGTTGGCAAGCCCATGATCTCTGTGAAGGCTTGAGGGGAGGATCTTTTCCTGTCTCTTCCCAGGTTCTGGTGTACAATTCCTGGTGCTGTGTGGCCTGTGGACCTCACTGCAGTTTCTCAATCATCACGTGGTCTTCTCCCTGAGTCTCTCTCTTTTTTTTTTTGAGACAGAGTCTCGCATTGTCGCCCAGGCTGGAGTGCGGTGGCGTGATCTTGGCTCACTGCAACCTCCGCCTCCTGGGTTCAAGCGATTCTGCTGCCTCAGCCTCCGGAGTAGCTGGAATTACAGGCGTGCACCACCACGCCCAGCTAATTTTTGTATTTTTAGTAGAGACGGGGTTTCACCATGTTGGCCAGGCTAGTCTCAAACACCTGACCTCAAGTGATCTGCCCGCCTCGGCCTCCCAAAATGCTGGGATTACAGGTGTGAGCCACCGTGCCCTGCAATCTCTCTCTTCTTATCAGGACACCAGTCATTGTATTGGGCCTACTAATCTGGTATGACCTCACTCTAATTTGACTAATGATGTATGCAAATACTCTGTTTCCAAACAAGGTCATATTCTGAGATTCCAGGTAAGATATGAACTGGGGGCAGGCAGCACTGTTCAACCCAGTACAGATATGTTTTATTGACAATTATATATACCCATGTGACCACCACTCTAACAAAGAAGAGATAGAACATTTCCAGGCTGGGCGCAGTGGCTCATGCCTGTAATCCCAGCACTTTGCGAGGCCAAGGCAGGCTGATCACCTGAGGTCAGGAGTTCGAGACCAGCCTGACCAACAAGGTGAAACCCCATCTCTACTAAAAATACAAAAATTAGCTGGGTGTGGTGGCACGTGCCTATAATCCCAGGTACTCAGGAGGCTGAGGCAGGAGAATTCCTTGAACCCAGGAGGCGGAGGTTGCAGTGAGCCGAGATCGTGTCACTGAACTCCAGCCTGGGCGACAGAGCGAGATTCCGAATCAAAAAAAAAAAAAAAAATTTCCAAAGTTCCCTAATGCCCCTTTCCAGTCAGATCCTTACCACCACCAGCCACCTGGGATAGCCACAGTTCTGATACCTATCACCATAGATTAGTTTATTGGCCTGTTCTTGCATTCAAATAGCTGGAATTATGTAGTGTGCACGCTTTTGTGTCTGGTTGCTTTTGCTCAAAATAATGTTTTTGAGATTCATCCATGTTGCTGCACAGATCAGCAGTTCCTTTTAATTTCAGAGTAATATTCCACTGTCTGATTATGGCACAGTTCATACGTCCAGTCTTCTGTTGGCAGATATTTGGATGGTTTTCAGTTTTAGAAGTGCCTATGATTCATAGTATGAATACAGCAGCAATAGGCATTCTTGGTCATTCGTCTTATGGCCATAGAGTTTGATTTTTCTAGGTTAAATTCTAGGAGTGGGATTGCTGGGTCAGAGTCTAGGTATGTGTTTAACTTTGTTAGAATCGCCAGTCTTCCAAAATGACAATCCCAGCTTATACTCTCAAGGGTAACGTGGAGGGCCCCATTACCATGCATCCTGAGAACTCAAACAGTGATTTTCTTGGCGACAGATATTTTCTTTGCTCCATAGAGGGGATAACCCCTCTGCAGAGGTTTCCATCACAGAGCTGTCAAGCTAAACACCCTCCAGCTGCTGCAGCCTACCCTGCTAGTTTTTGCTTTGTTTTCTTTTGTCTCCTGCTGCTCTCAGGAAGCACAAAGGCCTGTTGGAGGCCCTTTGTCTACTGTCCCAGTACCAGTGTGGATGCTCCACAGTCTGTTCTTGTGCTCTTGAGTCCCCTTGCTAGTCACAGGTCAGAGGTTGGAGGTCAGAGGTCAGAGGTCGGAAGCTGGAGTCCTTCAGCAGAACATCGGCAGCTTCCTTGAGCAGGAGCTGTTTCCAGTGTTCAAGGGTCCCATTGACTGGTCCCACGCTGGGTTTCTTTCTTGCCTTCTTTCACAATCAAGTAAGTATTTTGCTCACAGACCTCTATTGATAGTGCAAAAACAACAGCAAAAGGGGAAATGATTCAAATATAAAAGAAAAAGCCTACGTTTTTCCAAAACCCATTTTTTTACTATTAGTAATACGAGTGAGTAATTATAACAATAGCAAATACCAAGATAGCATGTACTGTATGCCAGCTCATGTTCTAAGTTTTCTGTATATAGAAATCCAGTAAATCCTTACATAGCCCTTTGAGGTCAGAATCTCATATCAAGCCCATTTTACAGATGGGGAGGCTGAGGCAAAAGAGGATCCTCACCTTGCCCAAGGCAAGGTGGAGTCAGAGTTTGAACCCAAAAGGTGTAGCTTCAGGGTCTGTATCTTTTTTTTTTTTTTTTAATTTTTATTTTTGAGACAGTCTCGCTCTGTTGCCCAGGTTGGAGTGCAGTGGCATGATCTCAACTCAATGTAGCCTTCACCTCCCAGGTTCAAGTAATTCTCTTGCCTCAGCCTCCTGAGTAGCTGGGATTACAGGTGTGTGCCACCACGCCCAGCTAATTTTTGTGTTCTTAGTAGAGACAGAGTTTCTCCATATTGAGGCTGGTGTCAAACACCTGGCCTCAAGTGATCCCCCTGCCTCAGCCTCCCAAAGTGCTGGGATTACAGGTGTGAGCCACTGTGCCAGGCCCAGGGTCTGTATTTTATACCTGCATGTTTTCCTTTGGTTCATTTACAGTCTAGAAACTTAACCACATTTATTTAAAAAGGAAACTTTGTATCACTAGCATAAATGGAAGATCCACATTGCTTGACATAGATAGTAACTGTAAAAAATGAATACTCTGACATAGTGTCGTGGCTCATGCCTACAATCCCAGCACTTGGGGAGGCTGAGACCAGGAGCTTGAGACCAGCCTGGACAACATAGCAAACCCTGTCACACACACACACACACACACACACACACACACACACACACACAAAATTAGCTGGGCATGATTGAGTGTACCTGTGGTCCTAGCAGTGTGGGAGGATGCCTTGAGCCCAGGAGTTCGAGGCTGCAGTGAGCCTGATTGTGCCACTGCACTCCAGCCTTGGCAACAGAGAGAAACCCTGTCTCAAACAAACAAAACAAAACAAAACAAAAAACAAAACAAAACAGAATGAAGAAGAATACTCTAATATAACAACATAACATGATTCTAAATAGCACCTATTGCCCCTTCCCTATTTTATTTTATTTTTTTTTTGAGACGGGGTTTCGTTCTGTCGCCCAGGTTGGAGTACAGTGGCGTAATCTCGGCTCACTGCAAGTTCCGCCTCCCAGGTTCATGCCATTCTCCTGCCTCAGCCTCCCCAGTAGCTGGGACTACAGGCTAATTTTTTGTATTTTTAGTAGAGACGGGGTTTTACTGTGTTAGCCAGGATGGTCTCGATCTCCTGACCTCGTGATCTGCCTGCCTCGGCCTCTCAAAGTGCTGGGATTACAGGTGTGAGCTGCCGTGCCTGGCCGCCCCTTCCCCATTTTTAATTTTTTCAGTTTATTTTTTCTTTTTGCCTCTAGCTTTGCATGGATGATCCTTCCCCATTTTTTAAAGCAGTTTGTGCTTTTGGTGTCATATATAAGAATCAAATCAAAGTTACCAAGATTTTGTCCTAGAAGTTTTAGGTTTTACAATTAATTCTATGGTCCATGTCAAGTTAATTTCTTTTTATTATTTATTTTTTGAGATGATTTTCTTGTTTCCCAGGCTGGAATGGTGTGATCTCAGCTCACTGCAACCTCTGCCTCTCGGGTTCAAGTAATTCTCCTGCCTCAGCCTCCCCAGCTGGGATTACAGGCATACACCATCAGGCCCGGCTAATTTTATATTTTAGTAGAGACGGGGTTTTACCATGTTGGCCAGGCAGGTCTCAAACTCCTGACCTCAGATGATCTGCCCCCCCTCGACCTCCCAAAATGCTGGGATCACAGGTGTGAGCCACCGCGCCTGGCCAAGTTAATTTCTATATGTGGTATGAGATAAGGGTTGAGTTTAATTTTTTATATACATATATAAGGATGTCAGATAGTTTCCCCAGTGTTGATTGAAGAGACTTCTTTCCTCTGTCTTCTTTGAATCTGACTTTTTTCAGAGACTGGGAGGTTTGATTCTCATAGTTGCTGCAAGGATAAAAAGGTATAATTATTTTGCTATGCTCTATTTAAAGCAATCGGCACATGGTCAGCACTCAGTATATACCAGTTCTCAGATTTTGCTAACTGCTTTTCTGTGGTTTGACATTTAGGTGGTTTCCAGGTTTTTTTGTTTTGTTTTGTTTTGTTTTTTGCTTCAAGTGTAAACAGCAGTGCAATGGATATCCCAGGCATTCAGCTTTGTTGTCTTCTTTAAAATTATTTTAGAGTATATTTCTGGGTCTTTCTCCATACTACAAATCAGTGTAAAAAGTGGACCCATGCACTCTGCCAGAAGCCATGGGCTGCTTTTGAATTAGCCCTGCTTCCAACCAGAGGGAGCTCTCTGGGAGGTTTAAAAACTGGAATCAGACTGGGCGCGATGGCTCATGCCTGTAACCCCAGCACTTTGGGAGGCCAAGGTAGGAGGACCACTTGAGCCTGGGAGTTCAAGACCAGCCTGGGCAACTTAGCAAGACCTTGTCTCTACAAAAGAACTGTAAAACTTAGCTAGGCATGGTGGTGCACACCTATAGTCCCAGCAACTTGGGAGACCGAGGCAGAAGGATCTTGAGCCCAGGAGTTTGAGGCAACAGAGTGAAGATCCTATCAAAAAAAAAAATAAAGAAAAAAGAAAAAAAGAAAAGAACTGGAGTCATCCCCTTCCCTGGGGAAACTTTCCTGCCTTCTGACCCCCCCACTCTCTCTCTGGTCCCCTGGTTGGTGGCTTCTTATCCTCCCAATATCTGCATATGCTTTCCCATGATATTTTATACTTATTTATTATTTTTTTGAGACAAGGCCTTTCTCTGTCACCCGGGCTGGTCTTTCTGTGTCAGCCACGGCTCACTGCAGCTTGGACCTCCCGGGGTCAAGCCTCTTGAGTACCTGGGACTGTGGGTATGCCACCACATCTAGCTAATTAAAAAAAAATTATTTGTAGAGATTAGGTCTCTCTATGTTGCCCAGGCTGGTCTCATACTCCTGGGCTCAAGCGATCCTCTTGCCTCAGCCTCCGAAAATGCTGGAATTACAGGTGTGTGCCACCGCACCAGCCCAGTTTGTTTGTTTTTAAACAAATAAACTGGTTTAAGTAAAAAAAGTGAGTGAATGCAGGGAAATCTATCTCCATGTAGGTAGATCTGGTTCAGGGGTGTTGTGGTAGACACCTGGCTCTTAGTTAGGAAATGCTGACTAAGGCGTTGCCCTGTTTTGGTGATTCTGTGGCTTGTAAAGCTGGCATGGATTTTCATGTTTTATTTCACCTGAGAACACTCCAGCTTGGGAGATGCCCTTGGGATATGGTGTGGCACTGAGCTTTCCAGATGTGGTGACATTGATCACAGATAGGTGGCACCCACCAGAAATGTACAGCCCGGATCCAGGAGTGTATTTGATCAAATTCATTCAGATGTCTTTGGGTCATAATGGGAAAATGCACGTCCAGAACCCAGCCAATCTTGTTTGAGAAGCAGGCATTTGAAAACAAATTACACGGGCCTGGAGACTGTCTGATTTCAGGCAGAGGCCAGAAATAGGAGGAAAGCACAATATTGCGTTTATATCAGACATCTTGGCAAAGCTGTTGATCTGCTACTGCCTCTGCTTGCCTCATGGGGAAACGCTTGATCAGAAAGCGAGATGATGAATTAGAATATCACAATTAGCAGCCCTCAGTGAATTAATGGATCTAGGCATTAAGTGGCATTGCCTGCCAACATCAGCAAAGAGTGGAGTGCAGTTGTCACGTGCCTTCTGTTGAAAGAACACAGCACCGCTTGTATCGTGACGAAGGGCTTGAGCTTGACCCTGTTCCCACTGCAAACATGCAGAAAGACAAGACAGAGGAGTCCAGGCGTGGTGACTCACGCCTCTAATCCCAGCACTTAGGGAGGCCGGGGTCGAGGATTGCTTGAGCCCAGGAGTTTGAGAGCAGCTTGAGCAACATAGTGAGACCCTGTCTCTACAAAAACTAAAAATAAAAATTAGCCAGGTGTGGTGGTGCATGCCTGTAGTCCGAGCTACTCAGGAGGCTAAGGTGAGAGGATCACTTGAGCCCAAGAGGTAGAGGCTTCAGTGACCTGTGATTACGCCTCTGCACTCCAGCCTGGGTGACAAAGGGAGACCCTGTCTCCGAAAAAAAAAGACAGAGGAACATGTTGAAGTGGACCATGGATCTGCAATCAGGAAACTCTAGGCTGTAGACCAGGGACACTTTTTAAAAGAAAAACTTTAGAAAGAATAAATTTAATAGTTTACTATCATGATCAAGTATTAGGTACTGTACATAATTGTATGTGCTAGACTTTTTGTTTTGTTTTCTTTTGTTTTGCTTTGAGACAGGGTCTCACTCTATCACCCAGGCTGGAGTGCAGTGGTGCCATCGTGGCTCACTGCAGCCTTGGCCTCCTGGGCTCAAGCAATCATCCTGCCTTAGCCTTCTGAGTACCTGGGACTACAGGTGCACACCACCATGCCCGGCTAATTTTGTATTTTTTATTTTTGTAGGGACAGCCTCTTGCTATATTACCTTGTGTCAACTGTAATCACAGCACTTTGGGAGGCCGAGGTGGGTGGATCACATGAGGCCAGGAGATCAAGAGCAGCCTGGCCAACAAGATGAAACCCTGTCTCTACTAAAAATACAAAAGTTAGCCGGGTGTGGTGGTGCATGCCTGTAATCCCAGCTACTTGGGACGCTGAGGCAGGAGAATCTCTTGAACCCGGGAGGTGGAGGTTGTAGTGAGCCGAGATCTTGCCACTGCACTCCAGCCAGGGCGACAGAGCAAGACTCCGTCTCAATAAAAAAAAAAAAAAAAGTTAGTTTTTAAATATATATATTTCAATCAATTAAAGTTATTTTTAAGTCAGGCCTTTTGCAGTATAGTTGATGTATGGTAAAGCTCATCCTCTTTAAGCATACGGTTGGATAAATTTCAACAAATAATATACCAACGCTTCATTCAGGGTTTAAAGCATTTCCTTCACCTCCCAAAATTCCCCTGCGCCCCTTCTCAGTCAATCCCCTTCCCCACTCCCCATTTTGGGATGTCACCGATATAATTTCTGTCCCTGGAGTTTTGCTTTTTCCAGAAAAGGCTGAATGTACATACAGGGTATATAGGTATATACTCCTAGGTATATACTCAAGAGAATTGAAAGTGTTGCCTGGGCGTGGTGGCTCACACCTGTAATCCCAGCACGTTGGGAGGCCGAGGCAGGCAGATCACTTGAGGTCAGAAATTTGAGACCAGCCTGGCCAACATGGTGAAATCCTGTCTCTACTAAACATACAAAAAAATCAGCCGGAAGTGGTGGTGCACGCCTGTAATCATAGCTGCTTGGGAGGCTAAGCAGGGGAATCACTTGGACCTGGGAGGCAGAGGTTGCAGTGAGCTGAGATCACACCACTGCACTCCAGCTTGGGCAACAGAGCGAGACTTCATCTCAAAACAACAACAAGAAAATGTTATGCCTACACAAAAACTTGCACATGGATTTTCATAGCCATATTATTCATAATGGCCAAAAGGTGGAAACAGCCCAAAAGTTCACCAACCAAGGGCACTGTATACTTAAAGAAGGTGAGCTTCACTGTCCATCAATTACACCTCAATAAGCCTGACTTTAAAGTAACTTCAATGGATTGAAATACATAAATTAAAAAAATTCTTTCCCTCCCTCTCTCCCTCCCTCCCTTCCTCCCTCCCTCCCTTCCTTCCTTCCTTCCTGCCTTTCTTTCTTTTTTTTTTTACTTTTTGAGATGGAATCTCACTCTGTTGCCAAGGCTGGAGTGCAGTGGCATGATCATGGCCTGTTGCTGCCTCCACCTCCCCAGATTCAAGTGATCTTCCCACCTTAGCCTCCCTAGCAGCTGGGAGTACAGGTGCATGCCTCCTTGTCCGGCTAATTTTTGTATTTTTTGTAGAGACAGGGTTTTGCTGTGTTGCCCAGGCTGGTCTTGAACTCCTGGGCTCAAGCAATCCACCCCCCCGCAACCTCCCAAAGTGTTGGAATTATAGGCATGAGCCACTGCGCCTGGCCAAAATTAATAATTTCAAAATGACACTAAAAATCCTCATTAGTTATTTTGGAGGAAGCCAGAAAACAATACAATCTGAAATGGACAAAGAAAATGTGGGATATTCATGCAAGGGAGCATTATTTGACAATAAAAAGAGTAAAGTACGGATACATGCTGTGTCTTAGTTTACCTGGCCTTCCATAAAAAAATACCATAGACCGGGTGGCTTAAACAACAGAAATCTGTTTTCTCACCATTCTCTGGGCTGGAACTTTGAGATCAGGGCACCAGCATGATTGATTTCCGGTGAGGGCTCTTCCCTTGGGTTGCAGATGGCCACCTTCTCACTATGTACTCACATGACCAGTTCTTTGTGTGAGTATGGGAAGAGACAGAGAGAGAGAGAGACAAAGACAGAGACAGAGAGAGTGAGCGTACTCTGATGTCTTTTTTTTTTTTTTTTTTTTTGAGACGGAGTCTCACTCTGTTACCCAGGCTGGAGTGCAGTGGCATGATCTCGGCTCACTGCAAACTTTGCCCTCTGAGTTCAAGCGATTCTCCTGCCTCAGCCTCCTGAGTAGCTGGGATTACAGGCACCTGCCACTGCGCCCGCCTAATTTTTGTATTTTTAGTGGAGACGGTGTTTCACCATGTTGGTCAGGCTTGTCTTGAACTCCTTACCTTGTGATCCTCCCGCCTTGGGCTCCCAAAGTGCTGGGATTACAGGCGTGAGCCACTGAGCCCGGCCTGATTTCTTTTCTTATAAAGGCATTATCCCACCATAAGGACCCCATCCTTGTGACCTCATCCAAACCTAATTATCTCCCAAGGCCTCATCTCCAGGAACCACCACATTAGGGGTTACAACTTCAACACATGTATTTTGGAGAGACACAAACATTCAGTTCATAACATGCTACAAAATGAATGAACCCTGAAAACATGCTAAGTGAAAGAAGCCAGACATGAAAGGTCCCGTATTGCATAATCAATCCCATTTATATGAAATGTCCAGAATAGGCAAATCCATAGAGACAGAAAGAATATTAGTGGCTGCCAGGGGCTGGGAGGAAGAGGGAATAGGGGGTGACTGCTAATGAGTTCAGAGTTTATTTTGGGGGTGATGAAAATGTTCTGTAATTAAATAATGGTGACTGTTGCACAACTTAGTACACTAAAAACCCACAAAGTTGTACACTTTATTATTTATTTTTATTTATTTTTATTTATTTTTGAGACGGATCTCACTCTGTCACCCAGGCTGGAGTGCAGTGGGACTACCTCGGCTCACTGCAACCTCTGCCTCCCGGGTTCAAGTGATTCTCCTGCCTCAGCCTCCTGAGTAGCTGGGATTACAGGTGCGCACCACCGTGCCTGGCTAATCTTTTGTATGTTTAGTAGAGATAGGGTTTTGCCATATTGGCCAGGCTGGTCTCGAATCCCTGACCTCAGGTGATCCACCTGCCTTGGCCTCCCAAACTGCAGGGATGACAGGAGTGAGCCACTGCACCTGGCTGTTGCACACTTTATTTATTTATTTTGAGACAGGGTCTTGCTTTGTCACCCATGCTGGAGTGCAGTGGCGTGATCATGGTTCACTGCAGCCTTGACCTCCCTGGCTCAAGTGATCCTCCCATCTCAGCCTCCCAAGTAGCTGGGACCACAGGCCCGTGCCACTACACCCACCTAATTAAAAAAATTTTTGTTGGTAGATACGGGTTCTCACTATGTTGCCCGGGCTGGTCTCAAAGCCCTGGGCTGAAGCGATCCCCCGGCCTTGGCCTCCCAAGGTGCTGGGATTACAAGTGTGAGCCATCACACGCAGCCTGTACACTTTAAAATGGTAAATTTTATGGCATGCAAATTATATATTGATTTTTAAAAAGAAAAAAGACTTAAGATGCACATCAGAGATTTAAAAAATAACCAGGGAAAATTGAACGTGGATTCTATATGAAATCATATTAAAGAGTTATTAATTTGAGGGTTGTGTGATGACAATATTGTGATTATATATTTTAAAAATCCCTACATGCTGGTGAAATGGCATGTTTGAGATTTGCTTTAAAATATTCCTGGAAAAAAAAATTGGGGGATGAGTGAAGCTGGAATGACAGAAGAGTGATCATTTTTTTCTTTTGTTTTGAGACAGAATCTCGCTCTGTTGCCCCGACTGGAGGGCAGTGGAGCAATCTTGGCTCACTGCAACCTCCGCCTCCTGGGTTCCAGTGATTCTGCTGCCTCAGCCTCCTGAGTAGCTGGGATTACAGGCATGCACCACCACACCTGGCTAATTTTTGTATTTTTAGTAGAGACAGGGTTTCACCATGTTGGCCAGGCTGGTCTCAAAGTCCTGACCTTTTATGGACAACTCTGTGGAAATAACTTTTTTGTTTTTCTATTGGTATTTGAAGTTGTTTTTTCCCCTTCTCCTTGGAGTTTATTCTGCCTCAACTGATTCACCCGCCTCGGCCTCCCAAAGTGCTGGGATTACAGGTGTGAGACACTGCACCCAGCCAGATTGACAATTTTTGAATCTGAGTAACTGCTATATGGGGGTCTGTTATACTATTCTACCTTGTTTCAGTTTGTTTAGACAACTTCCACTATAAAGGAATGAATTTTTTGGGTAGATGGAAATGTTTTGTATCTTGATTATTATAGTAATTACACAGCTCTATAAATGTGCTAAAAACTTTTAGAAATGTATACTGAAAAGGGTAAAATGTAGTATATGTAAATTAGCCCTCAATAAACCTGAAAAAAATCCCCAAACTAATGACAACTAAATGTTCTAGATACGTTAGTGTTTGTAGTGATGCTGTAACAGCAGGGGAATTGCCAGGGTGAGGAGGAGGAGGAGGGGGAGGAGGAGGGGGAGGGGGAAGAGGAAGAGGAGGAGGGAGGAGGGAGGAAAAGGAGGAGGGAGGAGGGAGGAAAAGGAGGAGGGAGGAGGAATGAAAAGGAGGAAGGGAGGAGGAAGGAGGAAGAGGAAGGAGGGAAGAGGAGGAAGAGGAGGAAGTAGGAAGAGGAAGGAGGTGGAAGAGGAAGGAGGAAGAGGAGGGAGGAGAAGGAGGAGGAAGGAGGAAGAGGAGGAAGGAGGAAGAGGAGGAGGAAGGAGGAAGAGAAAGGGAGTAGGAGGAAGGAGGAAGAAGAGGAAGAGGAGGAAGGAGGAGAAGGAAAAAGGAAGGAGGACGAGGAAGGAGGAAGAGAAGGAAGGAGAAAGGAAGAGGGAAGAGTAGGAAGGAGGAGGGGGAAAGAGGAGGAAGAAGAGGGAGGAAGGAGGAAGACGAGGAAGGAGGAGGAGGAAGAGAAGGAGGAAGAGGAAGGAGGAAAAGGAGGAAGGACAAGGAAAAGAGGAGCAGCAGCAGGCAGCGACTGGGGCTGAGATTCAGGGTGACTGCATAAGGGATTAACTTGAACAACCCGTGTTCTCTCTATAAGGCCCTGCCTGCCTGCTGGGCACCTCTTAGGGTAAGGGCCAGCATTCTTTGGTGACACCATGGATCACACAATGAAGAAGATGCCCAAGTCATACCTGCTCTCCCCCGATGGTGTCACTCTGTAGCCATTTTCCCCCACCAGAGGGGAGACAGGGAGGAGGCGAGGGGATGGAAGAGAACTAAATCAGAGACGGAATTCCAGCCTGATCTGCAGAGCAGACACAATGGTCCAGACCTTGCAGAGTCCAGAGGGGCAGATGGGAGGACCACGCACACACGCTGAGCCCTGTGTGGTTGTCGAATTTTGGGAGCAGCCACCAGCCCACAGGGTTTGAATTCCTGTCACACTTCTTACAAGCCGTATGACCTTGGACAAGTGTCTTAACCTTTCTGGGCCTCAGTTTCCTCATTGATAAACTGAGATTTTGCACTTCCATGAGATTGTTGTGAGAGATTCAGTGAATGTAAAGACCTTAGTCCTGGCCGGGTGCGGTGGCTCACGCCTGTAATCCCAGCACTTTGGGAGGCCAAGACAGCAGATCACTTGAGTCCAGGAGTTTGAGACTAGCCTGGCCAACATGGTGAAACCCCATCTCTACTAAAAATACAAAAATTAGCCAGGCATGGTAGTGCACATCTGTAATCCCAGCTACTTGGGAGGCTGAAGCAGGAGAATTGCTTGAACCCTGGAGGTGGAGGCTGCAGTGAGCCAAAATCACGCCACTGCACTACAGCCTGGATGACAGAGTCTGAGACTCCGTCTCAAAAAAATTTTTTTTTTCTTAATTTTTTTTTTATTAATAGAACTGAGGTCTTACTATGCTGACCAGGCTGGTCTCGAACTCCTGGGCTCACGCAATCCTCCCACCTTGGCCTCCCAAAGTGCTGGGATTACAAGCATGAGCCATTGCGTCCGGCTTGTTTTCGGAGTGGGAGCTCGTCTGCTTTTTTAACCTGTCCTTTAGCCTGAGTCATTCATGGACTCTACCATGGCTCTCGATGTGTGAACTCAAACCACCTGTTCATTCCTTGGTCCTGCTTTTGTTCAGGCCCCAGGCTGCCAGCTGGTGTCATCATAACTCACTCATGGGCCAGGGCCGTTCGGACATCCTGAAGTCATTTCTCACGTGAGCCGTGTCCAGCTGCCAGGGCCGGGTGGTCCTGTGCAGGCCGTGGGTGCGGTGTGCGCTGTGGCTGATGGCTGAGTGGCAGCGCTGCTCTTACATAATCAGTTTCTCTCCTCCTTTCTCTTCCTAGAGCCAGATTTCACACTGAGCAGCTGCAGTCGGAGAAATCAGAGAAAGCGTCACCCAGCCCCAGATTCCGAGGGGCCTGCCAGGGACTCTCTCCTCCTGCTCCTTGGAAAGGAAGACCCCGAAAGACCCCCAAGCCACCGGCTCAGACCTGCTTCTGGGCTGCCATGGGACTTGCGGCCACCGCCCCCCGGCTGTCCTCCACGCTGCCGGGCAGATAAGGGCAGCTGCTGCCCTTGGGGCACCTGCTCACTCCCGCAGCCCAGCCACTCCTCCAGGGCCAGCCCTTCCCTGACTGAGTGACCACCTCTGCTGCCCCGAGGCCATGTAGGCCGTGCTTAGGCCTCTGTGGACACACTGCTGGGGACGGCGCCTGAGCTCTCAGGGGGACGAGGAACACCACCATGCCCCGGGGCTTCACCTGGCTGCGCTGTGAGTACTGGGGGGTCCCTAGGGACCTGCATTGGGAGGCCTTGGCCTAGATCCAGGATCTGCCGTAACCATAGCAACCAGGGCATTCTTGCTGGTGAGAAGTTGCGATGCTTCCCAGCCGGACTGCAGACACCCTCTGAGATTCCCACGGCCGCCGTCTGCCCTGTCTGCCGCTCACTTCGGGCTCCGACGGGCAAGCTGGGTGGGCAGTTCTGGCTGGGTGGGCATGGTCCTCAGGGTGGTCTTAGGTCGGGGCAGGCACTGGGGGTAGGTGGCAGCATCTCACCTTTCCAGGCTTGTGGGTGTTGGGGAGCCCCGGGCGGGCAGCAGCGGCCCAGTCCTGGGTATGGCCGGTGGAGGGGGGCAGGGGCTGGTGAAAGTGTCTAGGGACCCAAGACCCACGGCAGAAGAGCAGCCAGATGCCTGGAGAAGGCAGCCTGTTCCCCTCCAACCCTCCCTCCATAACAGAACAGAATTAAAAAGCAGAAAGATAACACTGTTGGTAAAAAGAAAAATAAGTTGAAATGAGGACAGAAAGGAAAAAAAGGATCTGGAAGCCTCTTATGCCTGCTGGCTGGGAGGCCAGACCAAGATCCCCTCAGTCTCCAAGATCCAGTTCAATTGACTCAAATTCAACACATTTTTCCGGTGCCTCCCACGTGCCCACTGCAGAGTCACTGCCATGACAACAAGGACCTTGCTGTCTCGTGCCTCTGTCTCCAACGCCTGGCACAGGGTTGAGTGCTCAGGAACTGTTGGAGGTTTGGGGTATGAGCCTGCGAGGGATTGAAAGAAGAGTTGGGTCCACCCTGGCCCTTGTGGAAATATACAACAAAGGGTTGGGACATTAAGGATGGGTGGAAGGACCCAGCTGGACCCAATGTTCTGGAAACCCCTAGGTCATGAGAAGCAGGGGTGCAGCATGGGGGAGGGGCTACTGGAAATGGTCTAGAAGGTGGGGTGGTGGTCACACAGGTAGACCTGGGGTCATGAGGCCCATGTTCCAGGAAGAGGGGCCAGTGTGAGCAAAGGTTTGGCGGTGGGATGGTGAGGCCAGGCTGGGAGCTGGTTTGGACCCGGCTGGCTGAGGCCTTGAGAGCCAAGCAAAGTGTGCCTCCCTCCCCATAGCAGGCAGCCCTGGAGGATTTGAGAGCCCGGCGGGGGTGGAATCGTGATTGGGAGTTCCTCTGCTCTTGAAGATCAGTCTGGTGGTGTTTGTAGGAGTTACTGCTGTCACCGTCTGTGCAGGAGGGAATGAGGGTCATTCTGGAGGTGGAGGTGCGAATGAAAGGCAAGGGATGCTGGGCTGGTGGCTCACGCCCGTGATCCCAGCACTGTGGGAGGCCAAGGCAGGAGGACGGCTTGAGGCCAGGAGTTTGAAACCAGGCTGGGCAGCATAGCGAGACTCCATCTCTAAAAAAAGGAAAATTAGCCAGGTGTGGTGGCATACATCTGTAATCCCAGCTACTCAGGAGGCTGAGGTGGGAGGATCACTTGAGCCCAGGAGGTTGAGGCTGCAGTAGCAAGGATCGCATCACTGCACTGCAGCCTGGGCAACAGGGTGAGACCCTGTCTTTAAAAAAAAAAAAAAAAAAAAAAAGGAGAAAAGAAAAAGAGAGAAAGAAAAGCAAGGGAGAGGGGAAAAAGCTCCAGGAGGGGTGGGTCTTAGGACCAGGCAAAGACTGGCTGGGGGATGAGGGAGAGGGAGAGCAGCAGATTGAGGTGGGGGCTGGTGCCCAGGGGCTGGGGTGCTGAGGAAGTTGGGCTGCCATAACCAATTAGAAAGCTTCGGGTGGCTTAGAGCAACAGGAATGTGTCGTCTCACAGTTCTGGAGACCGGAAGTGTGAGATCAGGGTGCCTGCAGGGCTGCGTTCCCTCTAAAGGTGCCGAGAAGGAGCCTCCCTTGCCTCTTCCAGCTCCTGGTGGCTCCTGGCTTCCTTGGCTTGTGGCCTAGTCACTCAGATCTCCCTTTGTCTTTGCGTGGCCTTTCCCTTTGTGTGTCTCTATGTCCTCTCCTCTTCTTCCTAGGACACTAGTCACTGGATTTAGGGAACTGCCTAAATCCAGGATGGCCTAATCTTGACATCCTTCATTTAATAATGCCTGTAAGTGGCACAGGACAGGCGAGCCCCCAAGGGGGCTTAGCCTGCGAGGGTTCTTGGCTTTCCCTAGGAGAGAATTCAAGGCAAGCTGGTGGTAGAAGAAAACAGCTTTACTGAAGAGATGTTATAGCTCTGTGCCAGCTCCTGCAGAGCAGGGCTGTGCCAGAGGAAGCGTACTGAGGAGCAGCTCGGGGCCTTTTGCAGTCATATTTATACCCACCTTTAATTGCATGCAGATTAAGGGGCAGTTTATGCAGACATTTCTAGGGAAGGGGTAGTAACTTTTGGGACATTGGGTCATTGCTATGGAAAGCGGTGGTAACTCCCAGGCGTTGCCATGGCAATGGTAAACTGACATGGCACACTGCTGAGCATGTCTTTTGGAATGCTGCTTCTGCCCCGTCCACCCCTGTTTTCACTAGTCCTCAGTTTGGTCCAGTGTCAGGGCTCTGCCTCTGGAGTCGGTCCTACCTCCTACTTCACAAAGACCCCATTTCCAAACAAGGTCACACTCGGGTTCGGGTGAATGTGGATTTGGAGGAGATGCTATTTAACCCACTGCACAGGTTCAGATTTGGTCCCCGGGGCTGGGGGTGACAAGCCTCACTTGTCACTGCACATAGGGTCAACCCAGGGCCAGGGAACCAGGAAGGGAGTACCGTACTCACACAGATCTTTCTTAAGCCTCCTCTCTGTCTTGCAGGTTGTTTTATTATTTTATTTTTATTTTTATTTTTTGAGACGGAGTCTCACTCTGTCACCCAGGCTGGAGTGCTGCGGCACGATCTCAGCTCACTGCATCCTCTGCCTCTTGGGTTCAGATGATTCTTGTGTCTCAGCCTCCCGAGTAGCTGGGACTACAGGCACCTGCCACTGCGCCTGGCTAATTTTTGTATTTTTAGTAGCGATGGGGTTTCACCATGTTGGCCAGACTGGTCTTGAACTCCTGACCTCAGGTGATCCGCCCACCTCGGCCTTCCAAAGTGCTGGGATTACAGGTGTGAGCCTCCGTGCCCAGCCTGTGTTGTGGGTTCTTACCTCTGGGCTAAGACAAGGGCAGGGTGGGTCTCCTGACCAAGGTCAGGGGTGGCACTGGCTGTGGGGTTCCTGGTGTGCAGAGCATGTGGGGGACAGTGGCCTTGAGGTTGGGGCTGTGCTGTCCCTGCCTGGTCCCTGTTTGTTAACCTGTTTCTCTGGGTGGGTGGAGGCAGCAAAAAAAGAAACTTGCCCTTAGCAATGATGTTTGGGCTGCACTCAGAGGAAGGCTGCCCAGTTGGGGGAGAGGCAGATCATCTGTGGACAGGGTTTCCAGGGCAGCTGTGTGCCCACCGTGTCAGGCTGGGAGGCTCAGTGTCACTCCAAGGCACAGTCCCTGCCTTGAGGCCACAGCTGCCGGGTCCCCAGGGCCCCAGAACGGGACACAGAGAAGGGCAGGTGCTGTAGGGTTGGGAGGTGAAGTAGACGGCCAATGGTGATGGCCACACAGGAAAAAAGACCCAGTGTGGACAGAGGTACTGATTTTTTTAAAGAAAAGCTGAAATTTTGAATTGTTGTGTGAAATCCTTGTGGACCAGAGGTGGCTCTCGGGACACCAGCTTGCAACTGTTGCTCTAGGTCTGTGGTTCCAGACCCCCAGCCACAGCTTTACCTGGGACCTTGTTAGAAAGGTAGACTCTCTGCATCCTAGACTGGTTGAGCAGAGACTCTGGGGCAGGCAGGACAACCTGTGCCTTAACGAGCTCTGCAAGGGATGACAATGTCTGCTCCCATTTCTACTGCTTGAGGCGAATCCCCAAATGCACATGTGAAGTTCTCAGCACGCTGGGCTGTGCAGTGTTTAACTGCGTTATGGATTCACACACAGGCTCACGCCTGTAATCCCAGCACTTTGGGAAGCCGAGGTGAGTGGATCACGAGGTCAGGAGTTCAAGACCAGCCTGGCCAACCTGGTGAAACGCCGTCTCTACTAAAAATACAAAAAAAATTAGCCGGATGTGGTGGCGCGCACCTGTAATCCCAGGTCATGAGTGAATGGGGAAGGTGGTGCTGGAGACAGAGACCGATGGGGGCTGATGCAGAAAGGGGAGACCCTGGCGTGGTGATGGGGGGGAGAGAAGAGTCTCTGGGAGGCTTTGAAAGAGGTCTGTGTTGTGAGAGGGTACCTAGCGCAGGGCAAAGCATGAGCCCAGGAGGCAGGGATGATCTTGACCTGCAAGAGTAGATGCTAAGCTGAGGGGTTCAGGACTTAGGACAGAAAGTAAGCAGATGTTAAAGGGCCAAACACTGGTTCAGTTCATGTTTATCTGTTCTTCTCACCCAATACTGTATCAGGCACAGGGGAAGAGGGAGAGAGGAAGTGCAAGATAGATTGCAGACTTGCAACTTAGCAAAAAATGTGGGGCTATATGGGGTACAGGGCTTGAGGAGACCTGAGGCTCTGAGCTGAGCAAGGGCACTCCTGGTGGGAGGTCCTGCAGGGACAAAGGCGAGGCAGGAGGCCTGAGCAGGGCAGGTTTGGAGAAGGCAGTGGGGAGGTAGCAAATGGGTGGTGTGGCCCAGACCAGAGGGGCTGCAAGGACAAAGTCTTCCAAGATGCTGGGGAGTGGGGAAAATCCAATCAGTAATTCCTGCTCATAGCTGGGGGTGGCTCAGGGAGGTGACTCAGCCTGCCTGACTGCTTTTGTAAAAAAAAAAAAAAAGAGGATGGTTATTGCTTTTGTCTGTAACAATAATACATATGGATTATAGAACATAAAAAATGTCCTGGGTGGGTGCGGTGGCTTATGCCTGTAATCCCAGCACTTTGGGAGGCTGAGGTGGGTGGATCACGAGGTCAGCAGTTCAAGAGCAGCCTGGCCAACCTGGTGAAACCCCGTCTGTACTAAAAATACAAAAAAATTTAGCTGGATGTGGTGGCGCACACCTTGTAATCCCAGCTACTCGGGAGGCTGAGGCAGGAGAATGGCATGAGCCCAGGAAGCGGAGGTTGCAGTGAGCCAAGATTGCGCCACGGCACTCCAGCCTGGGTGACAGAGCGGGACTCCGTCTCAAAAAAAAAATAAATAAAAATAAAAATAAATGTCCTGCAAGGCCAAGGCCAGGTGTGGTGGCTCATGCCTGTAATCCCAGCACTTTTGGAGGCCAAGGTGGGAGCATCACTTGAGCATAGGAGTTCAAAACCAGCCTGGGCAAAACAGCAAGACCTCCTCTCTACAAAAAATTAAAAAAAAAATTAGCTGGGTGTGGTGGTGGCACCTGTAGTACCAGTTACTGGGAGGCTGAGGCAGGAGGATTGCTTGAACCCAGGAGTTTGAGATTGCAGTGAACAATGATGGTGCCACTGCACCTGTCTGCCTGGGCGACAGAGCAAGACCCTATTTGAAAAGAAAAACATGAAAAAATCTCCCATAGAGATTTGGTAGTCATGCTATGAACACAGATAGTGTTGAGTCATGCTGTTTTTAAGCTTCACTAAGCATATCTAATTGTTCTCATAGCACAGCCACATCTTTGACAATGTGATTTTTATTGGCTACATGCATTATTATGGAACGTCTAGGCCATTTCCAGATTTTCACTGTTATAAAATAAATGCTGCTCTGTACATCTTTGTTCATAATTTATTGGTTATATCTTTTTTGCTTTTCTTCCAATTTATTCCTAGAAGTGTATTTACTGGGTGAAAGAGTATAGACATTTTTAAGGCTTAGTGGTTTGAAGGGTGCGGATACTACTAAATCGATTAATAACAGAAATTGCTAAATTGCTTTCCAGGACAGCACTTGTCTCACTACTTGGCCAACATCAAGTAGTAATTGTTAAAACGAAATGAGCTGGGTGTATGACCGGGCATGGTGGCTCGTGCCTGTAAATCCAGCACTTTGGGAGGCAGAGGCAGGGAGATCAACTTGAGGTCAGGAGTTTGAGAACAGCCTGGCCAACATGGTGAAACCCCATCTCTACTAAAAATACAAAATATTGGCCGGGTGTAGTAGCCCCTGCTTGTAATCCCAGCTACTTGGGAGGCTGAGGCCTGAGGCACGAGAATTGCTTGAGCCTGGGAGGTGGAGGTTACGGTGAGCTGAGATTGTGCCACTGTACTCTAGCCTGGGTGACAGAGAAAGATTCTGTCTAAAAAAGAAAAAGCTGGGAAGCTGGGTGTAGTGGCACATGCCTCTCATCCCAGCTACTCAGGAGGCCACGATGGAAGGACCGCTTGACACTAGGAGTTTCAGACAAGCCTGGGCAACATAGCAAAACCCTGTCTCAAAAAAAAAAAAAAAAAGCCCCAACAACCCAAAACCACAAACACAAAAACTTTTTCATTTGAATAAAATGGGCCAGGCACAGTGGCTCACACCTATAATCCCAGCACTTTGGGAGGCTGAGGCAGGAGAATTGCTTGAGCTCAGGAGTTCGAGGCAAGTCTGGCCAACATGGCGATACCAGGTCTCTACAAAAAATACAAAAATTAGCAGGCGTAGTAGCATGCAACTGTAGTCCTAGCTACTCTGGAGGCTGAGGCAGAAGGATCGCTTGAGTCTGGGAGTTCTAGGATGCAATGAGCCATGATCCCACTACTGCACTCCAGCCAGGGTGACCAAAAAAAAGAAAAAGAAAAATTATATCTGATTGTTTTAATGTGAATTTATTTATCTAGTTAGTGAGTCTGATATTTTGGGTAGTTGCTGGCCTACTTCTGTTTTATTCTTTCTGCTCTGATGGACTTAACCTTTATTCATATTTGTTGCGAATTCTCTCCTTTTTTTCTGTTCAGTCACATGGAAATCGTATAGGCTGTTTTTGGAGTCACAGTGACCCCCAGTGGCAAAGGATGGTAATGTTTCAGCGGCTCGTTTGTTGCAGGAAGAGAGGCAGCCAAGTATGAGATCTGCTTAACGTCCTAGAATGACCAGACTGGAAGGCGCTACAGACCCGCTGGCATAGTTAGCTGGGAGGGACACTAAGATCAGATAGAGCAGGAAGGAAAGTGGTGTGGGGCGTGGGTGACTGAAGAGTCATTTTATCAAGTTGAAACCAGAATCCAGGATGATTCGATCTCCTGAATGCCGGGCTGGAAAACCCAGCAACGAGCTTTGAAAACATATCACCCGGACACCAGGGGCAGAGGCTGTTCTGGGCGGGAGGTTGTGCCTGCCCCACGGAGCGACAGAAGCGGGGAGACCAGACGTCGACCCTGAGGCGTGCCTCCTGGGGGGCTCCAGTGGCCGGCATGGGGTGGGTGTGGACTCTCTGCACTGCTAGTGCCTGCCTGACCTTGCTGTTCTGGAGCCAGACCCCAGGGAAAGCATTCCAGATCCCGTGCCCCCCACCACACCTTTCCCATTGGTGCTTGTCTCCTATGCAAATGGATGATGGTTGTGCTCGGCTTTGCGTGTTGTGGACGGCGTGGATGAGATGGAGGGTGCTCATGTGCTCTTGTCGGGTGTGGTCCACAGATCTTGGGATCTTCCTTGGCGTGGCCTTGGGGAATGAGCCTTTGGAGATGTGGCCCTTGACGCAGAATGAGGAGTGCACTGTCACGGGTTTTCTGCGGGACAAGCTGCAGTACAGGAGCCGACTTCAGTACATGGTAACCACGTGGGCACCAGCTGTGTCCCTGTCCCCGCGTCCCGGGGTTCACCTGGCATAGGCCTCTGGACATTCAGAGCCCTTCTTAGGACCTGTGTCAGCCCTGAGCCGACCATGGCCTGTTTCTCTGCCTTTCTCCGAAACCTACCCATGCACCTGGTCTGCACTTACTGACCCTCCTCCTGCCATCTCCTGGGGCCTCCACCCCTCCTCCTCGATCTCACTTTAATCCCACCTCCATGATGGCAGTCACCATATGACTCAGGAATGGACACCTGGAGCTCTTTGACAAACCCCAGGCACTTATTAGCCAGGGAGCTAAAGACCTAGAAATCGGAATATTTGGTTCTTTTTGCAGAGTGGAGATGTCTGTGTGGCTCTATGTATCTTTTTTTTTTTTTGAGACGGAGTCTTGGTCTGTCACCAGGCTGGAGTGCAGTGGCTCAATCTTGGCTCACTGCAACCTCCACCTCCCCGGTTCCAGTGATTCTCCTGCCTCAGCCTCCCGAGTAGCTGGGACTACAGGTGCGCGCCACCATGCCCAGCTAATTTTTGCAATTTTAGTAGAGACGGGGTTTCACCATGTTAGTCAGGATGGTCTCCATCTCTTGACCTCGTGATCCGCCTGCCTCAGCCTCCCAAAGTGCTGGGATTACAGGCGTGAGCCACTGCGCCCGGCCCTTTTTTTTTCTTTTTAATTTTTTAACTTTTCCTAAAAATCCTTTTCTTTTCTTTTGAGACAGGGTCTTGCTCTGTTGCCCAGGCTGGAGTGCAGTGGATAATTTCAGCTCACTGCAACCTCCACCTCCAAGGCTCAAATGATCCTCCCACCTCAGCCTCCCAAGTAGCTGGGACTACAGGCATGCACCACCATGCCCAGCTAATTAAAACTTTTTTTTTGAGTAGAGACAGGGGTTCACCATGTTGCCCAGGGTGGTCTTGAACTCCTGGGCTCAAGCAATATGCCCACCTTGGCCTCCCAAAGTGCTGGGATTATAGGTGTGAGCCACCATGCCTGACCAATGTATCTTTTTAAATTAATTAATTTAATTTTTAGAGACAGGGTGTCACTCTGTTGTCCAGGCTGAAGTGTAGTGGCGGGATCATAGCTCAGTGTAAACTTAAACTCCTGTGCTCAAGTGACTGTCTCTCCTCAGCCTCCCAAGGTGCTGGGATTACAGGCGTGAGCCACTGCACCTGGCTTGTGTCTTTTTTATTTTAACAGCTTTACTGAGATATAATTTACATATTTATATATAAAAGACATAATTTACTCATTTAAAGTGCACAACTCAAAGAGTTTTTAGTTCACAGAGTTGTGCAACCATCACCATCATAGGTTTTAGAACATTCTCACCCACAAAATAACATGTTTTTCTTGAAGTAACGTGTCCTCACTCTTGAGCCTGAAATTTCTGCCTTAACAGGAACTGTGTATTTTGTTTCACCCACCCTGAGTCCCAGAGGAAAGTGAAGTGTTTTTATCCCAGCTGGGAGCCAGGCACACCTCTCTGCACAGGACCACCTCTGCCGTCAAAGGTCTGGGCCCTGAGTTCTCTCCTCCTACATCAAAATTCATCTGGAGGCCGGGCATGGTGGCTCATACCTATAACCCCAGCACTTTGAGGGGCTTGAGCCCGGGATTCAAGACCAGCCTGGGCAACAAGAAGAAACCCCATCTCTACAAAAAATAAAAAAATCATCTGGGCGTGGTGGCACACACCTGTAGTCCCACCTACTTGGGAGGCTGAGGTGGAAGGATTGCTTGAGCCTGGGAGGTCAAGGCTTCCGTGAGCCATGATGCTGCCCCTGCACTCCATACTGGGTGACAGAGTGAGACTAACTGTTAAAAAAAACATCATTTGGGAGGTTGGGGAGCCTGCTGGTCATTTCTACTTCTGGCCTCATAGTTTGTTCTTGTGCCTCTCCAGAAACACTACTTCCCCATCAACTACAAGATCAGTGTGCCTTACGAGGGGGTGTTCAGAATCGCCAACGTCACCAGGCTGGTGAGAATCCCTTCCTGGGCTGGGGGGACCCTGCCTCCTGCGACATCCGGTGGGCCCCAGCCTCAGAGGCGCGCTGGGACTGGCAGGTGGTGCTGCTGGCCTGGGGCCTCTCCTCAGCCCCGAGAGCAGGCTGGCCCTTGGCCCAGGCACATGTTTGTCCACTGTCCACAGCGGACGGCCCGCGTCTGCTCCCTATGCAGGGGCAAGTCCCTGGTGAGGGAGTGGTCAGAGCCCAGAGGCCCATGTCTCCCGAGTTGCAGTGACTTCCCTGTTTCCGCAGCAGAGGGCCCAGGTGAGCGAGCGGGAGCTGCGGTATCTGTGGGTCTTGGTGAGCCTCAGTGCCACTGAGTCGGTGCAGGACGTGCTGCTCGAGGGCCACCCATCCTGGAAGTACCTGCAGGAGGTGGAGACGCTGCTGCTGAATGTCCAGCAGGGCCTCACGGTGAGTTGTGTGGAGGAGTGGCAGGTGGGGTGTGTGTGTGTGCACACGTGTGTACATGTGTGTGAGGTGTGGCCAAAGGCTAGTGAGGGAAAGGGTGAATACACGGAAAGATGGGCACAAGCAGAGGGACGTGGGAGAAGTGGGGGAGGGGTGCAGGAAAAGAGGCCTGTGGAAGGAAGAGGCAGCCGTGGTGGTCATGAGAGCCGGGCTCGGGGTGCAGGCGATGCCTCTGAGACTCTGTTCTAGGCTCTGCCTCTCTCCCTCTGGATCCTGGGCAAGTCATCGTACCCTCTTTGTTTCTGCAACACGAGGGTCCTGGAGGTGGGGTAGGGGGAGAGGGGAAGAATGGATGGAGCACAGGGAATGTTTAGGGCAGTAAAACATGCTGCAGGCCGGGCGCGGCGGCTCATGCCTGTAATCCCAGCACTTTGGGAGGCCGAGGTCAGGAGTTTGAGACCAGCCTGGCCAAATGGTGAAACCCCGTCTCTACTAAAAATACAAAAATAAGCCAGTCCTGGTGGTGGGCACCTGTTATCCCAGCTACTCAGGAGGCTGAGGCAGGAGAATCGCTTGAACCTGGGAGGCAGAGGTTGCAGTGAGCTGAGATTGCACCATTGCACTCCAGCTTGGGCAACAAGAACGAAAAACTCCATCTCAAAACAAAAAACAAAAAACTATGCTGTATAATGCATTCATGTTGTATACATGACATCATGCATTTGTCACAACCCACAGAACTGTACAACAGAGAGTGTGAGCCCTAATGTAAATTATGGACTTTAGTTAATTAAAAAAAGAGGTCCCCCATCCCTGACCCGCTCAGAGAAATTGATCTGAGGCCTCAGGGATATTATCCTCTAAAATGCCTGAGTTGTAGTAAAAAAGGAAGGTGGCGAGATGACCCATGCAGGCCGTGTGTGCGGTGGGACCTCTCCCCGTCTCCACCAGACCTCCTCAGGACTCTGGTGCACACCTGTCCCTGGGATCCACCTGCTGCCCTGCCCAGCCAGCTGCTGACAAGGCCCAGCTTGTCGGGAGAACATCCCAGGCCAACTGTGAGCTTCCGACGGTGAAAGGGCTTAGGGACTAGCACCTGTTTTGCAGCTGCCTGGAGCTTTCCTGGAACCAGACTGGTGGGGAGGCTGTCAATTCCTACAAAGTCAGGAGACTCCTTGATCTGCTTGGTGGCTCTTTTTCCTGTTTATTTCATTTTATTTCTTTTTTATTGTTTTAGAGATGGGGGTCTCGCTATGTTGCCCAGGCTGGTCTTGAACCCCTGGCCTCAAGTGATCTTTCTGCCTCAGCCTCCCAAAGTCCTGGGATTACAGGACTGGGATTACATCCTGCCTGGCCTCTGTGGTGGCTTTTTTTGTTTTTTTGAGGCGGAGTCTCACTGTGTCGCCCAGGTGCATTGCAGTGGGGCAATCTTGGCTCACTGCAACCTCCGTCTCCCAGGTTCAAGCAATTCTCCTGCCTCAGCCTCCCAAGTAGCTGGGATTATAGATGCCTGCCACCACACCTGTATTTTTAGTAGAGACGGGGTTCTGCCATGTTGGTTAGGCTGGTCTTGAACTCCTGGCCTCAAGTGATATGCCTCCCTCAGCCTCCCAAAGTGCTGGGATTACAGGTTGAACCACCATTCCTGGCCGTCTCAGTCTTTTCATGGCCTTCTGCCCTGTTTCCATGTCTGTCACCTTTCTCTTACAAGGACATCAGGCATTGGATTTAGGGCCTACCTGAAATCCAGGATGATGTCCTTCTAAGATCCTGAACTTAATTACCTCTGCAAAGAACCTATTTCCAAATAGGGTCACATTCACGGGTACCAAGGGGTAGGACCAAGACAGCTTTTTGGGGGAGGAGAGGGACAATTTGGCCCAGGACATGTTGCCTTGTTGTCACCCCCTTCCAGAAGATCACCCCCCACGTTTCCCATGATGCTTTCTACAGTGGCCCTGACCTCCTGTTCAGGGACTTGATTCCCTTGGTGCCACGGTGCACCCCACATGACCCTGTTGTTGCATATCGTGGAGAGAAAGCACCCCAGCTTGAAGCTGGACACCCTGCCCTGTGTATGTGACTTAAGCCTCAGTGTCTCTGTGAGGACCTTCTCTTGTTCCTTGGAGTTGATGGAGATGTCTGCTTCTTGAGGGACAGTTTTCCCCAGGTCAGGGGGTCCTCACGCAGTGGTGGGTGGCCGTGCCTGGGTGCAGTTTGCCCCACTTTCCTCACTGTCCTGGTCTACGCCCTTTACTCATTTTTCAAGGATGGAAAAGCGAAGCCTCTGAGTTGTACATGGGTGAGTGGTGGCATCTGGGACCCTCCCCATGCCCACAGGAAGAAGATGGTGAGAAATAGCTATCCAGGCTCATGGTCACAGGAAGTCTGGTCCTTCTTCCGGGGTTTGGGCAGCTCCAGGTGACTGGACAGCCCTCACGGCTCTCCTGGGGTGCGGCCCCATCTCGCCACCGCTCCTGACTGTTTCCTCCTTTCCAGGATGTGGAGGTCAGCCCCAAGGTGGAATCCGTGTTGTCCCTCTTGAATGCCCCAGGGCCAAACCTGAAGCTGGTGCGGCCCAAAGCCCTGCTGGACAACTGCTTCCGGGTCATGGAGCTGCTGTACTGCTCCTGCTGTAAGGAGCTCTCAGGGGATGGCGCCTGGGGGTGGGAGGCCAGGCATCTGGGCCCACCCAGGCCAGCTGGCAGAGCTGGCGTCCTCCCGGGCATATCCTCTGCTCCCCGGGGCTACAAGCCATTTCTGGAAGCCAGGATGGGCCCTGGGTAGAGTGGGGGACAAGCACATGCGGCTTGGCTTAGTGGGGAGGGTGGTCTTGAACACTGCTGCAGTCTTTTTTTTTTTCCCCTATCTCTTGCAGGTAAACAAAGCTCCGTCCTAAACTGGCAGGACTGTGAGGTGCCAAGTCCTCAGTCTTGCAGCCCAGAGCCCTCATTGCAGTATGCGGCCACCCAGCTGTACCCTCCGCCCCCGTGGTCCCCCAGCTCCCCGCCTCACTCCACGGGCTCGGTGAGGCCGGTCAGGGCACAGGGCGAGGGCCTCTTGCCCTGAGCACCCTGGATGGTGACTGCGGATAGGGGCAGCCAGACCAGCTCCCACAGGAGTTCAACTGGGTCTGAGACTTCAAGGGGTGGTGGTGGGAGCCCCCCTTGGGAGAGGACCCCTGGGAAGGGTGTTTTTCCTTTGAGGGGGATTCTGTGCCACAGCAGGGCTCAGCTTCCTGCCTTCCATAGCTGTCATGGCCTCACCTGGAGCGGAGGGGACCTGGGGACCTGAAGGTGGATGGGGACACAGCTCCTGGCTTCTCCTGGTGCTGCCCTCACTGTCCCCCCGCCTAAAGGGGGTACTGAGCCTCCTGTGGCCCGCAGCAGTGAGGGCACAGCTGTGGGTTGCAGGGGAGACAGCCAGCACGGCGTGGCCATTCTATGACCCCCCAGCCTGGCAGACTGGGGAGCTGGGGGCAGAGGGCGGTGCCAAGTGCCACATCTTGCCATAGTGGATGCTCTTCCAGTTTCTTTTTTCTATTAAACACCCCACTTCCTTTGGTTTGCTTTGCTTTGCATCTTCAGGGGTGAACCTGGCGGGGATGGGAGGTGGCCAAGTGCAGGAAGTGGAGGGGGGCAGGGCTGAGGATGCGGATTTGGAGTGGATGGAGCCTGCCCAAGGGATGTGGAATGAGAGGGATGCCAGGGATGGAGTTCCGGCCCAGCCCAGCCCAGCCCAGCCCAGCCCAGCCCAGCCCAGCCCAGCCCAGGGGCCTCTGCAAGCCTGGGTTGGGGGAGGCGGTGTTGGGCTGATACCTTGGCTTTGACCCTTGCCATCCTCCCTCCCTCCCTCCCTCTCTCCCTCCCTCCCTCTCTCCCTCCCTCCCTCCATCTGGCTGCCCCCAGGCAGCCCCTAGCAGGGACACATATGGGACATTTCAGAGACCCAGGTCTGGCCCTGGCACCTACATTGAGATCTGAGATCCTCTGGGAACCCCCAGCCTGTCCCCCTGCAGCTGGGATCTGGGGTGGGAAAGGTGAGGTGTGGGGATGGGGTAGGAAGCAGCCAGGCAGAGGCAGGGGTGTTAATTACAGTACACCTTTATTAATACTGGAATCTTCACAGTGCATCTGTTACTTGTAGCAGTGACTATATTTAAATCGGGGAGGATGGTGTGGAGGGGGCGGGGAGGAGAGGAGAATTTTTCCAAAATCTGACGGAAAGAAAAGAAACAAATGGTTCAGATGGGACGGAGGGTGGGGGAGGGGGGGAGGGTGAGTAGGAACCAGGAGGGCTGCCTGGGGTGGGGGAATAAATTAAAAAAAGGAACGAGTTAACAACAGCACCAGGAAAGTTACTTCAGTCAAAAGACGCTTTTGAAAAGAATATTTCTCCGTACAAAATGAGAAATTAAACGAACGTAAAGTCCCCCAAACCAAAGTTTGTGATGTGGGATGGTTGGCTCGGATCCCGAGGTGGGTGGGCCTATGAGGTGGTTGCTAAGTCGACGCAAGGGCGGCGGGGGTGGTCTCAGGGATGGACAAGGGGATGGAGTAGAGTATGTACAGCCCCCGGGGCTCACAGGGGAGGGGGACGGCGGAGTCGGTGGGGGCTGTGCCACACGAGCCCCCCTCTCTGGGTAGCCCCTGCCTCCTTTCCCATCAGGACCTCTGACGCCCAGGTCTGCCCACCCACTGCCCCTCACTCTATTCCCACCACATCCTGAATCCTGCTCCACCGCCCTGCCTCGGAAGACCCCTGCAGCCCTGGGGAGAATGTGTGGCGGAAATTCTACCCAAGACTCCCCAAATAATTGGTCACCTGCTCTCCTGGCCCCTAAAACCGGGGCTCTGGTGTTGGCCTGAGCTCCACGGGCTGAGTGCTCGGCCAGGCAGTTGTTGAACCTAGTGACTTACTTACAGGGACCATTCTTCATCAGCTCCCTCTGATGGGACTCTGTCCACATCAGGGCCTGCTTGGTGCCCGGACCTACCCAGGAGCTGCCCAGCTCACCGCACAAGAACTCCCAGGAGCTCAAGCCTGGGAGGCTCAGACCCAGCTCCATTCTATCAATCAATCAATCAATCATCAAGACCAAGGTGCTCCTGACCCCCAGGTAGGACCCTGCCCTGGGGCCACGATGCCCTCTGAGCCCTGCTTTCCCTCCTGACCTGCGGGGCCACCAGGACTCCCTCCGCTCGCCCTAGGCTCACGTGCTTTTACCTGCTGAGACTTGGCGTGACTTGGTGCGTGGGGTGGGGGCAGCCTTGCCCCTCCCCTTGCCCCCGCTGCCACCACGAGCCTGGACTACAGTGGGGGCCGTGCTGGGATGGCATCTCCTCCGGCAACAGAGAGTCAAAGCCAATCTTCCCAGACTCGCTCCCCCACCTGGGCTTGCAGCCAGCTCAGACCACAGCAGACAGGCCGGGAGCCTCCCAACCTTATTTTGGCTACGCTCGAGACACTGGAGAGAACAGTAGCTTCCACCGGGCTCTGGGGGAGCCAAGTCCCTCCCTTCTCATCCTGCCATAGGACCACCGGGGGGTCCCTGTCCCCCAGGCACTCCCAGACACACACCCTGTATCGTCCCCTCTCCCCCACACTTAGTCCTCGTCCACAGTCAGCTCCATTTTATTATATTCATAAAATGACCCCACACCTCCTACTGCTCCAGTCACCCCCCGAAAGGTGGCTAAAACTGTGACCCCCAAAGTTAAAAGATTGATGTACCCAATGAGAAGTGGACATCTGAAAACGGTGCCTGTGTGGCTGGCCGGTGACCCCAGGGCCTCCGGCCTCCTAACCCTGCTGCCCTAGTTTCCAAAGAGCTGCTCTGGCCCCCTCCAGCCAGCCTCACGGGGTGGGGGAGGCGAGGGGTGGGAGCCACCACAGGGCCCCCAAGACCCCCCCCCCCAAGCAGCCCCTGGTTTCCTCCCTGAGACTTGGCGTGGGCCCTGGAACTCCCTTCCCACACGGGGGGCCTGGCCGCCCAACTCCAACCTGCCGCCCTGGCCCCCAGCCCCCAGCAGACATCCAGCCCAGCGTGCACCTGGCCCCTCCACAGCCGCCCCGCCTCCTGGAGGGAGAGGGGCCTGGGAGAGGCAGAGAGAAGGCAAGAGGGGAGGAGGGGGCTCAGGCAGGGGAGAGGGGGGCCAGCATTCCAGGAGGAGCTGAGGCAGGACCAGCCCTGGGAGAGGCCGGGATGGTGAAAGGGAGGCCAGCCTGGCCCCTCTGTCATGGGCAGCGGCCCTGGCTCTGGTGCTTATGGGTAGGGAAGAGGCAGGGCCCCAGAGGAGGAAGAGGAGGGACCGAAGAGCATAAAACAGACCCCGAACCAGGCCCAGGCCTGCAGGCTCCGTCCTGGCCAGGCTTGCTAAGAAGTCACTTCCTGTTTAAATGCTGGAATCCAAGTGAGGTGTCTTTCCATAAAGTGGCATGGCCTCTGCCCTGGCTCTGTCCTCTCTCCTGGCTGGGCCTTTGCTCTGAGTGCCTGCGGCTCACAGACCAGGCCACCTGCTCGCACTGGGGCCTGAGAGGATGGGGAGGGTGGCGCCATCATAAGATGCGGGGCGCCGACCTGTCGTTGGTGACGGTCCTGCGGAGCCGGACCCCACGCCGGATGGCCACCAGCATGTCTTCGGCCGGGGGGTCGCTGGTGGCGGCTGGGGGTGGGGTGGGCGTCTCCTCCGTGGGGGTGGCCGACAGAGCAGTGGGGAAGGGGAACTGGCCCTCACCCAGTGCGTGGGCACCCGCCACCAGCTCCCCCAGCTTCTCCACCAGGCTGTGCCGGTTGGCCGCCAGCTGCTGCTGCTCGTCCTCGGCCCCTGCCCCGGGGTACCCGGCTGCCTCTGGGGATGGGCTGCCCCAGGCTGTGTTGGGCAGGCTGAGCCTCTTTGGGGAGGCCTTGGCGAGGTCCGGTGCCAGGGGTGAGGCGGTCTCGTCGGTATAGAAGACGCACTCCTCACTGCCCGCCCGTGTGGGCCCCATGTAGCCGGGGGAGTCAGGCACCGTGGGCGTCTTCACAGGGACGATGGGCGGCCGGATGGGGATGGGGCCAGCGCTGGACAGGGCGCGGCGCACGGTGGGCTTGGTGGAGGGTGTGCGGCGGATGGTGGCCACGCCGGGGGGTGCGCCCGAGGGCAGGCCAGTGGCCGTGGGCAGCCCCGCGGTGGGCAGCCCAGCAGTGGAGGCTGGGCGCTTGGTCTGGATCAGGCGGCGGTAGTTCTGGGCGATGTTGCTGTTGCGCGGGATGGTGGATGACTTGTCAAACTCGGGCGGGCCCTCGCTGTCCGCATCCCCATTCACGGAGTAGCAGTCGTAGTCGGAGCCTGGGGGCACGGGACACAGTGAGGCCCAGGGCCCAGGTGGCCCCTTGCCCCCAGCCCACCAGGGTGAGCACAGAGGGGGAAGGACGGGGCCCTCCTGGATGGCTAAGTCCCAGCTGTCCCTGGTCCCACCCCAGCCCCGCGGGCCTGCCTTGGGAGGGGATGGTGTCCTCAGAGCAGGAGGGCGTGGTGGTCTGCGTGCTGTAGCCGCTGGAGTACTGCAGCGAGTCCCGGCTGCTCTTCTGGTGCTCCAGGCTCAGGCCCCGCGTCAGCACCATGGCCAGGTCACTGGCGGCGGGGGACACCTCCTCACCGTGCTGAGGGTGGGAAAGTGCAGGCTGAAGCCTTGCGCCCCCAATCCCCTCTGCCCAAATTCCAGGCAGCCCTGCCAGGTGGTTGGAGCCGGCCCTGAGGCCACTGGCTGGGCCTCCTGGGACTGACCTGGGCGTGAAGGGGGGCCCTGGCCAGCCTACCTTGGCTGCGATGGTGGCAGGGGACATCCGGGGTCGCGGTGCCTCTTCCCCGCTGGGGCCCAGGGTGCCCCCACTGGCAGGGCCTGGCTCTGTGTCTCGCAGGAGCTCCACTCGGTCCTTCCTCCGCTGCAGAGTGGCGCCTGAGGGCTGCTCATGGGAGCCGACCTTGGACCAGTCCTGCAGGGAGGGTGTGGCAGGTCAGGGGGACCACTGGCCCTACCACCTATGGCCCGGGGGCCCGTCACTGTGGCTGAGGCTCAGGGTGTCCAGGGCTATCAGGGGGTCTCTGGTTCGCAATCACAGCCAAGGGCAGAGCATGGAGTGTGACTGTGGCCCCTCAGTCCCACCAGGCCCAGGGGTAAGATGTGGCTGTGTGGGCAGTGACTGTAGGAAATGGCCAGGTGGCTTGTCTCTTGGGGACAGGTGCTGTGTGCACGCACCCCTGGCTGAACCCAGGCCCTTTGTGCAGTAATGGCACCAGGTGGGGAGGGCATGGATGGGAGGGGCAGCTGGTGACTGTCCTGGGGCCGGGCTGGGAGCACTGACCGAGGTGGGGGAGCTGCACTCGCTAACGGACTGGCAGGTTTCCGAGGCCTCGGAAGATGCAGAGCTGGAGGACTTCTGCCATGCAGAGGCCAGCAGGCGGTTGCAGACAGAGGGGCCGGCAGGCAGCAAGGAGGAGAGGAGAGAACAGTTTTGGTCACAGAGCTGGCATGCAGGGGGGCGGTTCAATTCAGCGCCTTGCCCAGCACCCACCCCCCCTACCCCAGGGCCACGGCCGCTGAGTGTCTGCAGCAGCACACAGCAGCCCAGAGTGCACACGGTGAACGCTGACCCACCTGACAGCCCAGCCCTGCGCATTTTGAAGACTGACCACAGGACTCACTGCTGACGGCCTGGATATGGCCACCGAGGGGAAAAAGAGATACTAAGGGCGGCAGCTGGGTGTTTGGTCTGAGCAGTTGGGTTGATGGTGTCACAGTTTTCTCAGACAGGACACGGGGGAAGTGTGAAGCCCCGAGTGCCACGCTGAGCACTGAGCTGAGCTGCCTCTGAGGTCTCTGCATGGATGCAATGAGGGCCGTCGTATTCATAAGCTGAGTGCAGGGAGAAGTTGGGGTTGGAGCCATCAGTGCAGTGGTCTTGGGGTGGGATGAGGCCACCAGGCAGCGAGTGCAGTTAGACAAGATTCAAGGGCCAGGCCCGTGGCTGCTGATGCGCATCAGGTGGGAGGGAAGAGGAGAGTCCCGTAAAGGAGAGCCTGCTCTGCGGAGAAGGGGGGCAGCTGTGCTGATGCTGCTGGGTGGGGCCATCGGCTTGGGGCACAGGGTGTCCATGGAGACCCCGAGGAGAACTGCTACCATAGAAGGGGGTGGGGGAAGGCTGTTTTAAAGTGGACTGAAGTATGAAAGGGACACACCTGCTCTGGGCAGTGGGCTGGACTAGGTGTTCTGCGAGGCCCCCCACTCCTAAACAACTACAAAGAATAAAGAAAAAAGCAGGGTAGACACAGGCCCATGAAATCCTGAGCATGTGTGACCGGCAGGGTTCCCTGGGGCAGACGCCAGCTTCAGCACAGCAGTGGGGACGTGGATCACGGTGAGGTGTTGGCCTGGGAATGAGCCAAGTTAAGCCAGGGCAGCCCCCTTCCTCCAGCTCTCTGAATCATTCTGGATTTAGATCCCCAGATTTCCTGCAGATTCGAATGAACCAAGATCACCAAAATAAAAGGAAACCAGGCACCACCTGTGAGGATTTGGAGGAAATAACAAATGCAGACTTTTGGCAATATGACGGTTAAAGTAAAAAAACTCAATGGAAAAAGTATTTGGAAAACTCAGTGAAAAAGTTCAACACTTGCTCATGAAAAACAATACAAAGACACAAGCTGCTAGAAAGGAAGCTAATCTGATAAAGAATATCTACAAATGCATTGATACTTTTCCCTCTGAGGTTGGGAGAAAGACAAGGATGCCCACTGTCATCACTCCTATTCAGCACTGGAAATCTTAGCCAGTGCAATAAAGCAAGGAAAAGAAATAAAAAACAAATGGATTGGAAAGAAAAGAAAGAAGGCCAAGTGTGGTGGCTCACACCTGTAATCCCAGCACTTTGGGAGGCTGATGCATAAGGATCACTTGAGCCCAGGAGTTCAAGACCAGCCTAACATAGTGAGACCCCTGACTCTACAAAAAATTAAAGTTAGCCAGGTGTGGTGGCACATGCCTGTGGTCCCAGCTACACAGGAAGCTGAGGCAGGAGGATATCTTGAGCCTAGGAATTCAAGGCTGCAGTGAGCTGTGATCACACCACTGAACTCCTGAACTCCAGTGTGCGTGACAGAGCAAGACTCTGTCTCAAAAAAAAAAAAAAAAAAAAAATCACTATTTACAAGTAACATAATAGTATATGTAGAATATTAAGAAAGAATCTACAAATTATTAGAATTAGTAAGGGGTTAACCCTTTAACAAGATTATTAGAACAAAATCCGAAAAAGATCAATCACATTTCTAAATACCAGCAGCTAACAGGAAAACAACACAAAACAAAAAAACAAAACCACCCTAAAACATCAGTGTAATTTACGATAACATCAATAAACACTAAATACCTAGGGAAAAAATTCCAATGACAGATATGCAAGATCTTTACACAAAAACTACAGAACAAGCTGGGCATGGTGGCTCACACCTATACTCCCAGCACTTTGGGAGGCCAAGACGGGAGGATCACATGAGGCCACAAGTTTGAGACCAGCCTGGCCAACATGGTGAAACACTGTCTCTACTAAAAATACAAAAATTAGCCCGGCGTGGTGGTACATGTCTATAATTCCAGCTACTCGGGAGGCTGAGGCACGAGAATAGCTTGAACCCAGGAGGCTGAGGTTGCAATGAGCTGAGATCGCGCCACTGCACTCCAGCCTGGGTGACAGAGTGAGACTCTGCCTCAGAAAAAAAACCAAAAAACCAAAAACCTCTACAAAACATTACTGAGAGGCAGTAAAGCCTAAACAAACAGAGGGATATCTGCAATTCCATTCAAATCCCAGGAGTTTTTTTTTTTTTTCCTTTTGGTAGGAACTGACAAGCTGATCCTAAAAGTTACATGGAAATGGAAAGGGCCGAAAATAGACAAAGCGGTACCAAAAAAAAATAACCAAGCTAGGGGACTTCCATGACCAGATATCAAGATTTTCTATAAAGTCTGGCTGGGTGCAGTGGCTAATGCCTATAATCCCAGCAATTTGGGAGGCTGAGGTGGGTGGATTGCTTGAGAGTAGGAGTTTGAGACCAGCCTGGCCAACATGACAAAACCCCAATACAAAAAATACAAAAAATTAGCTGGCTGTGGTGGTGCACATGTAATCCCAGCTACTCAGGAGGCTGAGGCATGAGAATTGCTTAAGCCTGGGGACAGAGGTTGCAGTGAGCCAATACTGTACCTCTGCACTCCAGCCTGGGGGACAGAGTGAGACTGTATCAAAAAAAAAAAAGACTTTTTATAAATAATTAAGATGGTTACAATAATTAAGATGGTGTGGCATTGGTATAAGGCAGAGAAATCAACAAGTAGGACAGAGTGCCAAGTCCAGAAATAGCCACACACCTACAGACACCTGACTGATGATGAAGGCAGCACTGCTGTGCACTGAGGAAAAGAAGATGCTATGCTCCAAATGTCTATGTCTCCCCCAAATTCCTCTGTTCAAATCTTAACCCCCAAGATAAGGTATTGAGAGGTGATTAGATCATTAGGGTGGAGCCCTCATTAAAGGTTTTAGGGATCTTATAAAAAGAGGTTTAAGGGAGCTAGTTTGCCCCTTCCACCACTGAGGACACAGCAAGAAGGTGACATCTATGAACCACAAAGTGGGTCCTCACCAGACACCGAATCTGCTGGTGTCTTGATCCTGGCCTTCCAGCCTCCAGAACTGTGAGCGCTACATTTCTGTAGTCTAAGCCACCCAGGTTATGGTATTTTGTTACGGCAGTCCAAATTGACTAAGACAGATTTTTTTTTTCAATACACTGTTCTGGGTCAATTGGATATCCATATGAAAAAAAGGACCCCTACCTCACACCACACACACACCACACACTCAATTCCAGATGAGCTGCAGATCTAAAACAAAAGGGCAAAACCAAAAGGCTTTTAGAGGAAAACATCTTTGTGACCTTGCAGTAGGCAAAAATCTCTCAAGCAGGACACAAATAGCACTAACAATTTAAAAATGGATAAACTGGACTATTTTAAAACTAAGAACTTCTGGTCATTAAAAGACCCCCATTAAGACAATAAAAAGGTACCCAATAGAAGGAGAGAAGATATCCGATGAGGAACTTTATCTGCAATACTAAAAAGTTCTATAAATTGGTAAGAAGAAGACAGATAATCCAGTAGAAAAATGGGCAAACGATTTAAAAAGGTCCTTCATGAAAGGGAATATTCTAACGGTCTTTAAAGGTATGAAAAGGTAGCTGGGTTCAATGGCACACATCTGTAGTCTCAGCTATTCAGGAGGCTGAGGTAGGAGGATTGCTTGAGCCCAAGAGTATGAGGCCAGCCTGGGCAACATAGCAAGACCCTATCTCTTATAAAAAAGTATGAAAGCTGGGCATGGTGGCTCATGCCTGTAATCCCAGCACTTTGGGAGGCCAAGGCGGGCGGATTACCTGAGGTCATGAGTTCAAGACCAGCCTGGCCAACATGGTGAAACCCCGTCTCTACTAAAAATACAAAAATTAGCCCAGGTGTGGTGGCACACGCCTGTAATCCCAGCTACTCGGGAGGCTGAGGCAGGAGAATTGCCTGAGCCCGGGAGGCGGAGGTTGCAGTGAGCTGAGATCATGCCACTGCACTCCAGCCTGGGCAACAGAGTGAGACTCTGTCTCATAAAAAAAAAAGTATGAAAAGGTGTTCAATCTCATTAGCATTAGAGAAATGCAAACAAAATATACAGGGAACTACTATTACTCTGCACCCACTAGAATGGCTAAAATGAAATCAATATAAAATGCCAAGCGCTGGTGAGGATGTGGAACAGCAATGAACTGTCATAATCTTGGCCAGGTGTGGTGGCTCATGCCTGTAATCCCAGTACTTTGGGAGGCTGAGGGGGGTGGACTGCCTGAGGTCAGGAGTTTGAGACCTGCCTGGCCAACATGGCAAAACCCCATCTCTACTAAAAATACAAAAATTAGCCAGGTGTGGTGGCATGCGCCTGTAATCCCAGCTACTCGGGAGTCTGAGGCAGGACAATCACTCGAATCCCAAGGATGGAGGTTGCAGTGAGCTGAAATTGCACCACTGCACTCCAGCCTGGGCAACAGAGTGAGACTCTGTCTCAAAAACAAAACAAAACGACACAAAACAAAACACTGTCCTAATCTTGCTAACAGGAGGGTAAATTGGTATGAGCACTTGGCTTACTGTCTGGTAGTACCTATCAAATCTGAAGATGTGCATATCCCATGACTTTGCAATTCTGCTCCTAGGAATGTGCCCCACAGAACTGCATACTAGAATGTTCACAGCAGCACTATTAGCAACATCATAGCCAAAAAACTGGAAACTATGCAAATGTCCATCAAAATGGTTAAATTACATATTCACACAATAGAATGCCATATAGCAATGAGCATGATCTATATTTCCACCTAAAACATGGCTGAATCTCATAAACATAACTGAGCAAAAAGAAGCCAGACATAAAGGATACATACTATATGATTCCATATATACATGTAGAAAGGATAAAAAGGGCAAAACTAGGCCATGCCTGAAATCCCAGTGATTTGGGAAGCTGAAGAGGAAGGATTGCTTGAAGGTAGGAGTTCGAGACCAGCCTAGGAAACATAGTGAGACCCCCATCTCTATAAAAGAAAAAATATAAAAATTAGCCAGGCATGATACTGCACACTCGTAGTCCCAGCTAATTGGGAGGCTGAGGCAGGAAGATTGCTTGAACCCAGGAGTTTGAGACTGCACTGAGCAAGGATTGTGCCACTGCACTCCAGCCTGGGTGACAGAGTGAGACCCTGTCTCAAAAAAAAAAAAAAAAAAAAAAAAAAGTCAAAAGTAGTCAGGATAGCAGTTACCCTTGGGTGTGTAGTGACTTAACAGAGCACTGCTGGCTTCAGGAGTGGTGGTTATCCTGCTTACGTTCTTGTTCTCGGTGTGTTTAGAATACCTCAATAAAAAAGTTCCTTGGGCAGGTGTGGCAGGTCATGCCTGTAATCCCAGCACTTGGGAGGCTGGCACAGGCGGATCACTTGAGATTAGGAGTGATCCAACATGGCAAAACCCCGCCTCTGCTAAAAATACAAAAATTAGCTGGGTGTGGTGGTGTGTGCCTGTAATCCCAGCTACTTAGGAGGCTGAGGCAGGGGAATGGCTTGAACCTGGGAGGCAGAGGTTGCAGTAGCCAAGATCGCACCATTGCACTCCAGCCTGGGCAATGGAGCGAGAGTCTGTGTCAAAAAAAAAAAAAAAGTTCCTGAAAGACTCAATGGTGATGGGTTATAACCCATAGAATAAAAGAAATATTTATGAGTCCATATTGATATAAATTAAAAATTGAATATATAAATAAATGGGGGAGAAGGGACAGATCTTTTTATGGTAGAATCTCAATTAATAAATGTAGGAGAAATGACAGAAATAGAAAGTCACCTATTTTAACAAGCAAGAATCATCAGTGGATGCCAAAATTAGAGAGCAAAAGTACAAGGAGAAACAGGACATTTTCATCCTCTCAAAAGTATCCCCTCACAGGATATTTTATTAATTAAAAAGGGAGAAATAATGACTCTCCAGTGGAGAAACTTGGCACACGCCACCTTAACTAAGGATCAAGGTGAACATCAGCAGTCACACGACGCAGTGACATTGTGCAGCATTTAGGATGCACTGACATGGGGACAACCGCACTTCTGTGGTACTCTTGCCAAAACTGTATGGCTTCTAATTCTGAATGAAAAGGCATCAGACAAAGCCAGATTTAGAGGCATCCTACAAAACATCTGACCGATATTCTTCAAAAGTATCAAAGTCATGAAAAACAAAGAGGGACAGGTGTGAGAAACTGTCACGAGCTGCAGAAACTGAGGTGACACCAACACGAAACACTATGTAGGGTCCTAGCCAGGGGCAGTGGCTCATGCCTGTAATCCCAGCACTTTGGGAGGCCGAAGTGGGCAGATCACCTGAGGTCAGGAATTCGAGACCAGCCTGACCAACACGGTGAAACCCCGTCTCTGCTAAACACAAAAAGTTAGCTGGGCATGGTGGCGCATGCCTGTAATCCCAGCTACTTGGGAGGCTGAGGCAGGAGAATCACTTGAACCTGGGAGGCAGAGGTTGCAGTGAGCCGAGATTGCCCCACTGCACTCCAGCCTGGGTGATAAGAGCAAAATTCAAAAAAAAAAAAAAAAAAAAAGGAAAAGAGAAAAACCCGGGAACATTATGTAGGGTCCTGAATTGGGTCATGGACCCCTGGACCAGCAGGACAGGAGAGAGAAAACTGGCAAAAATAGAAGACTGTACGTTACTTAGTATTATACCAGTGTTAATTTCTTGGTTTTAAAAATGTTTTTGGTGGTTACATAAAGTAAGATGTCAACACTGGGGAGATTCTGGGAAGAGTATATGGGAACTCTACATATTTTACAACTTTTCTACAAGTCTAAAATTATTTCAAAATAAAAAGTTAAAAAAAAAACCCAAACAAAAAACCCTCAGTGGGTAGGTTAAATAGCAAAAAAAAAAAAAAAGAAAAAGTCGATTGTAAGATAAAACTGAAGAAATGATCCAGAATATATCCGGAGAAACAAGGAGATAGAAAATATGAGCTCAGAGATGCCTAAGATAGAAAGAGAGGGCTGGACATGCATCCAACTGGAATCCCTGAGGACAGAATAGAAAGAATCAAAGTGGAAGTAAAGAGATAATGACTGGCTGGGCGCGGTTGCTCACACCTGTAATCCCAGCACTTTGGGAGGCTAAGGCAGGCAGATCCCTTGAGCCCAGGAGTTCAAGACCAGCCTGGGCAACATGGCAAAATGTTGTCTCTACTAAAAATACAAAAATTAGCTGGGCATGGTGGTGCATGCCTATAGTCCCAGCTGCTTTGGAGGGTGAGGTGGGAGGATCGCTTGAGCCTGGGAGGAGGAGGAGGTTGCAGTGAGCCAAGATCGCGCCACTGTGCTCCAGCCTAGGTGACAGAGTAAGATCGTGTCTCAAAACAAAACAAAACAAAACAAAATGAAATAATGACTGAAAATTCCAAGGACAAATGAAAGACATGAATACCAACAAGGAGAGGTTAAATAAAAATAAATCCACATTGTAGACACGCTGTAGCAAAACTAAAGAGAAGGCCTAAAAGTGCCCAGAGAGAGACTCAGATTCCTCAGAAAGAAGCATCAGTGACTGACAGCTGACCTTCCAACCAATGGTGGAAGCCAGAACACAGCGGAAAAATACCTTCACAGTGTGGATGGAAGACAACTGTCACCCCAGAATAGTGTTCCTGGCAAAACGAACTTTCAAGAAGAGGACAAAATAAAACATGTTTACAGACAAACAAACAAAAACTGAGAGTTTACAACTACAGATCTATTCTAAAAGAACTTCTAAAAGATGTTTTTTACTTCAGAAAGAAAGAAAATAAGCTTTGGAGGATTTGAGATGCAAGAAAAAAATGACAAGAAATGTGTATTAACATATGGGTAAATCTAAATAAGTACTGTATGTATAAAATAAAGAAATTAAGAAGAAAAATGTCATTTGTGGGTACTGTAAAAAAAAAGAGAAAATAATATAGCTTGTAAGTTTGAGAAGGAGTGGGTGACAAGTAAAAAAATATATATTAAGGGCCTTGAATTACTCAGGAGGTGGGGTTGTGTTAAGTATGCATATGGTAAGATTTCAAGGTAACCTATAAAAGAAAAGAGACAGAATATAACTTACAATCCAGCAGACGGGGAATAAGAGAAAAGAAAAAACAAAGTCAAGGGTAGAGACAAGAATTCAGGACAAATAGAAAGAAGAAAGCCAGAAGTCCAAATATGTCAGTAAATACAAAGGGGCTAAAAATGGCAATTAAAAGATAGAGGTTGTCAGATTGGATAAAAAAAGAAAATCTAGGCATTATGCTGCTTACAAGAGACTCATTTAAGATATAAAGATATGTGAATTTAAAAGCAGAGATAGAAAATAATAATATAAATACTGAACAGAATAAAGGCCTTGGGGGCCTTCAGGCCAGTCTCAACAGCTATAGTAGTCTCAACAGCTATAGTAGTCCCGCATGTGGCTTGCCTGATGCTGGCATAAGGCTGCTGCACCCCACCCTGACTGATCCTCCTAACGCCCCCTCACCTGGCTGGTGATGTCTGAAGGCATAGGCGAGGGGGGCTTGGAGTAGGTGGCGTCCTGGGAGACGAAGCCAGAGTCATGGGAGGAAACGCTGGAGAGGCGAGCGGTGGTGGTGGCTGGCTGCGCCAGGCTGCGGTAGCGACAGGTGGAACTGGGTGAGTATGTTTGGGCACCCCCAGGCCATGGGGCTCCGCCACCCTTGGCACTGCTACTGCTGCTGGGGGCACTAGGGGAGTGAAGGAAGAGGGCACAGCAGCCAGACAGGGAGACAGAGGGGTGTGTGTTTGGGGGAGGTTGACAAACGAGGGTGGGGAAAGAGGTGAGGGGCAAAGGAAGGAAAAGACAATGTCAGACTAGGAGGTCCTGAGACCCAGGTGCTACACAGGAGCTGTGTTCTGGGACGGTGTGGAAGGGGAGGGCCAGAGCAGGGTACCCCCAGCCCCAGTGCTGAGGGGAGCCGTGGTCAGGGAATGCCCAGGGTGAGGCAACCTCTCTGCCTCCTATTCTGCCACTAAGAACAGTTGTCCAGGCTGGGCACAGTGGCTCATGTCTGTAATCCCAGAACTTTGGGAGACCAAGGCGGGTGGATCATTTGAGGACAGGAGTTCAAGACCAGCCTGGAGAACATAGCGAAACCCCATCACCACTAAAAATGCAAAAGTTAGCTGGGCATGGTGGCGCATGCCTGTAATCTCAGCTACTTGGCAGGCTGAGGCACGAGAATCACTTGAACCTGGGAGGCGGAGGTTGCAGTGAGCCAAGATTATGCCACTGCACTCCAGCCTAGGAGAGCAAGGCTCTGTCTTGAAAAAAAAAAAAAGAAACAAGAAACAGTTGTCCTGTCTGGGCGTGGTGGCTCACACCTGTCCCAGCACTTTGGGAGTCTGAGGTGGGTGGATTGCTTGAGTCCAGGAATTTGAGACCAGCCTGGGCAATAGGGTGAGACCCTGTCTCTACAAAATATATGAAAATTAGCCAGGCGTGGTGGTGCACACCTGTATTCCCAGCTACTTGGGAAGCTGAGGCAGGAGAATCGCTTGAACCCGGGAGGTCGAGGCCACAGTGAGCCATGATTGTGCCACTGCACTCCAGCCTGGGTGACAGAGCGAGACCCTGTCTCACAATGACAACAAAACCCAAAAAACCCACCAAAAAACCTATTGGTTTCACCAAAGATCTTAATCTAGATTCCTATATCCTAAAGAATATATCTTTATCACTGAGGCCTCAGCCTCCCGAGTAGCTGGGACTACAGGCACACACCACCATGCCCGGCTAATTTTTTTGTATTTTTTAGTAAAGACGGGGTTTCACCGTTTTTACCAGGATGGTCTCAATCTCCTGACCTCGTGATCCGCCTGCCTCGGCCTCCCGAACTGCTGGGATTACAGGCGTGAACGACTGCCCCCGGTGAGTCCAATCATTCCTAAACCACCTTCTCAAAATCTGGTATTTGCCATCCAGTCCTAACTGGATGTCTAGCATATGGTGATGGTGTGTGTGCGTACAGAGGTCACCTTCCAAGTGGGTCCTGCACCCACCATCACCCTCACTCTCTCCAATCCCTCAAGGGTGTCCAGCCCTCTATGGCTCACACCCTCAGCACAGCAATTCAACCCTTGGGTGGTGTTCCTGGCTAAGCGTGACCCTGAAGCCTCCCAGCCTCTGCCCCTGCTCATGGCTGTCCCCTGCAATCAGCCCCTTCACTGTGGGACGGCCACCCACGCAGGGTCTGAAGAGCCTCTCTCTGAGGTAGTAGCTGATTGCTGTGCCTGGCTTCTCCCAAGCTCTGGATGTCCAGCCAGTGATTCTGGGGAGAGGGGTGCCTGGCAAAGGGGGGCCCCCACCAGCACTTCACTCTGTGCTTACTGTCCTCCCCACCCAAGGAAGCTTGAACCATCAATGTCTCCTCCAAACCCAGCCCCAGTGCCCAGCCAAGGAAAGGCCCCTGATCCTGAGCCTGGCTAGTGACTGCGAGATCCTTGGCCTCTCCCCAGCTGTGTGAGGCTCCCGGGGCTAGCCTGGGCCAAGGCTCCAAATGCGGCAGCTGCCTCCATGGGAACCAGCTCTTAGGAGCCAGCCAGGCTGGAGTGTCCTATACCTTATGGCCCCAACACTTGTTTCTAGAAGCCTTCCCATCTCTCCCTGATCTTTGACTCTTACTATGACCCCACACGGTGCTAGGCCTGGCAGAGTCCAGTGGTTAAATGCTGGGACTTCATGTGTCAGTTTCCCCTTCTGTAAAATGGAGATGACACCATTCCTGATACAGCAGTGTTAGGATTCAATGAGAAAAAATGCATAAAGCACTTAGCACAGCACCTGGCACATAGTGGATGCTCCATAAATGAAGCTGCTACTGCCCCTGCTTCCTATTCTGCCAACAAATGCCTGTGCCAGTAGCAGTCTTGGGATGACAGGGCACATTTTCCCTCTACATATGCAAATTCCTCGGATGGTGTAAAAGTTGTGAATTTTGAGGCCCTGAAGCAATTTCTGATGCAATTTTGCTGGGAACATCCCCACTTCCTCTTGGGATACCGCCCCCCACACCCCTGGGAACCCCACCCCCACTGACCTGCACATGCTGGACTTCCGGGAGCTGGAGCTGCTGGGTGATGAGGGTGGGGTCTGGTAGGACCAGCTGTAGTCCGAGCCCTTTAGGTCTTTGATTACCTGGACAGGGACATGGATGGGGGTCACTGGAGGCAGCTCCTCAGAGCTAGTAGGGCCAGAGGCCCCCCCCCACTCTCTAATTGTGAACCACATCCCAGGAGAAGACCCAGAAATCTGAAGCCCCCTCCCCCAGGCTCCTCCTAATGTGGGGAGCAGGGAGACACCAGAGGACACAGCCTTCTCGGAGCCCCTTCAGCTAACATGCACTGAGTAGAGATTCCGAGCCCAGCCTGGGCTGGGCGAGAGTGACCCTGACACCATGGGGTGCAGGTTGCTCCTGCGCCTCCCTGAGTTTGTTTACTCCTGTTCCTGTCTTAGAGTGGAAGATTCCCTGAGATAACGTGGCAGATGCTGGGCATGCAACAAGTGCCTCTGGAGCGTGCTGCCCGCAGGCTGTGGGACAGGACTGGTCTGAGTGCAGTGGCAGCAGGGCTGGGGTGGGGTGGCCAGGTACGCCTGGGTCTAGGGGAGGGGATGGGGTTTCTGGCCATGAAGGGAGGTGGGGCGTCTCCAGGTTCGGCAGGAGGTCTGCCCACATGGAGCAGGGCAGGCAGACTCTGGGCCTGACTCCATGGATCCAGGACTTCACCCATCTACTCTGAGTCTGAGAACGCTGCTGGCCAGGGCATACCCTCCCCGACCTGGGCAGGTGCTCCGGGATGGCCTGCAGTGGGTGTCAGAAGGGGTCTGGTCTTATGCCCCTAGCTGCCTCCCCCAAATGCCATCCTCTTTTCCCCTTTACTGTTCCCAACCTAGGGCAGCCCATCTCCTCCCTGCCCCTGGCCCTGGCCCTTGGCCAGAGGGCTCCCGCACCTGCTCGCTGGCGGGAGGCAGTTTGTGGGGTTCTGCTGTCAGCACCACCAAGTCGTCGATGATGCCCTGCAGGTGGGTGATCTCTCCCAGCATGGTCAGCTCTCCATTCTGAGGAAGCAGCGAGTCAGACCTGCTGGCCCTATCGCCCACCTGCCCGCCTGCCCAGCGCCCCTGGAGAAGCAGCAGCCCTTGTCGGGCCTCTCCTCTCTCACCCCTCCTCGCTAACCAATGCTGCTCGGGGCTGGTGCAGGTGGGGCCCACACAGCCCAGAGGGCTGGCATGATGGTCTCTCCAGACCAAATCAGTGCATGGTGAGCTATGAGACCTGCCTTTGGGCCAGGAGCATGTGGCCTTGATGCCCCCAGCCAGGGACTGCTGAGAAGTGACCCTTCTTGGAGGTCAGAAGGTCAACCCTGGGCCCAGCCCACCCCTCTGGGGTCTGAGTCCCCAGGAGTCCCACCACCACAGGCTGCAGGAAGGTGATGAAGGTGCAGAAGCGGCCCCGCTCCTCGATCAGCGCCCGGCGCACGGCCTGCTTCTCCGTCTCCTCCAGCAGCAGGTACATGTCGTTGACGTCCTGCAGGGCACTGTCCAGCTGGGGCTGCAGGTCTCCTTTCCCTGGAGGGGTGGGGAGGAGAGGCCTTGCTGGGGATGCCAGCCTGGCTTGCCACACCCACAAATGGGCTCAGACCCTGGTGGTGGCATCTCTCGGCCGTTGGGCTGGGTGTTGCCCTGGGGCCAGGGGACTGCGGAGGGCAGTGAGGACTCTGGGGCTTGTGGAAGGGCTAGTCCCACCAAAGCAGGCAGAGAGGACAGACACACACACAAGAAAGAGGCCAAAGCTGCAAAGCCACGCTGGATTGGGGCATCTCCGGGGGAGGCTCTTGGCGCCCAGGAGCTCTGCCAACACGGAGACTCGCTGGCCTCCACCTGGGGTACCCTCACTGACCCGGGATGGCGCCCCTCACCTCACAAGGTCCAGGGAGGTGGGGCAGAAGCGGGACAAGAGAGAGTGTGGGGCTCAGCTGTAGGCCAGGCCACAGGGGGCGGGGGCCAGGAGAGCTAGGGCTGGGCCTTGGAGGCAGGGAAGGGGTCTCAGTGTGGGTCCCCACTCAGCTCAGGGAGCAGAGCACACAGCAACAGCGACACAAGAAGCAGCAAGAAAGAGAGAGGCGAGAGGATGATGCAGAGGAGATGATGAGATGGCAGGTGAGGAGGTGACAAGTAAGGACGCAGGCCAGCCTGGTGGGGGCGGGGCAGCCAGGGCCTGTGGCCCCCATCCCGCCCTGGCCAACCCCTCCTGGCCTGGCAGACTGACCCAGCAGTGGCCCGGGACTCATCCCTGGCCAGGGACCCCGGGGGCCCCAGGGGGACTGTGCCCCAGGCCCCTCCCTCGTGGACCGACCGCCTTCCTCGCTTCTCCTTGGCCTGGAGAGGTTCCTTCCAATGGCCCTGAGCTGGGGGAGACAGACAAATGCGACAAGGACGGGAGGAGCAGCTGGAGGGACCGACATTTGACTTACCAAGTAGCTCTACAGGAAGGATGTGGGAGGAGAGGAGGAGAGACAGAGAAAGAAAGAATGTGTGAAAGACGCCGGATGGACAGAGCCACTCCTGGGGCGGGGGTGCCTGGGCCTCCTGCTGCCTCCCATAGGGAGGTTCTGGACCAGGTTTGGGGGGAAGGGCAGCTCCCTCTGTCCCACCCAACAGGTTGGAGGGTCCTGTGTCGGGGACAGCGCCCCTCTGGCTGGGATGAAGGCTTTGGGGCGCCCCACGGGGCGGTGGGGCTGTGGAGCGGGGCCGTGGGGCTGTGGCTGGGGGGCCGCGCCAGGCACTACCTTTGCGCGCCTTCTTCTGCAGCTTCAGCGTGTCCGACGACTTCTTTTTGATCTCATGCCGGGCTCGTTTGTACTCTGCAGAAGGGGAGAGCGGAGCGCTCTAATGGGGTCCCTGCGGAGTGGGGGGTGGGAAGCCCGGCTCCGCGCCACCCTCACCTTTCGCGTGGTCCTTGTCCAGCTGGTTGGCCGCCTTCTTCCAGTCCTCGATGCGCTCCTGCAGCGGGTTGATGAGGCTCTCCAGCAGTGCGCTGCGGAGGGCGGGCGGGAGCGCAGGTCAGGGCCGGGCTCCCCCGCGACGCCCCGTCCCCCCGCCCCCCTGCCCGCCCGCAGCGCCCACTCACTTGGTGAACTGCCGCAGCTTGGTCTCGATGCTGCGGTGGCGCATGCACATGCGTGTGAGCGCCGAGCCGATGTCCCTCGTGGCCCCTGGCGAGGCAAGCGCGGGGTGGGAAGGGGCCCGCTGGGGCCTGCGCAGTCCCGGCCTCGGGCCAGGAGGGGGCGCCCCGGCCGCGCAGGCGGAGCCCGCAGCCCGCGCCCTGCCCCCGCCGAGCCGCAGTCCCGCCGGCCCTGGGGGATTCGGGGCCTCCTCCATCTCCACCAGCTCTTCCTCCGCCATCCCAGCCGCGCCAGCCTCCTGCGGCGGCCTCCCCTCTCTCCCAGCTGGGAGAGGCCGGCGCCAAAGACCGTTCCAGGAGCCGGCCAAACGACCCTCCAGGTGTGCCCAGATGCAGGTGCGGGAGTGTGAGCACGCCCAGGGCCCGAAGGAGCGGGAGCCCCAGGTCTCTGCCACTCGGACCAGAGGGCAGAGGCGGCGCCAAGCCCAACGGCGCGCTCACCTGACCCTGCGTGCTCTTAGAAGGACACGAGGGCATGAGTGGGAAGAAGCCCTAAGGAGAATCTCTGTGCTGGGGGGTCACATGAACAGCCCACAGCAAAAAGGGAATCCCCGGGGAACACTCCTGTCACTACTTACCCACTCCTGCTTGCATGCCTCTTGTGACGAGGGGCTCACTCTCTCCACAACCAGCCCACTCCACTAAGGAGCAGAACTCAAGGTTCTGGGCTTGGCGTCCCGTCCTTTCCCTGGCCCATCCCCTACTCTTCCTTTCCAGCCTCCAGGCCCACCCTGGGGCAACCCCAACCTCCAGCCACGCGCCTCCCCACCTCGGGTGTTGGTAGCCATGTCAGCCACTTTCTGGAAGGCATCCAGGAAGGCCACAGCAGCCAGCACGGTGGTCCTGGGGAGAGGGACAACGGCATGGATGGTCGGTGGTTGGGCGGGGGGGGGGCCTCTGCCTGCCCCTCCCCTGCTGGGGTGCCCTGGGCCACCTCACCTCAGCTGGGAATGCAGCTTCGTGGCCTTGGAGTTGAAGTCCTCCCAGATAGGGTAGGAGCTCTGCCGGGCAAATGGGAGAGAAAGTGAGCTTCTTGTGGGGTGGTTGCAGGGCTTGACCTGGGCCGGGCTCCCTGCATGCTCCATCCAGACTTGGGGCAGTTTCTAAGACAGCAGCCCTGCCCCATGGAGAGGGAGGCTCTGGGTCCTCTCGGAGGGCAGAGGACCAAGGACAGAGCCATCAGCATGAGGAAAGCCTGTCCCTGGGAACGGGCGCCTTTGCCAAGCCCTCCCTCCCTGACATCAGGACATCCACCCTACAGGCTACAGGGGGCTCACATCCTCCCTCAGGGGAAATGGAGCAGGAAGTGGCAGGTCCTGTCCCCTCGGGGTTTCCCAGGGGCCTGGCAGGGGATCTGGGCTGAGCCCAATGAGAGGCATCGTGTCTCCCGGACATGTGCCTAGGACACTGGCACTGACCTGCCCACCAGGGGCAGAGGCACAGTGTGGAGGGTAGGGGGTGGCAGGGCTGAAGGCACACCAGGTGTAGACTGGGGCCTCCGGGGCCCCTGCCCTGTGTCCTGGAAGCTGCCATCCCAGGCCAGCAGCAGTGGCTCCCAGGGCCGAGGAGGCTGTGGCTGCTGCAGGGCCCAGCTAGCCTGCCTGGGACAACCAGGCCCTGGGCTGAATGGGGCCTTGTGCGGCCAACAGAGCCACCTTTCTCCACCCCCTGCTCCCCTCCCCTCCTGGGGAAACAGTGTGGCCTTTATCCCAGCCTGGCCCAAGGCTCCAAGTTGGGAGGGGGTTTCCCAATAGGGAGGTCGGGCTCCTGGCCACCGAGTTGTCCAATCTGATTTTGGGGCTTTTCTGGTTAACGCATGCCCCGGGGTCCTGGAGAAACCTCAGCCCTGGCCCAAGGGCCCTGTGGAGGTTTTGCCCCTTGACGGGCAGCCCTGGGCCAGCCAAGCCCCAGCCCACAGGGGCTTCTGACCCTCCCTTCCATGTAGGATGGGGCGATGGAGGCTGGGGCTCTTCCTGAGGAAAGGGGAATGCGGAGACCCTGGCCCTCAGGGCCTCAGAGGGAGGCTCTGCCTGGCTGCAACCCAGGAGCAGGCTAGGGCTTGCCCTGCCAGACTAGGAGAGCTTGCAGGGGTGGGAAGGAGACAGGGCGGCTTAGGGGGCCTCAGAATCTCCCTCCCCTCCCAGCCCAACCAAACCAGTGTCCAGAGAAAGCAAATATTTGCAAAGTCCACAGAGGCTGAAGCAAGAGTGGGTAAGCTGTGGGTGGGCTGTTCCCAAATGGGCACAGCTCAGGGTGAAGGGGCCTGGGAAGCTGTTCCTAGCCGTCCCAAGGAGTGGACTCATGCCACCTATGCCTGGAGTACCCCTTGGGGGTCTTCTAAAAGGGGGCGCTCTCCCACCGCCTGGACCCCCACCCCCACTCAGCCTTGAAACCTTGCTAAGATCTCCCTTTAGGGAGCAGAGAAGTTGCTAGGGGTGGAGGGGGGTCCAGAGCCAGCTGCCCTGGCACCCAGGAACCTTCTTAGCCCCTGAGCAGCCCTGGGGCAGTCTCAGAGATTAAAGGCTCTCCCCATGGGGAGGGGACAAGATGGGGCGCAGGGGAGGCCAGGCCATTTCCCCTCAGCAGATGGACCTAGATGCCTCAGTCTCTAAGGACCTGGACCCGCCCCCCTCCCCACGGTAACCACATAAAGGACCCCAGAGACAAAGAGCTTATGTCTTATTTGTTTATATCCGCCTCTTCATGGATAGGTCAATTTCACTGATTAAAAATAAGAGATAGGGCTCCAGCAGCCAGTGCCCCAGGAACAGCATCCTCAGCCTTCACCTGGGACAGGCCCAGGTAAACCTTCCCCACAGCCCCATTTCACCAACAAGGAAACAGAAGCCCGTAGAGGTTAGCTCATTTGCCCACGGCCACAGGGTGGCGGGGTCAGGACCTGATCCCATGTCTGCCTGGTCACTGCACGCCAGGTAGAGGGACTCCCTTACAAAGCAGGGAGACAAGCACTGAACGTCAAGGCTGGGGAGGCGGCAGGGACTGCTGGGATGTGAGAGACACCCAGTTCTGCCCCAAGCACAGTGGCTGCTCTGGAGTGGGGAGGTGAGGGGCTTCTCATTAGAGGCGCCCAAGTGGACAGGGATGAGGGGACTCTGTCTCTGTCCCGGCAGTGGCTGTGGTTCAGATGTGGAGTGTGGGTGAGCAATCCAGCCTCCAATCCCAGGGAGTGGGCTTTCCAGGTGCCCCTGGGCAAGGGCCCCCTGTCTGAGCCTCAGTTTCTTCACCTGTAAAATCAGGAGAGGAGGAGCACCTGCCCCACTGGGTCAGTGTGGAAATTGAAGCAGGTGCTGCTCAGCCAGCACTCCTCGCAGCGCCCAGCACGCAGTAAGTGCTCAGTTAACACCAGCTAACAGTACGCAAGCCCTGCCCTCTGCAGGGGCCCCTAGCAGAGGCCTGGCCAGGCCTATGTGTCCAGGTGACATTCCCCACTCTTGAGGGGTGGGTGAAGAGTATGACCCCATTTTCTGGCTGGGCCAGCACTGGGTGGAGGCCCCATTCACCTTGCTGAAGGTGCCGTGCCCAGAACTATGACCTTTGGCAAGTCTCTGCCCCTCTCTGGGTTTCAATGGGCAGCCTGACACCAGTGGGCATCTGACCTTGGCCCCCGCTCAGCCCAAGGTCAGGGCCTCCCAGAGGCCCAGGGGAGGGCTTCTGTGGGGCCTGTGGACTCACTGTGGGGTGGCCTCACGGGGCAAGCTCAGTCTCCTCAACCTGGCTGCTGATGGCCGCCCTTCCTCTACGGAGGCCCTGCTGCTCAGGCCACCGAGGGGAAAATCCAGAAGCTGCCCCCGCAAATCCAGGTGGTCAGCTTCCAGGTGGCCTCATCCCCTTCTCTGCCCCTGGTCATGGCCCCTGAACACATGCCTGTGTCATAGGTAGGGGCGAATCTGTCCTTGGCATCATCCCAGGTGAAGCCTCTCCTGTTTTGCCTCCACATGTCAGCAAATCATGCCCGATGTCTGGCTTGAACCTCTTGCTATGATCTGGGCCCACTTCCTTCTGTCTCATCCCAAAGTTCCTTGCAAATTGGCTGGAGAGGGAGAGAGACTGTCCTAGTCCACTTCCACGAGCAAAATCTGCTGCTCTCTGCAGTGGTTGCTATGAGGCTGCCAGTGGTGGTGGGTGGTGGGGTGCGGGAAGGCCCATCCGGAGCCAGCTCTGGGATCGGCCAGGGGAGGGTGGTCTGTGTTGCCCAGTCCCTTAACAGGATCCTGGGGCCAGGGCTGTGATGTCCACAGGACAGGTGGGGACTGCTGGGGGCCAGCGGAGGGGCCCAGATGTACAGTTGCAAGAGATGGGGGTCCCAGGGGGAGTGCACCATGAGGGGCAGGGGGTGGGGGGCATCTACAAGCCGCTAACTGGGTAGTCCCAGGCCAGGCTGGCTTCAGGCCTCTTCCGGGGGCAGAGATCTGGCAGCTGTCCCTGGGGCTGTTGTCCTGGCAGCACCGGGAGCCTCGAACTCCAACCTGCCAGCAACCCCCACCCCTCACGGGGCCTGTCCTAGCAGCACTGTACTGGGTGGTGTCACCCCCATCCCTGGCCTGGTGGGATTCTGTGTTGTGCACTTGGAGAATCTGCGCTGGGCTGTGGGGGTGGGGGCCCTTGGGAGATCCTGTGGGGTGCCTCGTTCTTTCCCCTTCTCCCAGCCCCCAAATCCTGCCCCTTCATCCTAGGCTAAGGAAAGGGGGCACGGCAGGAGGGCAGGAATACTGGTTCCTGGCCCCCACCCTATCACTGGAGCTGGGCCCTCTCTGCCTAGTCAGCGTAGGGCAGCCCTGCCAAACCCTGGCCTCATTTGGGGAGAGGAACCCACTAATTTTCCCAGGAGGAAAAATGGGGGCTGAGGTCAGGGGAAGGGTCCAATAGTCTCCTTAGTGACCTTGAGCCATTTCCAGGCCTCAGTTTCCCCACCTGGTGGGGTGAGGAATGAATGGGTGGTTGGATCCAGCCTGACCTTAAGCAATCCTGGGAGACAAGGAGGGCTCGGAGCTGAGAGCCCAGGGTGGTAATGGGGTAGGAAAAGCGCTTCCTTGGGGTTGCTCCACCGACCCCAACCTTCATCCCGCCTCCTCCCAAGGTGATGATCAAGGCCTATCCTTGGGATGCAGGGACATTCAGCCTGGAGACCTTGGAGTCCTGGAGCTTCCTGGGGCTGTGGGGGTGGGGCGGGGCTGGGGGACGCAGTCTCACGGTCGGGTGCAGAGGCCTAGGTCGGCGGGGAAGGAGTTAACGGTTCTCCGCTTTATTATTTTTTCCTGCTTTGGCGGTGACAGCATTGTCTGGGCTCCGGGGCCGTGGGGGAACATGGTGGTGGAAGGGGGCGGAGGCCGGTAAGACCCCGGACTCGTTAAAGGGCCCTAGAGTCGGTCCTGGATCCAAACCCCATTCATGGTTTGGCGGTCTGGGGCGCAGGGAGCCTGCGTGTGCACAGGCTCGGGTCAGGACCCCACGGGGCCACCGCGGGCACCGCACGGACACCCCGACACACGAGCACCCACACCCCCAGACGGGCACCCGGAGACACGGGCGCCCAGCAGACGCAGGCAGGACGCGCTCAGACAAGGACACACAGACACCGCGGCGCGCGGCCACACGAGGCTCGGCCACCCGCCGCCACGCGTCCCCGGGGGGTCCCGCACCCGTCGCCGCGCGCCCGGCCCCGCCGCGCCCCGGTTACCTTCATGTCGTTGACTATGGCCTGGAAGAGCCCGCCCAGGGCGCCGCACTCCTTCTCCGCCGTCTCCATGCTCTGGCTGGGCCGGGCCGCGGCGGCGGCTAGGCGCACGGAGCGCGGGGAGCAGCGCAAGGGAGGGGGCCAGGCCGCGCGGGCGCTCGCTCCGAGGCCGGGCCGGGCCTCCCGCCTCCAGGCTGCGCTCAGCGGCCGGCCGCGCCGCGCTCCGGGGTCGCGGGCCTCCGGCGGGCGGCGCGGGCCATGTCGCAGCGGGGCTGGCGGGCGGCGCGGGGGGCGCGGCGCGGGCAGCTCGCGGCGCAGCCTCGGCGCGGGGACTGACGGCGGCGGTAATCCGAGCCGCCGAGGATCGGGCGTCACGTGGGCGCGGCGGAGGGGGGACCGCGAGGAGGGAGGGAAGGAGGGCGGGCCGCGCGGGAGGGGGCTGTGGGAACGGCCGCGCGGGCGCAGGCCCATTCACGGCCAGAAACCAGGGCTTTGAAATCCGAGCCCGGGCGCTGCCAGACTGGTCCGGCGAGCGGGGCCGACGGGCGCGGGCGCCACCGAGGGTCGGGGGGCGGCGCTGGGCGGGGCCCGCCCTGCCCACGCAGGAGCGGGACTGGCGGTTGGGCCTCGGCCCCCGGGCAGGGGCTCCACGATATCTTCTGGCCTTTGGTCTGGGGCGGGGGGCTTCTCGCGCTTCTAAAGACAGGCAGTGGGTACAGTGGCGGGATGGGGTCGGTGCATGGGCTGGATGGGTGGCATACACCGCACACAGCAGGGCGCGGGGTATCGTGGAGCCGCCCGCCTTGGGACGTTTCATCGCAGGCACAGACCTTCCTCAAGTTCGGACCCTTCCAAGTTCCTTGGCTCCTTCTCCAAGTGGTGCCGATGCCACCCGGATGGGGTGCCCAAGGCTGGGCATTTGGGGGGCAGTGGTAGTCTCCTGGGCCTTGAACAACCTCCTTCTTCGCGGGTGGGGGCTAATGTCGGACCTGCAGAGCAGAGCTGGAGTGTCCTTGGTCTCTGCTGCCTGAGTCCACGGTGGGTGCGATGCACACACGTGCATGGGGTAGCAATGTCAATCGCAGCCTGTCCTGGAGACTCCAGGCAGGGAAACCCACCCTGGGGGGCAGCACGATGGGGGAGCGCACTCTGGGGAAGAGCAGGCACAAGCTCCTTCTCGCCTACTCCATGGGCCGGAGGGAGCCAATTACAAGCTCATTAGGAGACCAAGCCCAGGGTTCCCAAAGCCTGGGGACAGGTGGTACCACTCCCGGTGAGGAAGGGCTTTCAGCTGCAGCAGTGGTTGGGGCACCTGCCCCTCCCTGGACTGCTCTGGGCTTTTCCTCCCCTTGCCCCGAGATCTGCAAAGTGTTCTGCAGTGTGCATTGCCCTTTCATCCAGGAACTCCTGGGGCTCAGCTCCCATGTCCCCAGTGGGGAACTCCCATTGCCCCAGGGAGTCAGGATGAGAAAGGCAGATTGGGGAAGGCAGGGTTCAGGATTCCAGGGCAGGCAGTGCATGGTGCTCTCCAGGAGGGTGCAGGTTCCAGAGGTGGGGACCTAGGCTCTAGGCCCATGGCTCCACTCAGGTGAGTGCAGGGACCAGGCCCTGGGGCAGCCAGTACTCCTTGGGGCCATCATGAAACCCGATCTCCAGGACAGAGGGTGAGGCCCCCGGACAGCTGCACGTGTCAGCTGGGAAGGAGCAGGCCGGCTCGGGTTGAGGGTTTTCTGTTATTTCTTTATTGGGGTGGGGGTGGGGTGCATCATTCAGATCTTTGTGCTGGTGCCTACGTGCATACAAGTACACACACACACACACACACACAGGCATGTGTTCACGTATGTATACATATACACACAAGGCCAGAGCTCTAGTGTGCTGGAGGAGGGGCAAGCTCTTTTTCCAAGAGGGTATTAGAAAGAGGTTGATTCCAGAGGATGAGTGGTCTCTGAGGCTATAGCCCCCCACTGGGTGGGCAGCCAGCTCTGTGAGAATGCCAGGGTGCAGCTGACAGCGCTGGAGGCCTGGGGACTGGACTCTGAGAGGAGCTTGGGCAGACACAGCAGCCTCCGGCCCCAACACTGCCCTGGGTTGGCAGGCCCAGCCCTGGTCCTGACAGGCAGGTCCTTGAGCTCCTCGGGAGGGCGTGACGACCCTTAGTGTTTCATGGGACCACTCGGTGGGCCCTCCTCCGTGCCAGGCCTGTCAGAGGACAACCCTCCGGTCCAGGTGGTCCCCACGCCCGCTCCGCTGGTGCCGCACTTCCAGGTGCTTGTTCTGGACCTTCTCAAAGTGCTGCAGCAGCTCTGCGTAGTCGATGCTAGGGGAGTCAGCTTTCTGGGACTTGGGGGCTGCCTTTAGACTGTCTCTGGGAAGAGGGAGCAGAAATGCTCAGTGTCAGGGATCAGCTCACAGGGGGGTTACTGCTGGAGGGCAGTGGGGTCAGAGGCAGAGCCACAGGCTGGTGGGCTCGGCCTGTGGGCGTCTGTCTCAGGCCTGGCAACTCTTCCGTCATGGCGGGCCCCAGAGCTGGGAAGCCCCTGAGCATCCCCCTCTTCCGCAGTTGGTGGGAACAGCTAACACTGCTGCTTGGCTATTGCCCTCGGCCTGTGGGCTGGCGATGGCGCCCAGAGCAGGCATCGCATTGGGAAGCATTTCCTGTTTACGAGTGGCTCCCTTTGGGGTGAAAGCCAGGGCTAGCAGCCAGCCAGGAAGCCAGCTGGGGCCTGGAACAGGGTCTGGGGAGAAGGGGGAGGTGGCAGCTTGGCCCTTTCTCTGAGAGGCAGGGCTAGGACTGGGGAAAATGGGAATTGCTGAAGAGCCTCTGCCGGGCCCTCCACTTGGCAGGACATTTGTTTTTGAGTGTTGGGGCCCCAAGGCCTGCAGTCACTCACTGTCCCTGGGAGGAGGAATGCCGGTCTCACCACTGGACATGCCTACAGCTCCTACATTCCTGTTGCTGCCACCCTCTCCAGTTGCTCTGTACAGCAACACAGGTTGTGCACTGCACAGCTAGTGTGCATGATGCTCCCTATAATGGTGCAATGCGGTAGCCTTGCTGTCCCTGTCAAGCCCAGTGCTTAGCTTGCCCCTGGCGATGAGATCCCCTTGGGCTCCTGTCCTGTTCCTACTCACCCTCCAGCAGTGTCTCATGAAATGTTCTGCTCCCTCCCTTTGGCCTCACTGGTTTGGAGGAGCAGATCCATGTGGGCTAGGAAGTATCTGTTTCCAGGCCCTGAGGCCTGGTGGACCTGGGAAGGGGTCTCAGGAAGACTGTGGGCTGCTCAGCTAAGCAGAGAGTCTTGGGGCCCTTCAAGTTTATGAAAAGATGCCAATCGGCGGGGCCGGGAAGGGGGGTGCAGGCACTGGCAGAGCACAGGATCTAGACAGACCTGGACCCAACCATAACTCCACCGCTTCCTAGCGGTGTGACTTGAGCATGTGACTGTTTCCTCATCTGCAAAGCGAGGGCTACCTAAGGAGCGGCCCTGGGGTGGCTGCCAAGATGCCTTGACACGATGTGTAAGAGCTTCACCTGGTATCCAGCCCCAGCTTAGGTATCTGGCAGGTGCCACTGTGGCTACAGTTCTGCCCCTCCAACGTGAGGCCAGCCGGGGCCCAGCAGCTTGAGGGTGGAAATAAAGGAGGCCATTTTGGGGGAGACAAAAAGGAGCTCCCCCAAAACGAACTCTTGGCCATGAGTTCAGTCCAGCAGGAAGAGTCAACGGCCAGAGCCTGACAGTTGCTTCAGGTGGCCACCAGCCTGCTGGGCAGGACCAGGGCAGGGGGACTCTTCCCACAGTTGAGATGCCATCTGGGGCCCGGAGGCGGCCTCCTGCACCCCTGCTCAGCTCTGCCTGCCCACACCTGTTCCCTTCCCGCCTCCCTGCTGAAGATGCACCACCAGAAAACATCTTGGACATGTCTACGGCTGCGGCTGCTGCTTTTCTGGGCCTGGCGCTCCTGGCTCCCTAGCGGGGCTCAGCTGACTTTAGTTCAACAAAGATCAAAAGCAGCTGGGCGGGGCCATTCTAGAGGGCCAGGCTGTGGGCAGTGTTCTAGGCTGTGGTTGCTACTGGGAAGGGACCTCCCAGGCACAGTAACCTTGGGAACCAGGTGCCACTGCTCCAAGAGAGCAGCTTGGACTTCTAAGGAGGCCAAGGGCCACCCCGGAGCTTGCAGCCCTAAGTCCAGGGTGTGGCCAGACGCTCCTCTAACCCACTTAGGCCAAGGCCACAGGTGTGACCCTAAAGTGTGTCTTCTGATGCTGGGCACCCACAGGTCTGTGCGTTGCTCCCCATGACACTCCTGGCAAGCCAAGGCCTTAGGTTAGGGGAGCTTAGGGGCCTTTAGAGAGATGCTCTCAGCACTGGATGGCAAACCCGGGAAGATGGCGTCGGTGTGGCAGGGTTGGTCGGGGTGGGAAGAGTGGGCCACATCTGCTCCCTGGGCCCTTAGGGTGGCAAGAAGTCCTGCTCCCTGTGATGGGCAGACCCTTCCTGGCCTGAGATCTTGGGAGCAGGGCGGGCTGTGTCACCGGGGGTGGGTGACACTGCCTGGGCTGCTGAGCACAGAGGCCAGGCCCGCTCTCCCTGCCCCACCTAATGCAGATGGCTGCTCTCAGGCCCTGCACATCTTCTGTAGGTCCATAACCACCCTCGGGCACCGAGGCTGAGGCCAGCCAGCCCACAGCACAGTGTGGCAAGTCCAGGACTCAGGGCCGGCTCTCACTCTTGCCATCCCACCCATGCACCTGTTGCCAGCTTTTTCTTAGAGGTTCCCTCCTGCCTTACTGAGGAGACAGTCACTGGGGAGTGGCCCAGAAGCCAGGGGGTGGGGGAGCTGAGGTCCCCAGGGCCTTGATGGCACTTGGAGCACACAGAACCAGGGATGGGCGAGGAGTGTACAAAACTCTCCCAGCTGTTCCCAGCTCCAAGGCCTGCCCCGCAACTCGACCCTGTCTGCCAGCTGTCTGCCCCTCCCAGGGCTGGGACTGTCCTCAGCTCCCTTCCCAGGGTGTGAGCCGTCCTCTGGGCCCCACCCTGCAATCTGACCCCTCCCCCAGCTGTTCTGAAGTCCCCTGGCATGCCCACTGCTTCTGTGCCCCTATCTATGGTATCTCTTCCTAGGTCGTTGCAAAGTAAGGCTGGGGGTCCAGGGCATTGAAGGCTAGGGGGTGTCTCACACACCCATTTAGTCCAAATGTGCATTTACTGACCAAGTAACCAAGAACCCAGAGAGGGCACTGGGCTTGCTGGAGGTCACACAACAAATCCATGGCAGAGCTCACACCAGATCCTACTCTAGGCCTGCAAAGCATCCACTGACCCTCAGAATCTTCTACCCAGAGGCCTCAACCCCTTGGCTCAAGACTTCCCTGACTGACCGTGGGAGATTCTGAGGAAAGCCTCATTTTCCCAGCTTCCCTCTGCAAACTTGTTCTACCCTGGTTTGAGGAGTCTGACTGCTCTGAGCCTCTGCTCCCCTCCCAAGACGAGGAGATCAGCACTCGGAGACCCGGGAGAGGCTGGGCTGGCTCCCTGGCCAGGAGGACTCCCAGGAAGGCAGGCTGGTTCCCACAGGGAGACTGGAGGTCACAGGGAAGCAGCCCTTCCTGCCTCCTCCCTGCTTCCGGCTGCACCTTCCCCTCCTGGGTGCCTGCCAGGTTGACCCTAACACTATGGGGCGTTGAAGGGCCAAGGCAAAGGCTGGGCCAGCAAGGCCCGGTGTGGCTTCTAGGCCTCTCTCGGAGTCTCTCGGGAGCTGACAGCACTCCGGCCCCAGGAACCCACACATGCGCCCCCGCTCCATGGCTGACCCTGCTCCCCTGGGGACACTGCATCAGGTGCTGTCTTCTGGGGACCACCTGGCAGCACCCTGAGCAGCTGGGGTGGCAACCGGCTCAAGGCCTAGTCCTGCCACTGCAGGGCACTGCCTTCTGGGGAAATGGGGCAGGGAAGGCACGAGCCGGTCTTGGTTGGGGCCACACTTTCTAGGGGTTCAGCCTCTCCAGCTGGCCTGGGGCAGAGAGCCTATCAGGTGCCCCACACTCAGCCATCCGAGGGCCAGTCTGGGTGGGAGGGGCAGTGGGAGCCGATGCCAGCGGTGTGGAGGGCACAGGGCCTCCGGGCAGGCCTGTCTCAAGGCTGCCTGTGTCCATCGCAAAGGCGAGCACCCGAGGCCCTTTGCTGGAGCAAGGCGCCAGGCCTGCTGAGTGGCTCTAACAGCCTGGGAGGGAATTCTAGACACACAGGGCATCTGATGCAAGCTGGGCGCGCTCCATTCAGCGTAAATCTTCTCAGTGGCTCTGCTGGTTTCCATGGCGACCTGACAAGTGAAATTTTCCATCTCGGATGCCAAATGCCTGTGGATGAGGCAAAGCCTCCAAGGGTTACCAAATATAGATGCAGCCCTACAGGCTCTGGGGTAGGGGCCAGCCGTGGGTTCAGGGTGGGAGCCGGCACTCCTCTGACCAGAGGCTGCCAAGCTGGGCCTCTTGGTGGAGGGGTGCCTAGGACCTGTTCCTTCCATGGGCAGGACCTGAGCAGGGGAGCCTTGAGTGTACCCCTGCCTCCCACCCCACCCCGGAAGTGGCTGAGAAGGTCCTAGCAATGATGGGGTCTCCCAGTGACCCAGGGTTGAGCCTCTGCCACAGACAGGGTGGGGAGGGGCTATGTGAGGCCTGGGAGGTGCCCAGCACAGACAGCCACTGGGGCCCCCATCTCTAAGCTGGGGCAGGAACTCCTCCCCCTGCCCGGTGTTTCTCTCCAGGGTCCTCTGTCTGGGTAACTCCAGATGCCCTCAGAGTTTTTAGATTTTGCATAGCCTCACTGAGCTGGACCCTGATTGCCTGGAAGTGTTGCTACTCCCGGCCACCGTGTGAGGGCTCCCAGAATCCCTTGCTCGGTGCTCTGATGTGGACACAAGAGGCCAAGGGGCAAGTGGCTGCGGGGGGGATGGTGGTCACAGTGACAAAAGGGGTGGGATGCTGAAGTGAGGGAGGCCTCAGCAGCCCCTGGCAAGGCCCTTCCTCACCAGGCTCCTCTGGGCCTGTCCCTGCTCAGGGGGCGGGGGCAGCAGTCCCCAGCCGGCACTCACTCGGTCTGCAGCAGCTCAGGGTTGGGCACGCACTGGAGCCGGTGCGAGAGCAGCTGGAAGGCGCTGCTCTGCGGCAGGAGCATGAGCAGGCCGTAGAGGGCCTTGATCAGGTAGGGGTTGTTCTTCACGTCCAGCAGCTGCAGGCGCAGATCTGGGGTAGGCAGAGGGCAGGGGTCAGGGACCTGGCACTGCTCTGGGACACGCCCAGCCCACACTGCCTGCCTCCGACTGGCCAGGACCACCTGGGACTTGGTGCCATGGCACCCACAGCCCAAGGACCCAGCTGTGTGGACCCAGCCAGGTGGCTGTGGCTTCCAGCGAGTCAGGGGCTCCTTCACAGCCAGTCGCGCTGCCCCCACCTCCCCCAGGAGTGTCCTAGCCGTTTCCATGATCTCATCTTCCTTTCCACCTGCCCACCTGCCTGTCTGATCTTTCCAACAGTCACCTCAGCCCCACAACCCCGAGACACGCTGTGGGGCCTGGTCTGTTTCCCGCCCCCCGCTCAGCTGCCTCCCTGGTGATACGAGGGCTCGGGGCCTGTAGTGTAACATATTCTCCAGTTGGCTCCACACGTGCCAGCACGGGAGAGCTATAAATAGGGTGTGCTGGAGAGAAAGACGGTAGATTAGGACAGCTTTAAGAGAGGGCAGGATGGAAAAACGCCTTTGTGTGTAGCGAGACACACACCAAAGCCCCGGAGCGTCTGGGAGGTGCTTCTGGGGCTCCGGCTCACATGCCAGCCCTGCCACCACCCTGGCGGGGGAAAGAGATGCACCCGGGGGGCTGCCCAGCACTCATTCCAGCCCAAGCTGCAGCACGGACCCCGCTGGTGGCTGGCTGTACCACAAGGCAGTCCCAGCTTCCCCAAGGCGCACAGGGGAGGTGGGATTGGAAACGGGCTCACTTTTCTTCTGCGAGCCTCTCCAGGAGAATCACTGGCTTCTACTTCCTTGTGTCCCTAGGCCCAGTCCAGGCATTGTTTGTGGAGGATATGCCATGTGCTTTGGGAGAGGGACTATGTCACCCCTGGAGCGGCCACACAGGGGGTCCCGCTGACAAAGGGAACCTGAGCACCAGGCCTTAGGGCCAGGGTGTTGGTGCGCAGGGAGCAGAGGAATGGAGGCCTGCTGGCGCCCTCCAGAAGAGACCCCCACCACCACTGTCCTAGGCCTGGCTGCCCAGCAGAAGCGCGAGCCTGTTTCCAGTCCTTTCTTCCCTTTGGGCCTTTGGGAAGCAGGCACTGCCGGTGGCCACACCAGCCACCTCTAGGATCCAGGCGACTCAGGGCTGGGACGGTGTTGGGCGAGACCAGGGTGTGTCTCTCCTGTTACCCTGCCCCAGCAAAGCCCTGGGCTTGAGGAGAAGGTGCTTGGAGTTCCTCCAGGGTCAGGGAGGGAGGGCAGTCATCCTAGGGATGCTTCTGGAATGCCAAGAATGTACAACTGGAGAGATGAGTCAGGACAGACCAGCAGCAGGAGCAGGGTCTTTTTAGGATCTGACCTCAGGCGGCCGTGTGGGTGCCTGTGTCCCTGGGAGGCCCTCGGGGAAGTGTCACGCTGGGCACACCTGGGACAGGCTTTAGCGCACTCTGCGGAGAGCAGGGTCTCCCCCCTGCTCTTCTGTCTCCAGGGCATCAGTTCCTACGGCACCCTGCTGCTTGATGAGGCTGCCCTTTGAAGGGGGCTCAGGAGGGGATGGGAACGGGTGTTCTTCAGCCCCTGCATTCAATTCAGGCTCCAGGGCTCAGGCTGATGGGCTTAGGCCGGGCGGGTCAGAGACGCTGCCAGAGAGTGGGAGAGGCCGGGTGGCCAGCTTGGCAGGGAAGGTGGCCACCAGCAGAGTGGCCTCCTGGCTTCTCTGCACATTATAAGCACATAAGCGTCATTCAAAGTGTGTATGTTGAGGTGCTGAGAGCTGTGCTCGCCCCAGCCAGCTGCCACTTTTGCACATTCAGCCTGGGTGTTACTAAGCAGGCAGCTCCTGCCCACTGGCTCCCAGCAAATGCCAACTCTTCTTTCAGAGAGGTACAGGCATGGCTCTTGGGCCAACAGGAGCACCTGCAGAGGGACTCGGGACCCACAACTTCAGAGAGCCAGAGCAGAGGCAGCAGACCCGGAGGGGTGGCTGGGGACAGCCCAGGGGCCTGGTATCAGCCTTCAAGGGGGTTCTGCTGTCAGCGCTGGCTCATGTCCAGGAGACTCACTGTGAGGGATACAGGCAGGATCCAGGTTCTGATGCCACGTGCCCCAGCCCTGCTCTGGCTGGCCTTGCAGGCCTATCATCCCAGTCTTTTTTTTTTTTTTTTTTCTGAGGCAGGGTCTTGCTCTGTCACCCAGGCTGGAGTGCAGTGGTACAGTCACAGATCACTGTAGTCTCAACCTCCTGGGCTCAAGTGATCCTCCTACCTCAGCCTTCTGAGTAGTGGTGACTATAGGCATGCACTCTCATGCCTGGCTAATTTTTAAAAAATTTTGTGCAGATGAGATCTCACTATGGTGCCCAGGCTGGTCTCGAACTCCTGCCGTTAAGAGATGCTCCAGCCTCAGCCTCCAAAGTGCTGGGATTATAAGTCTCACATTCTCAACATTCCAGAAGCTTCCCTGGGGTGACTGCTCTTCCTCCCTCCCCAGCCAAAAGAGACCAACTGGAGCTTGACTTCACCCACCCCACTCCAGGGCAGCCTTGGACTCATGGCGCGAGGTGTGGTGGGAGGTGGTTCTTACATGTGAAGATGGGGCACTCAATCAGCTGCACCAGCTTGTCCACCTCTGCGAGGAAGTCCACGGTGACCTCCAGGTCCCCACTGGGTGTGCAGTCAAGGAAAGTCTGTCTGCTGGGCCAGCACAGCCGCAGCTCACAGCACCACACGCCCTCCCCCCCTGCACCTGGCTTCCTGTGCACAGAGCCTGGTTGTGGTGAAGCAGGATTTGGCGCACAAAGGACACCAGGCTCTTCCCTGTTCCTCGCCTTTCTGTCCTAAATGGAACTCCCCTGTTCAGGAGTTCCAGGTTCCACTCTAGCAGCTGTCTCCTCTGCACCCTCCCGGGCTGGGAGAGGCTCTTATCACAGCGCTGCAGCCCGTTGGGGGAGGGCTGGGCAGGAAGGGTTCTCTCCTTTCCTGCCAGCAGGGCTGCAGCAAGCTTGCGGCACTGGGCAGTGGCCTGCCAGTCTCTGGGTGACAGAAGTGGCTGAGAGGAGCAAATCCAGGTTGTAGAAGGGAAGCAGGCACACTGTGGGGAGCCAGGCAGGGCCACACCTAGCCCTCCACTGAGGCACCTCCTGGTCCCTTCTTCCTTACTCCCAACTCCTGGCTGGTCATGTTGCCTTCTAAATAGCACTCCAATCCTGGGTTACATGTCAGGCACCCATGGATGGGGCTAGTTTGCTTACTGGTGTTTTAAAAAAAATCTGGCCAGGCGCGGTGGCTCACACCTGTAATCCCAGCACTTTGGGAGGCCGAGATGGGCAGATCGCTTGAGGTCAGGAGTTTGAGACTAGCCTGGCCAACATGGTGAGACCCTGTCTCTACTAAAAATACAAAAATTAGCCGGGCATGGTGGTGAACGCCTGTAATCCCAGCTACCTGGGAGGCTGAGGCAGGAGAATCACTTAAACCCAGGAGGCGGAGGTTGCAATGGGCCAAGATCGCCCCACTGCACTCCAGCTTGGGTGACAAAGCAAGACTCCACCTCAAAAAACAAAACATCTAACTCTGGATGCCTTTTGATGAGCGCAGTGCTGAGGTGAGAATGGGTGCCTCCTGCTTCTGAGGCCTCTGCCCAGCCTGCTTCTCCCCAGTGTGTCATCCTCAAGCCTGTCGGGCTCTAGCTCTGTGGCCCCCGAAGGCCCACGCCTGGGCTGAAGCCTGCAGGCTCACCCAGCCATCCACCCATATTCCCAGCTCCAGGCCTTCTCCCCCACCCCCACACCAGGCCCAGGAGGAACTACAATGAGCAGAGGGCAGCCACCTTCTCCCAGGGGCAGGAGCTGGGGTTCTCTCCCACCCCAGCAAGATGGTCCAGCATCACCCGCTGGCACCTGCCGGGCTGGGCCTACTCAGTCCCAATCCCAACCCACAGGGTTTCTCCCGGGCCAGCTCCCCCTCCAAGAGCCCCTCTTTGCTGCCAATCTCGCTCTCCCAAATACGTCCCTCCCCTCCCAGTGTCCTGGCAGCCCTGATGTCACAAGCCCTGAGGCTGAGTGGAGGGGTGGGGACAGGAGCATGGCACTTGGGCCCGCCTGTTGGGTGGAAAGGGGGCAGCCGGCCCCTTCCTGCCCCTCAGAGGCTCAACCCCAACCACAGTGAGAGGAAGGATACAACTTCTGGATGAGGTCATAGGCGTGCCGGTAGTTCTGGGTGAGGAAGCAGAGGGACACCGTGGTGACTGGGTTGTGGCACCAGGAGCGGTACAGGCAGCAGAACAGGTTCTGGCTCTCCTGTGGGGGAACAGGCATGAGCCGTGAGGACACGCCTGCTCCTTGCCCCTACCCGGTCCACGTGGGGACCTGAGGGAAGGGCCACAGGTCTAAGTCCCAGGGGCCTTCAGTCGGGGGCAGCCAGAGCCAGCTTAGCACCCCGGCTGGGAACGAGCCGTCACAAAGGAAATGCTGACAGCTCCTTCGCAGACCCTGTCATTACCTCCCAGTCCCAGAGCTGTGTGGTGGCTGCGAGGGCCTGGCTGGGAGTGGCTGTCCTTTGTGCTGGCATGTCTGCCCTTGGCAAAATCACAGTAATTGTCCCCCCTCCCCACCCCAAAGAACTCTGTGGTCCCGGAGCCCCATGGGGCTGGGATGATGATGGGGGAGTGGGCAGGGAAGGGAGGAAGCACACTTAAATGCCATCTCCTCCCCACCTCTGCAGTCCACTTCGAACACTTGGAAACCACCCAGGAACCCAGCCCACACTTGGGGGAGCCCTTGCCCCCGAGGAAAATTCTTAAGGCCTCTGCGAATGTCTGGAAGGAACCACAGGAGGGAGGCAGGGCTGTGGCCTGGATCGTGCAGAGCCACTTGGCCCCAGATGCCCCCAGACATGGGCCTGGATATCCCCGAGGCTCCTGGGGAGGGTGTAAGCAGGGTCTGAGCCGGCAGGGGACCTGGGAAATGAAACCCCTGGAGTCCCTGCCTCCAGGATGACCCCTGTCCCCGCACGGCCTCTGCAGCCACCACCCCAGCCGGGACACGAGAGGCCTGGGACCCGCGTCTCTCCTTGTTCATAGGGGAGTGAGAGTGAGTGAGTGTCCTTTCTGCTCTCTCTGACCAGTCGTTGGTGCATCCCCATCCAGAGCCTGGGACGGATGGGCAACAAACTTGACACCTTGGCTTATGACAGGTGCCTTAGGAGCCAGATGTGCCCAGCTGTGGGAGAGAGGGGCCAGGCCAAGGAGGGCGAGAAGAGCTGTTAACCCCTGATTCGCCAGCAAGGTTATAACCCAGAGGCCTGGCCCTAAGAGGGTGGCACCACCATGCAGGGTGGGCCCACGGCCAGCAGAGCCTCTGTTTTCAAGGGGGCAGTGCCTGGAGTGGGACTGGGGTGTCAACCAATGGAAAAGGCAGGGCTGCTGGGGGGTCAGGGTGGACACGTGGACCCTCCTGCGGGCAGAGACCTCAGTGTGGGTGACGTGACGCACCCATGGTTAGTGCTGCGCAGCCACTCACCCGGGATCCCTATTTCCCAGTGGACCAGGGGAAGTCTCGATTTCAACCCCGTCTTCTCCCTGAGAGCCTCCTGGGGCCAGCCGAGGGGCGGGCTCACACAGGGTGTGCCCCCTGGCATGCAGGAGACGCCTGAGGATGGAGTCCCGGACGCAGCCTACCAGGGTCTTCAGGTCCTTCAGCTGGTTCCTTAGCTGGAAGAGCTCTGTGGAGGTCAGCAGGATGGTGTTGAGGGCGTGGACCATGGTCGAGGCGAACTTGAGGTCCTCCTCCCGCAGCAGGATGTCTGCCATTGAGTGGAAGATGTTCTCCGCATTCAGCAGGAGGCACAGCTGCCTGGAGAGCAGGCAGACTGGGGTCAGGGCGCAGGCCGACCTGGAAGGCTCTGTGTCTCAGCCTGGGAGGCCTCCTCTTGGTTTTGCAGCGTCCTGGGGAAACTGCTCTTTCCTGAGGCCAGTGTGGAGCCATGACTCTGAGGCCTGTGGTTGTGGGAGGGCGGGGAAGGGTGGGGGGAATGCCGCACCTGCCTCTAGGCCTCCCAGCACTGCCTACCTGGGCCTAGCCACGCCAGGGCGCCCCACGCTATATTAATCTCCCGGCACAAGAGAAACAGCTGGGCCTCCAGCTACCCAAAATAGTTCCTGAGATCCCGTCACCTTCCTGAACTCCCACATGTCTGAGCAATGGCCCCCACCCCAGGCCAAGACACGCCTGTCCCCTGCTGGGCTTTCTTCTCTTGCTAGAACTCATCTTCATCCAGCCAATTCTCCACACATCGGTCACCTGTTTACTGCCCCACTCCTCCTCCTGGAAGCCCCCGAGGTCAGGGATTTGCACTGTTCGGGCTGTACCCTGCGGCCTGGAGCACAGATCCGTGTGGGATCAGCGTTATGACCCTGAGTTTTTTCTTCACTGTACGGATGGTGAAACTCTGGTGAAGTGACTTGACTAAGGTCGCAGAGTCACTTACGGCCAGAGTCACTTAGGGCTCGCTGGTCCCTGGGCCATGACCCCTTTCCCATCTCTTGTCTAGTTAAGAGTCGTTCAGGGCTAAGGATCGGACTTTGTGAAGAGGAGCCTCCCTGTTATACAAAAGGCAAAAAGGGAACCCAGAGGATGAAGAAAAGCAGATTCCTCAGGGTCCCTGGGCCGGATGACACGAGCAGTGAGAAGTGGGTGGTGAGGACAGGCTTGGAGGAATCCGCGCTGCTTTTCCACGTGCCCTTGGAGGCCTGGCCTGCAGGGGAAGGGCACCTGGGCAATGCTTCCCAGCTGGAGTCCCAGGGATTCGGGAGCTTCCCCAAAACAGCATGATGCAGGCAGGATGGGGCATGAGCGGGGTGGCTGGTGAGAGGGTGGTGTGCAGCACTGCGCTTCCTGAGTGCTGGGCTGGCGGCAGCGTGGCACCCCTGCCCACACCACCTTCCGTCTGGGGCTAAGCTCCAGTGCCTGACGCCGCATCCCGTCTCCAGGGAAGCATCACCACAGTTCCAACACGGCGTCGGAGGCCCCGAGGTCTTGGGTGCTCAGTGACGTGAGCCACATTTCTTGGTGGGAGGCCTGAAACACCTCCATCTCCTCCTAGGTCGCTGGACTCAGCCTCCGCTCCGCATGACCTGGGCCCAGCTTCCCAAATGCCCCTGAACGCCAGCCATGGCTCTGGGGCCAGGCTGGAGAAGATTCCTCCCCACCCCCAGCCCCAAAGCAACCCCAGAGCATTTGGTAACAAAGAGGCCAGACCACAAAGCGCAAACAGTAGGCAGGCCGTTCCAGCCTGCCCCGGCTGGAGCCTGCAGGCCTGGGCAAGAAACCACGAGAAACAGAAACAAGCGGCACAGGGAGGGGGTGGCGGCCGCACGAGTGAGGGCCGCTTCATCTCCCCGCGCATGCCACCAGGACCCTGCCATGCCGGGGGCTCCCCTGGGGTTAGGTGGGAGGTGAAGGCCTCCGCCTGGTGTCCCCAACTACCAGCGGTGTGATCTCAATGTCTCCGCACAATTTTTCCACCTTAATTAGGGGCAATACCTATCTGTGAAATAGGGGGAAGTTCTCAGAGGGCAGCCTGAGGACGAGGAACAAGCCATGTAAGGCTAGTGTGTGGAACTAGCCATGTAAGGCTAGTCCTCTGGGGAGCTGCTGGCTGCAGAGGGAAAGCCCAGCCAGGCAGCCTCAAGCCAAAGGCCAGGAGGTGGTGGCCCTGCTGCAGAGCCCAGACAGTGCTTCCTGGCCCCTCCCGGTCCCCCAACCCCTCCATGAGCCCTGTCTCCATGGCTGTGGGACAGAAATGTTCCAGAAGGGCAGGCACAGGAGGAAGGGGGGCGTTCTGACAAATGGTCACAAGTGCCCGTCGCCGGCAGCTGGTGCCGTCTCCATGACAGAGGCCAACAGCTGAGCCGCTGCCAGGCAGCGCTCTCCAGGGATCCAGGCCGGCAGGCGGGACCTGTGGCAGCAGAGGGCAGGGTGGTGCCCATGTGAGGGCAGGCTGAGGAGGGTGCGGAGGGAGGGACGGAAGAGGGGCTGGTGGTGAGGAGAAGCGGGCACCCAGACCTCCTGGTGTCCCAGAGAAGCTGGGGAATGCTGACTGTGTTACAGAAGGTCAGGAATAGTGGAGTTTTCTGGAAACTCTTCTCTTGCCACCAGTGATACCACCCTCTCCTGGTTTTCCTCCCACCTCTCCCCCAGGGCTGGGGTAGCCCTTCCGCTCTTCTCTCTCTAGTCTGTGCCTCTTGGTAGTCTGTGGTCCCAATCAGTGACTCCCACACATGCCCTCCGGCCCTGAGCCCCTGCTGGGCTCTAGATGGAACAGCTGCTTGCCTGGTGGAAGGCCCTGCCTGGCCACCTAGCAGGCATTTCAAACCTTGCTGGGCCACAACCAGCCCTTGGTGTCCCCATAGACTTGCCAACCCCCTCCTCATCTCAGTAAACGGTGGCACTGTCCACCCAGCTGCTCAGGCCCAAACCACGAGTCATCCTGACCCCCAGTCCCTCTGCTGGGTCCACTGGCACGTATGGGGGCCTTACCCTGGGAGCACAACCTACACGGCCACCCTGCCCCACACACCCGCCCCCATGCCTAGGGGGCTGTCAGCATCTCCTGCCTGGTCCATCTCCCCATGTCTCAGGATCTGCCTCCTGCTGCTTCTCCTGCCCCCACAGTCCACCCTCCACACACCAACTGGACAATCCTAAAACAGGCCCATCAGAACATGCCCCTCCCTGCTGGGATTTGCTAGCGGCTTCCGCCTGGATCTGAAACAAACCCAGCCCCTCACCTCGGCCTATAGGGTCTCACACCTCTCGCTGGTTCCTCTCCAGCCTCCCTCTTGCTGTCCCTCCTCCACTCACGGCATTCTAGCCTCTTGGGTTTTTTGGTTCCTGACCTCGCCAAGCCCACGTGGCCCTAGAGGCTCTGCCTGCTCTGCCCTGGCCAGATGGCTTGGCCAGGAATGGCACGTGGCAGGCTCCTCCCAGACATCGAGGCCTGGGCTCCAACCTCAGGTCCTGATGAAGCCTCAGTCTGAAATGCAGGCCCCTCCTACCAGCCCCTTCTAAGAGAAAGTTCTAGTTCTTTCAGGGCACTCATCCCCAAGAAGCAAGGGTCTCCCGAACAGAACGGTAGGTGCACTGACCCTCCACCCCCTCCGCCAGGCCAGCGCATTCTCTCTGTTCATGCCCAGGCAGGCCTTTTTGTGCTGTGCAAACACCAGTGTGTGGAAAACGGCAGTCTGATGTTACATTTTTGCCCTTGTCACCCATCAGGCCAAGCCCTGCCCAGATCTTGCACTCTCTTGCTGGCCGAAGAGGCCTGGGAAGCCAGCTCATCCCAGGAGACTCTGGAGCACAAGCCTCCTCACGAGGTGTCTCCCTCTGAGTGAGGTGTCTCCCTCTGAGCATCGCTAATTAAAGCACCACAAGAGGGAAAGGGAGAGGAGAGGCCGGGAGCAGGCACCACAGAGAGCAGTGCTGAGGCCATGTCATGCTCCAGCCGCTCGCTCAACCACCCTTGCTCCAGGAGGAAGAGCCTGGAGAGGCTGCTCTGGGGCTGGCAGCGGAGGGGCCTCCACTGAGGATGACTCCCATCCTACTGCTGGGAAGGAGGTGGGGGCCGCATCCTGCCTGACCCCAGGTCACCCTAGGTTTGGGGAGAAGGAAAACCCAGATCACTGCGTTGCAAAGCCTCAAGAAGACAGTAATAATAGCGGAAGTGTTGGCCAGCTCACGGGGCCCTTACTACAGGCAAGGCTCAGGGCAGAGGGTGTGAGAAGTGGGCCCTTGAGTCAGGAAGCTGGGGAGGGAGGAAAGAGGGCCCATTTTCCACTACAGTCCCTAGTCCACACCGGGATCTGTACAGACAGGTGGCCTTGGAGTTCCCACGCACCTGGCACTGGGCTCTGGGTTAGCTCCACTCGCAGTGTCATGCTGAGTCCTCACATAACCTGGGCAGGGTTATCACCCCCACTGCAGAGAAGAGGAATCTGAGGTTCAGAGAGGACCCACAGCTGACCGGAGGAGGAGGAACAGAGTATTCAGACCTAGAAGAATCGACTTCCAGAACCTGAGTTCTTCCTCACCACTCTGCTTCCCCAGTGCCTGCTGTGAGTGGGCACCAGGGGCTGTCCCTGCCCGGCGGAGGCCTGGCAGATGGCTGCCTTGCAGGGCTGCTGCATCATCACTTCTTTGCTGAGCCCCAGCCCAGCTTGAGTTGCCTGCCTGGCTCCCAAGCGCAGTGTCAACAGTGGAGCACAGCTTGCAAGCATTAAACATGTGCCCATATTTTCCAACACCCGCATGAAAACGCTATTCGTCATGAGACAATGGCCTGGAATGTGCTTGGAAACAAGGCAGAGAGCTGGGGTGGGAGGGAACCTGAACAGGGTCTGGGAGGGCATAGGGGACCTCTTGTACCACCCTGGAGACCCACCATGGGGCTGGAGGAGGGCAGGGGTCCACAGGGGAGTGTGTCAAGTCAGTAAGGGGGCCTCTGGTATATCCCGATGACTCAGGCACAGGCAGGGGGGATGTGGCCAGAAGGCAAAGACACACGCCATTTAGGGAAGGCTCCTCCCTCAGTGGCAATGGAGCTTTTGGCCCAGCAGGGGCTGTGTCACTGGTTGTGTCCTTCACACACAGCCCAGAGGCCCTGTGGACGCAGCTCTGCCTCCCCGTCTTGGGCTGCTGGCTGCCGCCTGGACAGCTGCTCCCCCTTCCAGGTCTGGTTTTGTGCTGGGGGCGGGACCAGCTTCTCTTTGGTTTCTCTGCCACATACCCAGGCGCTCTCAAAAGAGCAACCTGCCCTCGGCCTGCTCTGAACTTCCCGGAGCCCAGCAGAGGGGGCGGTCACTTAGCCTTAAGAACTGAGACTACACAGCCTTGCCCATGAACATTCCCTTTGGGGCAGCCTCCAAGGCCAAGGCTAAGGCTCATGCTGAGACCAGGGTAGGAGAGACGTGGCTCTGCATCCCCCTGCAGCCTTCTCCACTGCTCTGGAGCAGCATCTGCCTGGAGGTGACTGCACCACACCTGCCAGGGGCTGGTGTGAGCCTTCGTGTCACTGTCCCTCCCATCACTAACACTGGCAAGCATCAGCACACATCAGGTGCCAGCCATGGACAGCCGCAGGCCTCTGTGGGAGATGCTCTCCCAAACCCCCACCTGGCATCCACACACAGCCCCTGCTTCAGGTGAAACCTGGGCCAGGGTGGGCAGGAGGAGTAAGGTGTCAACTGGCTTTGTAGGTGCCGCAGTGTCTGGGTGGCTCTAGACTGGCCAGTCACGCCCTAAGGTCATGTGGTCCAGGCTGGCAGGAGCCCTGCCTCATGGTAACAGAAGGGGCGGTGGGAGAAAGGCATGGATGGGAGCCTGGAGCCTGGCACTGTCTTCTTTGTCCTTTCCTGGGTTGGGGGCAGGGGCCACACACTGCATCTCCTCCAGGGATAAGACAGGTCACTGATTTGGGCAAAGCCAGGCCTTGGTTTGGAGGACAAGACTTCCTGGGGGCTTTACCCCCCAACACCCCTCCTGCCTGGGGCTGTGTGCAGAGCAGCAGAAGAGGGGCTGTGCAAACACTGCTGTCTGAGGGTGCAGCTGGCTGTGGCCAGTGGCCTCTCCCCACCTGGTTAGTTCCTGCAGGCCTGGAGCAGGGCATGAGGAGGGCCAGCTCACAGTGGGAGAGAGGGAGCAGTTCCTTTTAGGACAGACTCATCGTGGGAGCCTGGGGAGGGCAGAGCCTGGCACGTTAGAGGCTAGGGACAGCCGGAGCCCGCTCGGGAGGAGCTGGGGAATGGCTCCTTCGCCAGGTGTCTGTAGGAGCAGAGCCCCGTGCTGCAGGTGAGGCCCAGGAGGGCAAAGGACGGAGCTTGGGTCTCCTTGTGGGGAGCTGACATTCTGGCTCCCTGCCGTGCTCCGCCCTAGGGAAGCTGGACTCTGCCATGTGGCTTCAGGCAAGACATGAAACTTCCCATGATCTCATGTCCCTGCACCCTCTGAAAACAGGACCAGCGAAGTGACCAAGGCCAGAAACACTTCCCCATCCTCACTGTTGGCTGATCCTTCCCAGGTCCCTCTGCTGTTTGCTCGGGATACTTGTGCCGGCTCCCTTTGGGGACCCTCCTCTGGCTCTGGTCACCAAGCAGGGGCATGCTACTGGCCCCCCGCCCCCACCTGCCCAGTGACTGTTAGGACGCTGAGCCATCTGCTGGGGATGGGAACCCATGCACTCACTGGGTGCAGGCTCTGCCCTCCCCACCCCTCCTTCCTTGGGCCTGGCTTCTTAAGAGGGTGACCAAGGCAGCAGCAGATGATGCATCTGACCCGTGGTGGGGGTGTTTTGGGTGAGTGTTCAGCCTGGGAGGAGGAGAGGCCGAGGGCCCAGGAATGCCCTTCTGCCAGCACTGGCCTGCAGGGCCCTTGGTGGACGCAGCCTGCCTCTCTGCGCAGGTGGGCCAACCTGGCGCTCAAGGGCAGGGATGTGGACAGGGCATCAGATGAACTCAAGAGAAGTTCATGGGGAAATGGAGACTGAAGCAACCATCCCCTCCCAGGGGCCTCTGACATTCTTGACTATCCCAAACAATAAGCCACCAGCAGCGTGGAAAACAGCTGGCCTGGCGGGGACAGACCCTGGACTCAAACCCTAGAAAGAGACAGCAAGGTTGAGAGATGAGCGTGGAGGCTGGGGGCGCCTGCTCCCGCCCGGCATGCCCTCAGCTGCTCTCTCTACTCCAGCCCTCACTGGCCCCGCAACGCTGCCCTCCCCATGATGAACAGAGGACTCAGAAGAAGCCTCAGCTGGCAAGTTCCAGGAGGGGTGGGTGTACCCCACCTCCTCAGTTTTCCCCTATGCTCCACCTTGTCCACTCTCGCGTGCCATCGATGGGACATCCTTCCCAGTGGAGCCTTGTTGGTGGCCCCATGAGAGGCAAGAGTGTGGGTGATTTTGCTCGGTACCTCCTGTTAGACTAGTTCACACAAGTGGCCTCACTGGATACAGATACAGGAAGGTCTCCTCCTACTGCCCAACCACCCCAAGAACCCTATCGGGTTCTTCATGCCTCTGCTTCTCCAGTCTGGCACCAGGACCCTCTGGTGGTGCTCATTTCCCACCCCAGCAGGTCCAATTCTCTAGCCCCACTGGCCTGGTGGGGACCCTGCCTGCAAGCCCAGCTCTTTGGTCAGAGGGTGTCATGGGGCATGGGGTCAGCGATCGCTGTGCTCCCTGGCAGGCTGTTGGCAGCTGTGGATGGGGATGGGGTTCTTACATGGGTGACTGGGCAGGTAGTCCTGGCTCCAGGTCCCTCAGAGGCTGGGCTGGATGCTGATTCTGAGGACAGTGTGGGCTGGGTGGACTCCACCGGTCTCTCTGCAAGTCGCCTTAGGACTGGGCAAACCAGCAGGAGGGCAACAGGCTTCAGGTGCCTGCTGAGGGCAGGGCATCCTGGCTCAGAGGCCCCTCCCTTCTCCCTATGGCCAGGCCTCCTTCCTTCATTTCCATCCCCAGCTGCCTGTGGCTCACTGACCATGCACAGAGGGGCGAGCCCTTGTTTATTTTCTTTTTTGAGACGGAATCTTGCTCTGTCACCCAGGCTGGAGTGCCATGGTGCGATCTTAGCTCACTGCAACCTCTGCCTCCCGGGTTCAAGCGATTCTCTTGCCTTGGTGGCTGGGATTACAGGCATGTGCCACGATACTAGGCACATTTTTCTATTTTTAGTAGCGACATGTTGACCAGGCTGGTCTTGAACTCCTGACCTCAAGTGATCCACCCGCCTCGGCCTCCCTAAGTGCTGGGATTACAGGTGTGAACCACCACGCCTGGATAGCCCTTGTTTCCTTTCTACATTGGATGCTGGATGGTGCCCACATCCATCCCCTTCAGTGGTCCAAGGCCAATGGACCCCAGTACTTTCCTAGGAGACACCTGGAGTCTCACGGCCAATAAATCTGAGGTGCAACCTAATATCAAGGCTACAAACTACAGAGAAGGCCTGGACCGCTCCCACCGGAAAAGGGCCTCCTCCCTGCCTTGTTCCTGCCCCACAGCTGGGATCCTTTAGGAATTTAAAGAGAAAGCAGCTTTTGGGTCAGTATAACCTTAGGATAGGGAGAGGAGGGAGTAGCCTCCCATCTCTAGTCCAGAACGCTCCAGAATCTCACTGCATCCTGCCCCTCCCCCTCTGCTCTCTTCCCTTCCAACTCTCTGCTTCCAAGTATGAAAACTGTAAATCTGTTTTATTTATTTCAATCAATCCTCGGCAGTGTGCCCCTCAGGGCAAAGGCAGCCATGGTAACCCTGCCAACTCATGCCTTAAAAATTCATCGTTGTTTAATGCAGTCGATGTGTCTGGTACACTTAAAAGTTTCTTGCAGGGAGTGGGGTGGGAGGAGGAGGAGGATGCGGAACTTGTTTTTCTGGGCTTTGTAGGGAGCTGGTGGAAAGGGGATGGAGGGAGGAGGGGCACAGGAAGAGGCCTTCAGTCCTCTTAGCCATCTGTCCCTCTGTGCAAGAGGAGGTGCCATCGGGCTCTGGGAGGTCCCAGACACCTGTGCTGGGCTCATCTAGAGACCTCCATAGAAGGTCTCATCTGGGTGGGAGCTGCCACAGAAAACGAAACAGTCTCACAGAGGCAGCTGAAGCCTCAGCCCCCCAGGATTAGCAGGTCCCTCACCCTAAGTTTGGGGCTTGCTCTAGAGAGCAAGTTGACTCCCGCTTTCTGAACTGCCCAGGGTGGAGTCAGATGACCCTTGCTGCCACGGGAGGGGCTCTGCCTTCTCCTCAGAATGGAAGTCATCTTCTACCTTGGCCCATCGGGCTGGCTTGGCCTTTTTTCTTTTTTTTTTTTTCAAGATGGAGTCTCGCTCTGTCATCCAGTGCAGTGGTGTGATCTTGGCTCGCTGCAACCTCTGCCTCCTGGGTTCAAGTGATTCTCCTGCCTCAGCCTCCTGAGTAGCTGGGATTACAGGCGCCCGTCACCACACCTGGCTAATTTTTGTATTTTTAGTAGAGACTGGGTTTCACCATGTTGGCCAGGCTGGTCTTGAACTCCTGACCTCAGGTGATCTGCCGCTTTGGCCTTCCAAAGTGCTGGGATGACAGGCGTGAGCCACCGCACCTGCCTTGGCCTTATTTTCCATGTGTCTTTTCAGTCTGACCACCCCGTCCCCTGTGTCCATTCACAGGTACTCAAGCCCCCTGTTCTTTCCCAGGACAGCCCTCCCCTGTCTCCTGCCTCACCTGCTGCTAGTTCCCACCAATTTCCTTCCTAAGGTGGTACTTGGCCCCTGGGCCCTCCCTGAGCCCTGGTTCCTTTTCAGCTTACACCACAAGGCCTAGGGCTGGGCCCCTACAGGCAATGGGGGAGATGAATGCTTGTAGGACAGAAAATTAACTTCCAGGAAGGGACAAGGTGGCCTGGGTTACTTTGGCCGTGGGGCTGGGCATGCACATGGAACTGCAGGCCAAGGGGCTTCAGAGTCAGGTGGGTTCTGAACTGTGTTATCAGGGTTCTTGGCGGGTGTCTGGCTCTGGCGGAAGCATTTCGCATTCTGCAAGGAGTCCCTGTGAGGGAACTCAGCAGGTGTTTGACTCACAATGAGGTCTGCGTTTGTGTCTTAGAAAAGAGGCTGCGCCTTCTATCCCACATAGACACACCCCAGAATACGGCTGGATGCAGGTCAGATGGCGAGGGCTGGGGACAGGCGTGTAACCCTGTGCTGGAGGCTCTGAAGCTGAGATAGCAGGAAGGACCGATGGGGTATCTGCTGAGATAGTGTCTTGGTGTTGGAGAAAAACGCAGTGTGAGGAGGGCAAGGCCGGGGTGAGGAGACAGCTGGGTGCGGGGAGGAGGGGCAAGAGTGCGGCCGGTCTGGCCCCTGCCTGGAGACCATTGTCCCCCGGCCATGAAGCCTTGGCACGGCCGCAGGGACCTTCTTGCATGCTGAATCCTCAGTGCAAATGAAAACAAAGGGACTGGTCACTAAAGGAAATCCTGTTGTCTCCATGATAATCAACTCCAAGAAGTGCTGAGAAGTGCCCAAGCCCTTGGGTCCCTGCTGGGCTCCTGCCCTCTCTTGCCACAGGGATTTCCTCCAAGCTGGAATCACCATTTCCTTCCTAATCCTGGCCACAAATGACAGTACATTAGGAACATCGTGTACATTCAACTCCTCAGCATGGGCCACTTGTGATTTCAGCCCAGAGCCCTTTCTAGCAGAGAATGCCATGTGCGGCACAGATGAGAGGCCTTGCCAAAGACCCCCTTGGTCAGCCTAACCCCAGCACCAAGTACTCACTGCTGCCCACCCACCCCTTTGTCCCCCAACAAGCTCCAGGGCCTACACAGCACAGAGCCTTAGACACACTTTTCCGGGAAGACAGTTTGGACCTCCTGAGCTGCAGAGATCACTGGGGCCTTCTGGTGTGGACTGGAGCGAGTTTCTCCAGAAGCTTCCTGTGGCTCCGGGGCAGCATATCTGTAGCCAGCTCCTTTTACCCCACTCTCCCGCTGGAGCCACCTCTGTGGGTGGATGGCACTGACCACACCTGGCTGGGATGGTGTTGGCCTGTGATCCACACTTAGTTCTACCCTCCTAGGGCAATGGTTTGTCTCCAAGGGTACGAGAGGGAAGCAGGGCCTTGAAACTGCAGCCATAGTTCTGTAGCCTGGACCCAAACTCTGACCCAGCGGAGAAAGTCCACGGGGCTGACTCCAACAGCAGGTTCCCGGAAACCAGTTGGGAGCAGCAGCTCCTGAGTATGGGAGTCAGGCCAGCTACTGCCTGAGGTCCAGGCTGGGGAGATTTTAATATAAAGATTCCTGGTGCCCAGGGAGACATGGCCAAGGCTGGTGCTCTGAACTGGCTGATACATTCCCTGGCTGACACTGCCAGGGAAATGGCCAGGGAAATGGCATCCCTGAACCCTACCTGCCCTGGGGCCTCCTGGGCTCTGCTGGAGAACTGCAGCTGTAACCTTTCTCTCCCTTTGAAGCCCTCTGGGCTTGAACCCTCTAAGCAGGATTTCCTCCTGAGGATGTGCTCAGCTGCCCCCGTGGAGGCCAGCCCTGCCCACGAGGAGGCCGCCACCGCCTGGCACGCTGCTTCCTGGCCCTGCCTGCCCTTGCACGCCCCTGCCACCCGCATGGGACAGGAAGGAACTGAAGCCAAGGACTGGTCCCAGGCCACACAGCCAGGGCCACAGAGGGGCCAGAACTTGGGTTTCTGACCTGGCACTCATGTTCCCATGAACATGTTCCCATGCTCTGTGGCATCTGCAAGGGACACAGACCTCCCTTCCCTGGCTGGCTCCCCTTCCCACCCATTCCCTGCAGCTTGTATGCCCAGGGCAGAGACACCCCTTCACCCTGTGGCATGTGACCTCACACAGGGTCCTCGGAGATTGAGTCTGTCTTGGGACGGGTAATGGAAAGGCATCCCTGCATCTCTGCCATTTTCCCCTGCAAACCGCAGGGGGACTTGTGAGGAATGAGGCGGGTGAGGGACAGCAGTGCTGGGACCCGAGTAAGGTGGCCAGAGCTACTCCGGCCCCAACAATGTCTGGCGACGCCCCTTGCCCGTGTTCTGATCACCAAGCTGTTTGTTTTCCTTTACTTCAGGCGACGATTCCCAAACTAGTCCCTTTGTTCCAGGCCAGGGAGCACTCCAGCTGCTGCGTATTCCACAGTTTACAGATGGTGAGCCTCCCCTTCTGCCTCGTCGGTGCTGGACCAAGACACGGAGGCCTCGGCAGGGCCCACACTCGGCCCCTCTGGCCTTGAAGCCACGGACCCAACTTGGGTCCAGCAGCCCCAGTGTTCATATGGCCATAGCCCCGTGTCAACATTTCCCTCCCCCAAATTATTTAACCAGATGGGCTGTCCTCCTGGTCATGGGCCCTGGGTGATTACAGTGATTCACTAGTCTCTCGTGTTCCCGTGGCAACTTTCCTTCAAAGGACCTCCTGCGCTCTGAAGGAGTTCCGGCCAGGGGCTGCCATTCTGGTTTCTGGGGGCACCTCGAGTGCTCTGCCCTGGGCGCCATGCGCATGGCTTCAGCTCCACGTCCCTCAGCGGGGAGCCGCCAGCCCCTGTCCCATCAGTGTCCTCATCCACCCAGAAGGCTGCGCATTTACCCTCTAGAACAAAGAGGGTCCCTCAAGCCAGGAATACCCTAACTGAGGAACCCCAGAGCCTGGCTGTATGCATGGACCACGTGCGGGCCTCACCTCCAGGAGGTCCACGATCTGTACTCTCAACAAGCTTCCGGGGCGGCCAGAGACCTGCTGCCTGCAACTGCCTCACCAGGCCTGATCGCTTCAGGCATGGCCATGCCCTCCTGAGGGAAGGAGGAGACTCTGGCAGGAGTCTGAGAGGATGGGTGGCAGCAGGGCCTGGCTCGGCCTTGGAGCTCTAGGCGGAAGGCCCTGACACTTGCCTTCTTGAGGCCCCACCCCCACCTGTGCAGAGTCTGGGTCCTGGTTTACGTTTCTGCTTGGCATTTCACTGTTTCCCTGCTGGTCTCTACCTTCACGGTCCCGAGCCTGCTGTGCACAGCCCTGGCCTCCTCTGTTCAAACAGAAAGATAAAGAGGTCAGCTCTTGGGCAAGACCTGTGCTTGGACTCTCCCTGGCCTCCTGACAGCCATGTGGCCTGGCCCACCTGCATAGCCCCAGCACCCCAAGAGGAAGCACAGCTCACAGCTGCTGCCCTGGGCACGGGCCATTCCTGCCTTTCTGGCTGTGATTAGGAGCTAGAGCCATGAGTGCCTTTCTTGTCTTCACATCTTTAGTCCAGGGGTTTTGTGAAATTTTATGAACTGAGATGGCTTTCTCTAGGCTTTATAAGTGCCCACTTAAAGAGCACTGAGATAAGTGTCAGGAAACAGGACGAGAAGTTAAACATGAATACTCACCAGTGGTAACAAAGAGCAAATATCAGAGCAGCCTCACGGCGGCCTCTGAGAGGCCGGTAAAAAGATCAGAGTCTCAAAGGACTGGGAGGATGGAGGTGCCACAGCCGTAGTGGTGGGCCACAGCATGGCTGGGAGGGGGCTCCTTCAGTTATTCTCGGCCAAATGGAAGGGGAGGGGTTCTCCTATTTGTACCCTCCCCCACCCCCTCCCGGGAGGCTGAAAAAATTCCTTTTGTGATCAGCCATTTTCAGAGAATTTTAAGACGGATGAAATAGGCTTTTCATCCACATGTTCCCTGCCAGCCCAGGAAATCTTCCCTGGATTAAACGCGTGAGAAATAAGAGGGCCCCAGACATGAGGCGTCCTTGGAAGTCACCCGAGGGGACATGTCTTAGTCCTAGCTCTGGGTTACAGGCGAGGCGCCCTATAGCAGAACTTGCGCTGGTGGGCAAGAGGCCTGCTCCCTCCACTCCCCACCAGGATCACGCCACTGCCCCTCTGAGCAAAGACACGAGGTAACCACCGACAGAGAAAGGCGGGTGGACAGATTTAATACTGGGATATGGCAGCCTCCGTGGGGAGGGACAGTGACCCTGAGCCATTGGGCTCAGGCTGGGAGCGTAGAGGCAGTGTCTAGCCGGGCTCAGGATCCGGAGGGAGATGTGTTCTGCACAAAGACAGTGAAGGCGGTGGACCTGGGCAAGCTGCAGAGCTCTCCGAGTCCAGAGACCACTGCTGCCAAACCAGCACCAGACCGAGCCTCATGCTGATAAATGCACAGAAAGGGCTGCAGAAGGAAACACACCAAGCTGAGACCCAGAGGCTACTTCTGAGGGAGGAGGTGGCAGGTGGTCAGGGGTCTTTCCCATTTACTGCTATACCATTCTGCATTATTTCAGTTTTTATTGTATGTGGTTTAATATTTCTAAACAGAAAATAAAGTATTGAGAATCCTCTGTGTGCTTCTCTTGGACTCCTTCTTGGAGAGGCTTGGCGACGGAGCCCACGGGCAGGGCTGGGGAAGGTGCTACCTCCCCAGGGCATGGGTGCTCCAGCCTGGCCACGATAGTGGAGCTTTCCTCTCTAGAGGGGCTGCTGCAGGTTTAACAATGGAAACATGCATTTTACAAATGAGAGGATCAACAGCCAGGAAAAGGTATTTTTAGCTACGGTGGCTCTTTGCTTCAAAGGCGTATGTTTCATCTAAAACCAGGCAAACCTCCTACAAAGTCTGCCTGCTTGCAAGGAGTGATTAGCATAATACAAGCACGAAAAAAAAGGCCTGGCTCCACTTTGAGGCAGGAGTGCCTACTACAGGGGGAGGCTTTCTCCTAAAATAGAATCGCCAGCAGATGAGGAAAGTCTTATCAATGGAGACGAAGCCCCCATCTCCACTTAGAGCAAAAAAGCTACCGTGCGCGAACAGCCTGGCTATGACGGGCGCGCTGCAGCCACCAGCATAGAGCAGGGTCTGAGGATGGAAACGCTGACCACAGTTCCGCCCTGAAGACCACCATTCTGGGTGCTGTTTGAATCACTTTTGCCTCAGGCTCCCACCTTCTTCCAATTAAAGTACAAAGGGTTTCGGGCTGCCTTTCCAGACGTCCTTCCCCTGGGGGTAGGGAAGAGCCCAGTCAAGAATGGCCAGGGGAATGGACGTGGAAGAGGGCAGGCTTGAGGAGACACAGATGATGAAATCTTAGGGAGGCACCTTCCCCAGAGGCCACACCACTGTGAGTCAGATGTCTGCTCCTCTGGGACCCTCTATCAACCCAGAGCACTTGCCTCCTGGGCTCCCCACTCTCCTGCTCAGGAGCATCTTTGTTTTTGTTTTTTTTTTTTTTTGTAGAGATGGGGTCTTGCCATGTTGCCCAGGTTGGTCTTGAACTCCTGGGCTCAAGTGATCCACCCACCTCTGCCTACTAAAGTGCTGGGATTCTGGCGTGAGCCACTACGCCCAGCCTGTGGGCATATATTTGATTGCTATCTTTTCTCTCCTAGAAACCCATTAGCTGGCTGTGGGAAGCCCGAACCTGGGCCTGTGGGCCTGTGTATACGTGGAGAAAGGCTTGAACTCTTCTTCAAACACCACAAAAATGAAACGGAGGCTGTGACCCTCCAGGAGCGGTAACTGCAGATACAAATCTCTGCAGCTGCTGGAAACAGGGCACTCGGCAGCTGCTCCAGCGCCCCTCTCCTGTGGCCTGCTTGCTTACCAGGCCCAGGGCCCATCCTGGGGGCCTGCGACCTTGGGCTGCGGGGGTCGGGGAGGGGGCTGGGGCAGAGAGGTGGCAATTTTGCTCTCTATTTTAGGCATCACTGGCAGGAATGAGAGAAGAGACTGGAAGGATCAGTCATCTCTCCATCATCTCTCTCCCCTGAGGATCCCCACAGGGGTAAGATCATAGATGGGTCTTCCCGCGAGGGTCAGGGACTGGGAAATATTCACAGACGGGGCACGCAGCTGAAGATCTGAGAAACCAATTACTATGCTACTGGGGGGCCCAGGAGAAGCAGAAGGAACTGGACCGGGACAGCCGCTCACGCTTCAAGGGCAGGAATGGAGGTGACTCCAGGAACCTGTCAACTGTGGGGGCAGGGGGCTTCCAACAGAGGTAGGTGGGGGTCTTCTTCAGGAAAAGGGCTGGAAGGAGGGGCTCAGCTCATGGGAGAGGAAGGAAAAAGCTGACTCTTCTCAGGAAAAATGAGTGGACAAGGAAAGCTGGCCGAGTTCACAGGCACCTGGCATTAGCTGACTGAAGCCAGCGTACCCTGAAGAGCCAAACAAGTCCATGGCAGGGATGTCTGCGGTGTCGAGATGGTTTTAAACTTAGTCCAGATTATCTGCTTAAACTGCCTGTCCTAGCAGCACTGAACCTTCCAGAATGACACAGCAGCAAGAACCCTGGTCAAGCCAGCTTCCTGAGCCGGCTTCCTAACTAGCCTGCGGTGTTTCACGAGACTAATGGCAGAGGAGAGTGTGTAGGGCCACAGCTGTCATGGTGAACAAGTGAGGGTCTCACCACCTGCCCCCACTGGCGAGCCCTGGGCCCCACTTCCCTCCGTCCCACTGGAAGCTCTGTGAGCCAGCCACCTCAGGCACAGCCTGGCACATGCCCACTGCCTATCTGAAGGCTCCTCTCAGGGACTTGGGCACCCTCACACAGCGGTAGGAGGTTTTCTGAACCTGCTTCAGCCCTCCACTGGCTCACAGGGTACCTCAGAGGTAAGGCCACCAGGGGCCTCCCAGCCACACTCCAGGTTGCCCAGAGGGTGTGGGGACTGGTCTCTGGGCTTCTGAGCAGACTGCTTGCTGTGTCAGAAACACCTCCCCCACTCCTTCCCCGACCAGTTCCTACTCATCTTTCCTGGCTCAGCTTAGATGTCACGTTTCAGAAGCTTTCCCAGACTCCCCCAACAGGCTGGGCACCCCCTCCCCCACATCTGTTTCACCAAGGATCACCACTGTGCGATGCTATGCTTGCAATCGTGACTAACCCTGGCGGGCAGGGACTAGCTCTGCCCACTGCGGTGTTCCCACTGGTGGGCACTGTGCCAGGCACTGACGGACACCCAGGACAGGGTTGCTCAGTGATACATGGCGCTTCCTGGCTCCCCTGCCTGCCCAGCACAGCAGCAGCGCCCTGCCGCCCCCTGGGTGAAACTCTGATCTACCCTTGCAGGGAGGGGGCCGAGCTCTTGCTCCCGGCGGTTCCATTCTCAGAGAGGCGAGCGCTCTTGCCCGGCCTGACAGCTGTGGCCTAATTTCCAGGGCTATAACCGGGCTCCTTATTTTTACCCACTTGGTATTTTTCATTACTGATGCATGGGAGATGGCCAGGGATTGGGAATGGGGGAGGTGTGGGCTAATGGAAGACGCGTATGCGGTGGAGTCGGGGCTGTCGGGCCAAGGTGAGGGCCTGCAGGCGGGATAGAGAAGGGGTGGGGACAGACCAGACAGATACATGTATTTTTAAATTTTACAAGGGAAAAAGAAAATCCCAAATCCCACCCCCTTGTTTTTCCTCAGTAAGCATTTTCAACAAGGTCACAAATGCGCTGGCTCTATAGATTTTTGGCTCCAAACCACATTTCAGGCAGCCTTTAAAAGCCAATTCTTGGCATAGCTTCAGCGGAGCCTGAGGAGAGGGGAAAACTAGGGCACTTTTATGCTTTCAGAAAACCTCAGATCCAGGTCACAGCTTCCTGGCTCTACTGACGCTGTGGGGCACCCCCCTTCTCACAGGCCTGACCTGAGGACCCCCCTCCACCTCCCCCAGTGTTTTCTTCAGAGCATGGATCACAAGACCAGGTCACCTGTTTCTTTGTTACTTGTCCCTGTGGGCCCCTCCCATGAGGCTGCAGCCCCGGGGGAGGCGTGAGCCATGCCACAGCTGGCATGGGGCCTGGCACATCCCAGGCACTCAGGAATATTTGCGGAATGCCCCTCTGTGTGGAGTGAGTGAATCTTTGACCCCTGTTCCCCAGCCAGGGAGCTCTCTCCTTATGAACTCCCCAGTGCTCTTGTCCAGCCCCTATAAGATGTTCCCATCTCCCTGAAATACCTTCTCCCCGGTCTGTGGAGGCTGGGCCCATGTTGGCCTGGCCCAGGCCCTCCTCCGTACAAAGGCAGCAGGCAGTAAATATTTACAGGAGAAATCAAAGCCTCAGTTTCTTTCTGTATGAAAGAACCCAACTGGCCCATAAGGTCCCTCCTGGCTTCTCCCTGACTGAGACTCTCTGGGACTCTGATCAGTTTTGGCCCTGCGGCTACCCAGGCCTGGGTCACATGTATGGAGACAGGGCCCCAAGCGGGCCCTGGTATGAGGTGCTGGGCCTGCGTCCCAATTCCACACGCGACAAAGGGTAGAAGACCCATCCGCTCTGCCTGCATGGATGCTTCCAGAAATAGTGCTGTTGGCGGAAGGAGGCCACAAAGGAGGAATCAGCTGGAGGCCATACCTGGCCACCACCTCCTCACTGCCTGCTCCCACTGTGGATCTGGAGGGTCACTGGGTCACATATACAGCTTCACCCTCCCACTTTCCTGCAGGAAGGAAGGAGTTGGCTGCTTGGAGGTGAAAAAGTCACTCCTTCAGTTACCCCCATGGTGGCCCTTGGTAGGGCCTACTTCACACTCCTCCTCTGTGAGCATTTAAACCCAGACCACCAGGTCCACACCATTGTTGGCTCTGCCTCCTGATGTCCATGGCCTTGGATTCTGGTTCCAGAACCATGACGGCCCATGACACCTGCTCCTGTGTCTGAGGGTGGGCACCCGACCCTTTTCAGGGCAATCAGCACCAGCGCACTCTGGCCACACTGATGGGTCCCATGGGACATGAGCCCAGGACAGGTGCTGAAGGCTGGGGTGCCGAGAGGGCCGGAGCGAGCCACCTGGCCACAAAGCGGGTGGCCTGTCCACTAATGGGGCAGATGGAGGAGGAAGAGCCAGCTGTGGCGGGGGAGAGGAGGACTTGAGGACAGGAGGTGGCCTGAGCCTTGAACTTCTAGTTTTAAATGAGCCCATCCTCGCCTCTGCCTGCACACTACCTTTATTTTTCTTTTTTTAAAAAAGTATAGAATGTATTTTCCGGATATAGATCGGCACACTGAATAGTATTGATACCTTTGTTTTTCTTCCTGTAAGGGTGAGAATTGGTTTTCTGCCATGTGCCGTCCAGAGTCCTGACTGCACAGAACTGGACAAGAGCTAGTTGCTGGGTGGGTTGGGGGACAGAAGACGGGAGAGTGCTGGGGTTTGAGTATTCATTTTTTTCTTTTTCTTTTTTTTGAGACAGGGTCTCACTCTGTCACCCAGGCTGGAGTGCAGTGGCACGATCTCAGCTCACTGCAACCTCTGCTTAAGCCTCCCTCTCGCCTCAGCCTCCTGAGTAGCTGAGACCACAGGCGCATGCCACCATGCTCAGTTAATTATATTTCTCTTTTTTTGTAGGGCGGCAAGGGTTTCACCATGTTGCTCAGGCTGGTCTTGCACTCCTGGGCTCAAGTGATCTGCCTGCCTTGGCCTCCCAAAGTGTGGGATTACTGGCATGAGCCACCGCGCCCGGCCTTGAGTATTCATCTGAATGACTCTATAACTTTCTCTCTTACTCTTCTCTAGAAACAGGAGAAAGTGAGTCAACCCCAGAACACCTGCGTTCCAGGAGCTGAGCCCGAGGGAGCAGTTGGGCCAAGCCTGGCTCTGTGACCAGCCACTGCCCACCCCGGGAGCTCCTCGGCTCCTCACAGTTATCTACTAGTTGCTTCTGGTACTGAGTGCACAAGTTACTAGGTGCCAGGCTGTCTCCTAAGCACTTTCCATATGCTTCGTCACTCAGTCTCACAGGGATTAGGAGGAGATAGTGATGATCCCCGTCTGCATTTCTCTTTTAAGAAAACTGTGCTTGGGGCTGGGTGCGGTGGCTCACGCCTGTAATCCCAGCACTTTGGGAGGCCAAGGCGGGCGGATCACGGGGTCAGGAGATTGAGACCATCCTGGCTAACATGGTGAAACCCCGTCTCTACTAAAAATACAAAAAATTAGCCGGGTGTGGTCGTGGGCGCCTGTAGTCCCAACTACTCGGGAGGCTGAGGCAGGGGAGAATGGCATGAACCCAGGAGGCAGAGCTTGCAGTGAGACAAGATTGCGCCACTGCACTCCAGTCTGGGTGACAGAATGAGACTCCTTTTTAAAAAAAAAAAAAACAAAAAAACAAAGAAAACTGTGCTTGGGAAGGCAGCCACATGGCCAGCCCCTGTGGTTCTCCTGGCTCAGCATCTCGTGGGAAGAGTGACCCCTTTCCTTAGGTGTGCTGTTGCTCCCCAACTCCACGTGGGGTTCTGTTAGGGCTGCCACTCACAGCACCCCTCAGCCCCACCTCCCTGCCACTGGCCCTGTCTGGGCCAATCAGAGCTTCCCTCTGGATCATAACTGGCTGGGATGCAATGCCCAGGCGATGTGGTGGCCGTGTCTCTGCCACTTGGAAGAGACCAAAACAGCATGGCTGACCTCAAACAAAGACTGCAGAGATCTTGCTGACCCTGGTCTTGGTCTGGATACAGAGGCCAGTGAAGTTCCTTTGCTCATTTTGGTGCCTTTGACCTGGGTTCCTACCACATGCCACCCAAAGGGTGCTGCCCAATACAGTAAGATTAGTGGTTCCCAGCTCCAGGCTGCAGACCACCGCTGGCCTGGCTGCCGCAGAAGCCCCTTGGATTCTGGCAGGTCGGGAGGGCTGGCAGGATGGCTAGGAAACTTTGCTTTTACAAAGCACAAACAGGCTGGACTAGCTGGTTTCCAAGACCCTGTCAAGAATTAAGAAAAAACACCTCTCGATTCCAGGTGGATCATGCTCAGCATCCGCTTACTGGGAATGCGGAACAATCATCACTCAGAAACAGGCGGCTTCATGGATATGTTTCCATGAGCTCCTAATTCCCCGAAAAAGCATCACAAAACAAAAAAAATGCTAACTGTAAAGAAAAATTGATTACCTGGACTAGATTAAAAATAAAGTATGTCTGTTCATCAAAGGACATCATTAAGGGAGTGATAAGGCATGCCACAGAGTAGGAGAAGATAATGACAGTATATACAACTGAGAAAGACTCAGATTCAGAATATACAAAGGACTTCCACAAATCAATAAGAAAAACACCAAAAACTCAATGGGAAAATGAGACTTGAACAGACTCGTCACAAAAGAGGATATCCAAAAGGCCACTAAGCTATGAAAAGTTGTTCAACTTCATTAGTCTTTAGGGAAATGCATATTAAAACCACAAGATGATACTACTGTACCCCTAATCAGAATGGCTAAAATCAAAGACTGATGATACCAAGTGTTGGTGAGGACGTGGAGCAACTGGAACTCTCCCACAATGCTGACGGGAGTGGAAGCTGGCACAAGCACTTTGGACAGTACCTCCCTAAGCCCATGGTATGTCTGCTTGCCAATCCAGCAATTCCTAGGTATATACCTAATAGAAATGTGTCTATATGGTTATCAAAAGGCACATAAGAAAGCATTATCCATAATAGTGTCAAACCGAAAATAACCCCCATGCCCATCAATACTAGAAGAGATAAATAAATCACGGTATCGTCATACAGAATATTCCATGGAAATGTGAACTACTGTGACATCCAACACAGACGAATCTCACAAACCCAATGTGGATCCAAAGAAGCCAGGCTTTGTGAAAAGAGCACCAGCTGTACGGTTCCATTTATATGAAGCTCAAAACCAGGCAAGATGAACCTCTTGTGTTGGAGTCAGTACTTGAGGGAGGCGGGGAGGGGCTGTCACTTGCAGGAGACGTGAAAGTGACCTCTCTGGTGCTGGAAATGTTCTATTTCTTGATCAGAGGGCTCATTCCCTGGTGTCACAGTTAGTGAAAATTTACAAGAGCACACTCATGATTTGTGCACTTTCAAATAGTACGTTCTTTAAATTTACAGTCACCAAAGACATCCAGGCATCGAGCCTGGAGGGAGTTGAGGCTGCCACACCGCTTTGATCAGGACGAGGAAAGAAGACACATCTGGGGTGCTGAAGCATGTGTTATGTGGTAAGAAAGGGAGAACGCTTCCCGGGGAGACGGCAAGACCAAGCTGAAAACAAGACAGTGTCTCGGGCACGGTGGAGCTTCCAAGGCACCTTTCTCTCTGAAGCAGTGGGAAGGGCTGGGAGTTGTCAAGTTTGGATGACTGTTCTTCCTTCAGAGGGAAAGGAGTGGATATGCAAATAGCAAGCCTGGGGGCAGAAGGGCCCATCTGAGGACACAGGTTTACTGATGACGAGGTGGATGGTGAAACGGAGACACAAGTGCCACAATCAGGTGGAAGCAAATGCTCTCCTGGGGTACTGAGGAGGCCCCGATGGCCCCATGTTGGGGCTATCCGCCCATGTGGTCTGGAGCTGGAGCTCAAGACTGGGGCCGGGGCAGGTCACACCCCTTCTGAGGGAATAAAGAGACACAAAACTTAGCACTTAAGGAAGCAGCTTGCGAAAAAGGAAAGTGAGAGACGGGGCTCAAAACAGACTGGTGGAGGACCAGAAAAAATGAGCGCTGACTTGAGTGCACTTGAATCATCTCAGCTTGGCTTCAAAGAGGCCAAAGTGGATGATGCGAGCCACTGCGATAAGCCAGGGGAAAAACACATCCCTGAGAAGAGGGGGTGACACATGTCCTATTGAGCAAGAGTCAAAAGGGAGATTCAGACCTGGAGAGATGTTCACCGTCAAAGTGCCAGGGAGCTCCTGGGAGAGTATGCCGGCTACAGACCAGAAGTGGGCCAGAATAAGGGACAGGCCGGCATGGTGGGGCTGGGGCCTAGAAGGAAGCCAGAAAGGACGTATAGATTGACTTGGTGCTTCACCTCTGCCTGAGTGGGTGGAGTCAGTGGGAGCCATCCTGGGCAGGGATGAGAGCCCTGGGGATGGGGATGGGAGGAAGGGAAGAGGAGAAACAGGAAGCCGAGGAAGAGGAGGAGAAAGAAGAGGAAGAGGAGGAGGTGGGGAAGGAAAAAGGAGGATGAGGACGAGAAAGACGAGGGGGAGGAAGGAAGAGGAAGCAGAGGAGGAGAAGAGAAGGAAGAGGAGGACAAGGATGGCGTCACATCAGGAGAGGTCTCTGTGGGGATTTTCCTCAGGCTAAATAACCCTGGGTAGGATGGCGACCCCATGGGAGGGCCCGGCTTCTCTCTAATGAGGCTGAGCCCCTGGCTGCCAGGTCTGAGGTCCTGTCCTGGTGTGTGGAGATCAGGAGACGTGGCTCTCGTCTCAGCTCTGTCCCCGTCTGCTGCATGGGACAGCCATTGTGCCTCTCTGGGCTGCAGAACACGAACCCTCCAGGCCCCTCCAGCTGCGGATTGCGGGCTGGCGGATCTGGCGCTGCTCTGCAGACAGGGTTAGGTGAATCCCATGGTGCCAGTCCTGGATAGCACGTGTCCTCTGGGCCTGTGTGATGGTGCTCATGGCAGGCGTGTCCCCCCACATCAGTCTCACCATCAGGCCATCACTCTCTCTTTCCCCACAGCACAGGAGCACAGGACCCCAGGCCCGGTGGAGGGCACCTCAGCTCTGGGGTCTTTGGATGGCTATGCAGTACCCTGCAGATCACCTCCCAATGCCACAGTTGAGAACCTAGGACTGGGGACGAGGGCAGATGCTCAGGTGCCACAGGTGCCTTTAAAAGATGGAACAATGACGAGGACAACGGCAAATGACCCAAGGCCCCCACTCTCCTGGGACTCACTGCATCTGAGCCCTGAACTACAGAAAACTCCCTCATCCACTCAGATCCCAAGAGCCGCTTTGGTGGCCATCCCCGCCTGGGCTATGAAGTGGACTTGGCCCATCCAGGACTCTTCCCCGGGCACTGCATGCTCCCTTGCAGGGTGGCGAGTGCCATCTGAGGCGGAATTCTGTGCCATGGGTCCCCCAGGCCAGGCCCCTCCGAGGGCCACATCACCCCTGCTCAGAGACAGGAGCTCTCTCCTTCCCCATGGAAGAGGTGCCTGGTCTGGGCGGCCTTTCACAAACCGCATGCAGCAGAAACCCTTTTGGGTGTGTTTCTGTGACGGGGCCAGGGTTGTGGGGGTTCTGTGATCTTCGTGACTCTGCTAAATCGCAGGCGGAGAGAGAAGGGAGAAGCGCACGGGGCTGTCCAAGGGCAACCCAGGGAAACACGCTGAAAGGACACCGGGACAAGAGAAAGAGCTTCCTGAGAAACGCATTCTACAACGATGGACAAGACACACTCGGTGTTTAAATACGCTGAAGACAAAGGGCACCCACATTTGTCTGTCCTGGCTCAGATGCAGGCAGGGCCCAAGGAGGCAGAGGATGGAAAATGGCTTCTAGGGGCCAGTTCCAAACCTACCACTGTATATGCATTTTTTAATGATACTGACTGACTGCGGTAGCTCATGCCTGTAATCCTAGCACTTTGAGAGGCCAAGACAGGAGGACGGTTTGAGCCCAGGAGTTCAAGACCAGCCTGGGCAACATAGTGAGACCCCATCTCTACAACAAAATAAAAAATGTAGCCAGGTGAGGTGGCTCATGACTGTAATCTCAGCTCTTTGGGAGGCTGGGGTGGGTGGATCACCTGAGGTCAGGAGTTTGAGACCAACCTGGCCAACATGGTGAAACCCCATCTCTACTAAAAATACAAAAATTAGCCAGGCATTACACAGGTGGTACACGCCTGTAATTCCAGCTACTCGGGAGGCTGAGGCATGAGAACTGCTTGAACCCGGGGGGTGGAGGTTGCAGTGAGCTGAGATTGCACCACAGCACTTGATTCTGGGTGACTGAGTGAGACCCTGTCTCAAAAGAAAAAAAAAAAGATTTACCAAGTGCAAGAAAAATGCATAACTGACTTCCTCTTACTCCAAAATAAAAAATAATAGGCATGGTGGTGTGTGCCTATAGTCCCAGCTACTTGAGAGGCTGAGGCAGGAGGTCACAGCGAGGTGAGCCGTGATTGTGCCACTGCACTCCACATAGCCCAGTGACTGGCTATGAAGCCCAGTCACCCTTCATAGCCTGGGTGACTGAGTGAGACCCTGTCTCAAAAAATAAATAAATGATACCACATTATGGTACACATTAGCTACTTGTTAATTAATGAAGCTGCTGGAGTGACCAATGTCAAATCTTTCCAAGTTTCCTGGCATCCTTAGGTGAAGTCTAAATAGTGAGATCCAGAGAATACTGCAGGTCCCATCTAGAAACAACTTCTCAAGCTTCAGAAAGAAATCCATTATCAAGTTCTCAGCCCCTGAAAACTGTTCCTGACCATCACCCTACCAGCCCTGCTGGTTGCCTGAGCTATGGGGCTGGGGGAGGTGATGCTTCTCAGGTGTGCAGACAACAAAGAACGTGCTTTTAGTGAAAGACTGGCAAGGGGCCAGCGTGAACCTGATGAGGGGTCTGACCACGTGTGCCATGTGGTGGCCACCGAGGAGGGGAGCTTTCCCACCAATCTGCTGCCAGGTCCTCCCCTCCATCACAGGGGCTCCTGGAAGTGGGGGTGACCGCTGATTCAGTGGGAGCATGGCTGCTTGGGCTGTGGGGACAGGGGTCACCCTGAAGGACACATGGCCACCTCTTGCCAAGTTCACCTGTGACCTCTAGTCTCCTCCCACCAGCCCTGCTCAAAGCCCAGTGGACCCCGCAAACACCAAGATGCCACCCCTTTGAGGCTCTTGGGCCCCCTAGGCACACTGTGCAGGGCTCCCTCTGGCCAGCATTTCCTCTACTCCCCTCATACCCCAGGTCAGACCTAATTCATCCCAGCCTGGTCTAGCAAGGCCTGCCACATGTGGTATCCATTTTGCAGGAGAAAAGCCATCCCTTGTTACAGGGAGTGCCAGTGTGTATGACACTGTGGGGACTGCTTGGAGGAGGCAGAGCAAGGCCAGGACCACCCCCCACTCCATCTCCAGCCACTTCTGGGTCAACAGGGAACAACCTCCGATGGTTCTGTGAGGTGCAAGGACGCTGGTCATTTTGCCATGGACTAGGGAACAATGGAATGCAGGCTGGGCCAGGCTCTCTGGGCTCCCTGAACTTTGCACCTCACAAGGTCATCTTTTCACCTGGGAAGGCAGCACTCTTTTTCTCCCAACAGTCTTTTCTGTGTGTCAGACTGGGCCTCTTGGGCCTCCTGGGTCCCCCTGCCATTCCCATTGCGAAGGGGTCTCTAATTAGGAGATGAGAAGCCGGGAGCCGGTTGTGTAAAGCGGCTCCTGCTGCACACACTCCTCTGCGTCCCTTGCATGGCGACAAAAACACTTCAGCCCTGGCCCCTGGGCGGGGAACGGCTGTGGAAAGCTCCAGAAGATTCACACAAGGAGCTGGACAGACAACTCAAGCCAGCAAGAAGAGAAGCTTCTGCTGAGAGGGAAGCAGGAAGCTCTGTGGAAGAATTCCTCCTGCCTGTTCAATGTCCTGTCTCCCTCCCCTCAGCTGGGGGCCCAATCGATACGGCTACGGACTTATGAAAGATCAAAACCCATCTGCATTCTGGGTAGGTGGATCGGGGCCTCTTCTAGCAAACAGACTTAGGTTGGTGCACATTTGCCACAGCAATTTATTTTTATCCTGAACAAATGAACGCAATCCATTAAAAGGGTGAGAGGAAGAGTGGGGCCGCCTAGAAGCTCTAGCTTGTGAGCTGGGGCCAGAGGCAAACAGGGATCTGGTCTGGCCACTTCACTCTAATTCGCCATCCATTAGCACCAGCACAATGGGCTTCTGGGGGCCCGGCCAATGCCTCCAGGCAGGTGAGGGGGCACCGCACAAAGACTCACAGAGTGAGGAGGGGGTCCCGATGCCAAATGGACTCGAGATTCGGCAGCTGCAGGGGATGACAGAGCCTGATGTGGGAGCTGGGCTTGGGAGGGGCGCCAGTGGTGCAGACGGCCGGTGGCCTTGGACACCTTGGTGATTTGGCCCCAGCCAAGGGCCCTGTCCACAGGGCAGAATGCACGAGGCCAGCAAAGTGGAATTTCCCAATTACGGCATGAAAGAGAGTTTCTTCTCAGGCCCTTCCCCCAGGCCCCACAATTAAAAACAAGTCCAGTTTCTAGCGGCTGCCCGGCCCCCCACCCCCTCAGTGACCAATCAGCTCCCCACTCCACCTATTCCCCCTCTTCCCAACACAAGGGCTCTTATGCAAACCCAGGACACTGGGGAGGGGCAGTAGCAGAGGCACATATTAGGGACTGAGCATTTGCTCAGCTGGACAGGCTGCCACGCCTGTCTGTAGCAGAGGTGAGAGGAGGCCCAGAATGAACCGGAAGCCTTGCTGCTGGGCTTCTCTGGGTCAGGATCTCGTGAAAGAAGTCCCATGACTGCTTCCTCCTTTCCCTTGTGGGCCCCATCCTCTCCAAATGCCCGCCTCATCTTAGGAGTGCCCTGTTCTCCTGGGAGGTGGCTCGGACCTCATCTACCATTAACTGGGCCGGTTCGGATCAGGCCCTGGCATTCACCGCATACAGTGGCTCATTACAGATGCAAGCATTCTCCACCAGTCCTCTCTGCAAGGCGGCAGGGAGGAAGAGGAGGGGAAAAATGCACAGTCGCTGAAGCCAAAGCGCGGCTGGCCGGAGGGCCGTGTTGGCAGGCAGAGCGACTGTCTTCAGACTTGCTCGCTTCCCAGCACAGAAGCAGGCCTTGTAAAGATCACAGCTGTCGGGTCACGCTGGAGTTCATATCACAGTTTATCAAAGAGGCTGGGTTTTCTCCCTCCTCTCCTTTCTACTGAGGATAAGTGGATGGTTCACGGGGAGACAAGGCCTGGGCTTGTTCTGCCTGCATTAGCATGGAGGGTGGGAAGAGGCCGGGGGAAGGCAACGCACACCAACACCTACTCCGGGCAGAGTTGTTTTAGCGGAGCCGGGCCGGGCCGCTGGTGGGTGCCCTGGGCACTGGGGCAACAGGGCCGGTGCACTGGAGCCAGCTCTCGGCACGGAAGGTGCCATGATTTCATCCCCTCAGGGGTGTGGTTCCCCCTCCACAGACCACCCTGGGAAGCACAAGCCCTGTGGGGAGGCTGAACAACAGCCCCGCTTTATCAGACACAGCCAGCACTGGGGCTGAGACATGCGCCATTTATATAACCCCACCACACTATGACACGGCAGGCACTATCATCGCTGCGTCACAGACAAAGCAGAAAGGCCTTGGAAACAGGTCACACAGTTAAAAATGGGAGGAATTGGGGTTTGAGCCCCAAATGAGTGCCTCGGGAGGCTCATCTGCCTTAGTCCTGCAAAGTCCCGTGGAGGGAGTGGGGGTACAGCACCCCACCGCACATGTCGCCATCTTCGCTCTATCTGTGAGCTTGGCCTCAACTCCCTGCTGCTAAGGAAAGGGCCTGGAGCCAGAGTAGCTGGCTAAAAAATGAAGGTTTTAAAGCCACTGGCTTCACCTTGACATGCATCTCAACCGTTATGTCCACCAGAAAAGGAGGCTGTGTGGACACCGACAGGAAGTCCAACCCACTCAAGCCTGGCTGGAGCTTGGGTACCCCGTTCTCACCCCCACTGACTCCGACATGGAGGTGCGGCCTGGGAAAGCTGCCTGGGGAAGAGGAAACGCTCCCAGGGTCTTTAGGGAAATCATGCATCTTCCTCAATGCCAAGAACCCCCACCAGATGTGTGTCTTCAAGAACTCCCGATGCCTCTGTCTTTCTATAGCAGCCGCTCCAGGTCCCAGAGCTAAACACACTCCTGCCAAAAGAACAGCTTTTCACTTGCTGGCCAGAAGAATCTCTTTCCTTTCTTTCTCAGTGTGCAATCTTGGAGGCTGAGAAGAACAATTTAGAGTTTGCCTAACAGCTAAAGAGGGGGTTAAGAAATCATTGTGCTCCTCATCAGGCCTGTGGCTTCATGCCAGCATCTGCGGAACCATCGCGATGCCTCTCTTTATTTATTTATTTATTTTTATTTATTTTTTTGAGACGAAGTCTTGCTCTGTCGCGCAGGCTGGAGTGCAGTGGTGTGATCTTGGCTCACTGCAACCTCCGCCTCCTGGGTTCAAGCGATCCTCCTGCCTCAGTCTACCGAGTAGCTGGGATTATAGGCATGTGCCACCATGCCTGGCTAATTTTTATATTTTTAGTAGAAACGGGGTTTCGCTATGTTGGCCAGGCTGGTCTTGAACTCCTGACCTCGTGATCCGCACACCTCGGCCTCCCAAAGTGCTGGGATTACAGGCATGAGCCACTGCACCCAGCCAACGATGCCCCTCTTTAAAGTCATCGCAGGAGAAAAGGAAGTGCAATGGAGAAGCAGGAGGGCAGGTGGATACCCCCCTCCACCTCAACAAAGCTCTTTGGAACGGCCTCAGCCCCCCACAGGAGCATGGGGAGGATGGAGGAAGCCACATGTTTGCAGGGCCTTTTCCATGTCAGATGCTGTGTGTGCCCCCAGACTGGGTGGCTGGGCCTGCAACCCTGGAGCTGGTTGACAATGGCTTGGTGTGCTGGCAGAGTGGGCAGCAGGTTCCCGAACCAGCTGGGCCAGGTGGCTGTCCGCCAGGATGCACATTGACAGGTGTGGGTGCTGCTTTTGGGGGACAGCAGTCTGGAGAAACCGGGTGAAGGACTAGGAGAGACCCAGTCCTCTGTGAAAGGCCCAGCCACAAGGTTCCTTCTGTCCCAGCCCACTGGGCTTCTAGTGGGGATGCCAATGGCTAAGAGACCTTCTGTGGCTGTGCGGGTGGGAGTGAGGCCTGGAGGCCAGCCTCAATTTCCACTGAGAACCCAGTGTGGCCCATGGCAGGTTTGAGCCCCAGAAGAGCAAGCGATCGCCATACTGAGCCCCTGGAGGGTGGGAAGGGAGGACCCACTGGCCCAGCTCCTGAGCACGCTGAGGAGCTGGGCCTCAGGTGGTCCTGGCACGCAGGATGTTCAGGGCCTCTCACGGCACCAGGCTCTGCACTCCCACACAGAAGGGACAAAGTGGCGGCTGCTGAATTAGCAGAGTGCAGGAGTTTGCAGCCCAGCTCCTGCCCAGCCCAGTGGGCACGTTACTTCCTCTTATTTTCCCTTCTGCAAAATGACGATTCCCGTGAGCCCAGGAAGCCCAGGAGATGCACTGCAAAGCAAGCAAAGCCTCCCTGGCCTGGAGTCTGCACCTGGGAACATGGCAGTGGGCTGGCCTCCAGCTTCACAGAGCCTCAGGCCCTGAGCGGGTGGGGAGGGCATGCAAGCATGCCCATGGGGCCTGCACTTCTGCTCCATGCAGCCTGGAGATGCTGGTTACTACCCCAAACTCCTTCTCGCCATGCGTCTTGGTCATGTGGGGCTGAGACAGGGTGGAAAACCCACCTCAGCCCAGTTCTCCAGAGGGGACTCTAGCTATAGATTCCTCCTCCAAAGGCCTCTCCTTCCACTGACTCCCTGAAAGTCGTCCAGGCAAGGAGAGCTCATCATGAGTACTGATGCCTCTGCAATTTGGAAAACCACATGATGTTAACTGTCACTCTTGTGGGAACATTCCGCTGCTTTCCTGGTGGGGGGGCCTCTTGCACCATAGCTAACCTCTACCTCAATTCCCTACCTGAAACTGGCCAACGTGATGGGAAGAAACACCATGGAAATCTTCCTCTTTTGGCCAATGAAGGTTAAGAATCCATTTCTGTCTCTCTGACACGGTGGTTCTCAACTGGGGTGATTCTCCTCCCTAGGGGACCTCTGGCAATGTTTAGAGACATTTCAGACGGTCCCAACTGGGTGAATGCAAGTGCTACTGGCATTCAGGGGGCAGAGGCCTGGGATGCTGCTGACATCCTACAGGGCGCAGGACAGCTGCCATCCCGAAGAGCTATCCGGCTCCAATGCCAACGGCGCTGAGTTCGAGAAGCCCTGCTCTAGAAGAGCCCAGAGAAGCAAGAGGGTGGTGACAGCCTCCCCACTATCACAGGGGCATCCTTTTGGTGGCCAGACCATCAGAAGCCCTGTCCCCCACTGTGGTCCTGCTCTTTGTCTTTCTGGTCAGGCAGGCCTGTCCTCTCCCACAACTCAATTCTGCGGCCCCATCCCCAGGGTGCCCTCAACTCCACCTCAGCTCCTGAGCTGGCCGGTCACCTCCTGTACGCTCCACTCCCTCAACTCCCCCAGCAGCATTCAGGCTCCTGCAGCGGCTCGCAGCAGACCATCCCCGGGTCTCACCTCCCTCACTGCCTCCTGCCATCTCCCTGCTTGGCCGCTTCCTTTACCTCTCTGGCCCTTCGTCATAGCCTCCTTTTCTGGCTTCTCCTTCTTTCCCCAACCATTACAGTCTGGAACACGTAGGGTTCAGCCTCAGACCCCTTCCCTCTCACTCGACCTCTTCTTAAGAACTCCCTAAGAATGAAAGCTCCACAAGTGCAGAACCATCTAGAATGGTCCCTTGCACAGAGTTAGTGTTCAGTAAACATCTGTTGAATGAATGAATGAATGAATGACTATGCCATCAATTTCGAGATTGTATCTTGGGCCTCGGTACCCCCTTGGAGAGCCTGGTACAGCAAACTACTTCTTCAATACCTTCTTTTTGATGCCCCCAAAGTAATTCAAACTCAAACATGCACCCCCTCCTCACTCCCTGCCACTCTTCCGGGGCTCCCACCTCGGGGACTGGCATCACCATCCACCCGCTGCCCAAACCAGAGGCCTGGACACCCTGACACTCCCAGCTCCCTCTCCCCTCACTCTCTCCACATCAGTCACCAGACAAATCTACTTCCTACTCAGTCTCGAATCCTCATTCTCGAATCCGGCTGCAGCTTCCCATCCCCCTCACAAGCTGCCACAGTCTCTGCTTGGACAACAGCCTCCCAGCTGGCTCCACCTCAGCCCCTCCAACCCATTCGCCCCAGCAACAGTTGTCTTTCAAGCCAGAAATCCAGTCACGTTGATCCCCTGCTCAAGCCCTGTCAGTGCCTCCGTGCTGACCCCTGAGTAAGGTCTCTGATCCTCACTGTGGCCCACAGGCTGAAGCTGCTTATTAGTTTACAGCAAGATGAGCTCCCCAGGCTCCTTCTTGCCTTGAAGCCCCATACAGCCTAGGCCCCTGCCGGGACTCCTTCAACTCCTGACCCCCAGACCATGGTAGTCGGTAGTCTACTCAGTCCCCAAGCACCCCAGACCACTTTAATAACCCCATCACCCCAGGGGTTCCGATTTCACTCATCAGAGGGAGGCCCAGGCTTTTTTTTTTTTTTTTTTTTGGAGACAGAGTCTTGCTCTTTCGCCCAGGCTGGAGTGCAGTGGTGTGATCTCGGCTCACTGCAACGTCCACCTCCCGGGTTCAGGCGATTTGTGTGTCTCAGCCTCTTGAGTAGCTGGGATTACAGGCATGTACCACCACACCTGGCTAATTTTGTATACGGCATCTTTTTTTAAAGCCTCTCCAGTGATCTAACCTGCAGGGCTGAGAACCACGGCTGGACAGCACCTAGGGCCATACGGACTACTCTAGAAATCTCCTCCACCTGGCTTTGGTGTAGAAGCTGGAGGAATTTGTGCCCTGCTCTAGCTTTCACCAGGTTGAGGGTGACACTGGGCCACTCTTCTGCTACTTCTTGGAGCTGAGTTGGAGGCAAAAGACCAGCCCCAGCCATGCTGCTGGTGATGACAGTTCTAGATGCCTCCAGCCTCTGGGGCTGGTGCCCTGGCACCATCCTGGGCTGGGCTCACATGACTCAGGAGCCTGGCTCCACCAAGCCTGGCTAAATCCCGCACTGGGGGCTGGGCCTGGAGCACAGCCCCATGTCCCACGCCATCTGGCTCACCTCCTTTCCTCTCCAAAAGCCTGACAATGGCATTGAATAAGAGGCTGTTCCACCTCAGGGGAAGATAGTAACTCAGGAAGCAAAAAATGAATTCAGTTGTGCGGAAAAACATCAACACTGACCTGTCTGTTTCATGTCAGAAGCATCAGCAACCAGTATGAAGGGGCAACCTTCTTCATTTCTTACAGATCCAAAGGTCAGGAAAAGGAGGAGAGAGAAGGGAAAGAGAAGGTGGCTGCTTTGACACTTGAATGGCGTGAAAGTGAAAAGCCGGGGCCGTGGGAGGAAGAGGAGAAAGCGCGCCGCCAAGGCTGACCTGATGATGAAAGGGCCTCTGACCTCCAGGAGCTTCCGTTCGCTGCTGAATCTCTTGAGAAGGTTGATCATGAACTTATAAAAGTAAGAATTCATGGTGGGAGTTGAAGGAGAACATTCTAAGCCTTTGGTACCTGTAGAGAAAGGGATAGAGCCAGCATTTATTCTGATTATGTGTCCACAGGGTGATGAGATCCACACAGAATATAAACAACTATAAATGCCAAAAAGATGTGTGTGGGGGGTGTTATAACAAGATGAGGGAAAATCTCTAATCAAGAGCCATGGAGCAACAGAGAAAAAGGCAAGTCTGCACAAGCAAATACAACTTGGCTTACTGCAAAAATGCCCACTAGTTAAAGTCCTACTCGTAACTTGAAAAAAAAAAATCCCATTACTGTCCACCCTTTCATCCAAGCCTAAACCACTTAGTGAACATCTCATGTGTATAAGACCCTGCTAGGTGCCATGATTTTTTTAAAAAAACAAACTCTACTCATTATCCCAGTAAACGAAATACACTCAAGATCTATTTGGGCCATTAAGGACAAACAAGAAGTCAAAGAGAATAAATGGGTAAGGTACTTGTGTCAGTGAGTCAAGTCATTGTGGCTCAATGGTCAACAAAACTGATGGACCCACAAGAGGCAAAAGCCAAGCTCCTTTCCTAATCTGACCTGAGGAAAAGGAATGATGCGCACAGCCACTCGATTACGGACAGCAGACACCGACAAATGTTACAAAGTGTTTTAAACTTTACTTTTGAAATCAAAAGTTCTTTCTTCCTCATCCTCAGGCAAAGATGCTCTTTTAGGATAGAACTCTGAAAACTTTCAAAGCCTGAGGTGACTTTCTAACCAGGAGCACAAATGTCTCTGACGCGTGTCCCAGCTAGAAAACACACCGAGGTACAGATACCACCATCCCTTCCAGACCTCCCTTGCACACACGCCCCTTGGTAAAGTACCCAGCACCAAGGGGACAAGGGAAAGGCTGATGGAATACTTGGATGGTCTGGGGTAGCGTATCTGTATGCCCGTTGGTATCTTCCCTGGACATCCCTTCTAATATATGCCAACCTCCACAGCTCTGTGAAAGGAGTTACCAAGGGATGGAAGAGATCCTCACTCACTGTGCCTGAGGCAGGAATTTTTTTTTTTTTTTTTAAAGACTGAGTCTTGGTTTGTTGCCCAGGCTGGAGTGCAGTGGTGTGATCTTGGCTCACTGCAACCTCTGCCTCCTGGATTCAAGCTATCCTCTTGTCCCAGCCTCTTGAGTGCTGAGATTACAGGCATGCGCCACCACGCCCAGTTAATTTTTGTAATTTTTTTTTTTAGTAGAGGTGGGGTTTCACCATGTTGGCCAAGCTGGTCTCGAACTCCTGACCTCAGGTGATCCACCTGCCTTGGCCTCCCAAAGTGCTGGGATTACAGGTGTGAGCCACCACACCCGGCCCAAGGCAGGACATCTTTAAAAAGAAAACAGCTTTATTGAGATATCATCCATATACCATAAGGTTAATCCTTTTAAAGTGTGCAATTCAGTAGTTTTCAGGACATTCACAAAGTTGTGCAGCCATCACCACTAATTTCAGAACATTTTTATCAACTCCCAAAAGGAACCCCATACTGATTAGCAGTCATTCACCATTCTCACTTCCATGGCCCCTAGCGATCACTCATCTACCTTCCGTCTCTATGGATTTGCCTATTCTGGATGTTTCCTATAAATAGAACTAAGCAGTAGGTGGCTTTTTTCACTCAGCACGTTTTCAAGGTTCATCTATGTTGTAGTATGTATCAGTTCTGTACTCATTTTTAGGGTTGAATAATATTCCACTTTATATTCCAAAATATGGAATACGGCTATTCTATATTTTGTTTGTCCATTCATCAGCTGGTATTTTCTCCCATTCTGTTGATTTTTTTTTTTTGAGACAGGGTGATACTATAGTTTGATTATTTGTCCCCACCCAAATCTCATGTTGAAATTTAATTGCTAGTGTTGGAAGTGGGGCCTGGTGGGAGGTTACTGGATGATGGGGGTGGATTTCTCATGAATGGGTTAGCACCATCCCCTTAGTGTTACTTTGAGACAGCAAGTTCTGCTGAGATCTGGCTGTTTAAAAGCGTGGGGCACCTTCCTCTTACTCTCTTGCTCCTGCTTTGGCCTCCTCTGCCTGCTGCCCCTTTGCCTTCCACTATGATTGTAAACTTCCTGAGGCCGCCTCAGGAACCAAGCAGATGCTAACACCATGCTTTCTATAAAGCCTGCAGAACTGTAAGCCAATTAAATCTCTTTATAAATTACCTACTCTCAATCAGGTCTTTTTGTTTTTGTTTTTGTTTTTGAGACAGAGTCTTGCTTTGTCTCCCAGGCTTGAGTACAATGGCACGGTCTTGGCTCACTGCAACCTCCGCCCGGGTTCAAGCAATTCTCCTGCATCAGCCTCCCAAGTAGCTGGGACTACAGGCGTGTGCCACCAGACCTGACTAATTTTTTCTATTTTTAGTAGAGGTGGGGTTTCACCATGTTAGCCAGGATGGTCTCAATCTCCTGATCTCGTGATCTGCCTGCCTTGGCCTCCCAAAGTGCTGGGATTACAAGTGTGAGCCACTGCGCCCAGCCATGTATTTTTTTATAGTAATGCAAGAACAGCCTAATAAACAGTGTCTTGCTCTGTTGCCCAGGCTGTAGTGCACTGAAGTGATTACAGTTCACTGCAGCCTCAAACTCCTGGGCTCGAGCAATCCTCCCGCCTCAGCCTCTCAAGTAGCTAGGACTACAGGCTTGTGCCATCACACCCAGCTAAATTTTTTCTTTGAGATGGGGTCTCCCTATGTTGCCCAGGCTAGTCTCAAACTCCTGGGCCCAAGGGACCCTTCTGCCTTGGCCTCCCAAAGTGTTGGGATTATAGGTATTAGCCACTGTGCCCAGCCTCTTTTTATTAAAAAAATTTTTTTGAAGCACAAAATTTTTAACTCTGATTAAGCCCAATGTGTCTATTTTTTCTTTGGTTGCTTGTGCCTTTGGTGTCATAGCTATGAAATTACCTAATCTAAGGTCATAAAGATTTGCTGATGTATTTTAGGTCTCTGGTCTATTTTGAGTTACTTTTTATATACAGTGTGAGGAAAGGGTCTAAATCCTTTTGCATATGGATATCTAATTGTTCCAGTATAACATGATATCTTAATAGCCAATTCATAGCTACCATTTATTGAGCACCTACTATGTGCTTGACCTGCCTAAACCCTTCACACATAGTATCTAACACCCTAAAAACCAACCAACAAAGAAACAAAAAAAAAAAACACTTGAAAAATATGCACCATTACCATTCCCATTATATACACAGAGGAGCTGTGAATTTGGGTAAGGATTATCCAAAGTCACATAGCTGGCGAGTGCTAGAGTTGCTGACCCAGGCAGCTGGTCTTCAGAGCCCATGTCCTTTGCAGCTCTGCCAGGCTGCCTGTCTCTTCGGCACTAATGTTCGGACATGTTTGGGGCTCACAGATTAGGAGGTGGTGCCTTGCTATGCAGGAGGGCAGAAGATGGCATAAAGACGGAAACCCAGGTCCTGCCAAGCTGAGACTGAGGATGCAGGAAATGACGCTGTGAAGAGCTATGGAGCCAGCACCTGGCCGCAGCTCTCTGGAAACCCAGGGAGGACACTGGGGGATGCAGAGCGGCCAACAGAGGCATCTGGGACCATCATTTTCCAGGCTGGCCCCTTTCTGGTCCAGAAGTTGCGTGGGAGCCATCACTTTCTCCCTGGACCAGTGAGGAAATGGCCAGGCACAAGCACAAGATAGGCAGGATGTGGAGGATCTGGGAACCAAACTTGGCCAGAAGCATCAGATGTTCCCAGAAGCATCAGCCCAAAGCACAAAACAAGAATGTGCAGAACCATCCAGAGTATTCCAAGTGAATCTCACGGAGGCGTCTGGACAGACTGACTGTATTTGATGCCAGCGGGCAGGAAGCAGCAGCAAGACTCTCCTCCCAGGAGCTCCGTCTTTCTTGCTGAGCTCAGACTTCCTGTATGTCCTCTCATGGTCCTGCCGGGGAGATGGCTGGGTCTAGAAAAGGCGTTTTTCTGTGCTGTTTTTCCCAGCTGTGAATCACTCTATAAGGGATTCCTTACCAAGAGCCACACCTCCAAACTGTAGCATCCTCAATCCCAAGAACCTCCTAGACAGCTCGCGTGAGCGGCATGAAGGAGCCCTGAGTGAGAAGGCCAGTTCAAGGAAAGGCCTCATTCCACTTCTTGTTTGGACTGCATTGTGCTGGGTCCCTGCCTGAATCAGCCTGGCTTGGGAGGTCCTGAGTGACTCTGGAATGGCAAAGAGTCTCTGCTCCCTGGCCCAAAGGGGCTGTTTGCAGAATCAAGTGTCACATTCTTATAGATCGAGTTACCCCAGGCCCAGCTGGGGGCTGATCTCTAAAGAGGTGGCTGCAGAGACAGCTGTTGAGACAGCCCTGCCTCACTGTTCCCTCCCTCAGGAGATGAATTTGGTAGGCCGTGGTGGCCTGGCTGGAGGGCACTGGCTTCATGCTGCCCACACTGGAGGCACCCTGTTCACTGCAAGCTTCTCCCAGGTGCTTGTTTGGAGTGGGGAGAGGTGCGGGGCCGTTCCAGCCTCACAGGGGCAGTAGGAAGCACTGAGCATGGTGTTTAAGCCTCAGTTTCCTCATCTGTAAAGTGAGTGCAGTAAGAGCCCCTATTAAATGAGATAAAAACATGTAATGTGCCGGGTCCGGAGCCTGCCGCACAGTCTGCACTCAGTACACGGGGGCTCCTTTTTATTAGCAAGCGTCCCATAGCGCAGAGCACTGCGCAGGGCAGACCGTTCTCATTCTGAGTCTCAGAATGGATGTCTGGGGGCTGGTCTGAAATGTCTGAGTGGGGAGATTTCATTTCTGGCACAAATTCACAGTGCTCTATCAGGATGCTCTGAGGAAGAAGGGGGGCCACCTGTGACCCCCACACATCTGGGGAGGGAGATCAGCCCATCTCTCCGCTGACAGTCTGGCTAAAGATGGCAGAAGAGAAGGGCTGGGCTGCTCTGGACACAACTCTGAACTCCTTAGCCACAGCCCCTAGTGTGGACCCAAAATGGACTCTCAATGTCCAGGCTGCCCCTTGGACCCTGGAGCTGAGGCCCTTAGTGGAAGGGAGGAGGAGGGCAGTGTCACAGCTGCGAGAAGCCGCAGCAAGCGATTCACATCCTCAGCTGAGTGCAGCTCAGCCCTCACAGTGCTCCCAAGGCTTAAAGACTTTCTGCCCTCCCCAAGACAGGGTTGGGAGCCTTGGGAGGGGCTGCATTGAGACCACAGGTTTGAGCAGGGCAGTCTTTTCCCAGCAGGGGAGGTGGGGAAAGGGGCCACACTTGAAGGGGCAGGGAGGGCGGGCTGGACAGGGATGGGAAAGGCCTCAGTGCTCAGCAGGACAGGGTGGGGGCTGCTCGCTCTTTCCCAGCCTCAGTGGCCCCCATCGCCCCCAGCCACTCTGTTGATCTGAGCTGCCCTTTGGCTTGAGATGCTCTCTGAGGCAGGGCTGCAGGCTCAGGAGGAGGAGATGGGTGGAGAGAGAACAAGCTCACCCCGGGAGGGTGACTACAGGAGAAATGGGCCCCTCAAGTATGCTGATTTCCGCCTCACTGCTGCCTGCTCTTCCGCCCACCTCCGGCTCTGGCTCATCTGCTCTTGTAAGCAGGGTCCTGGGCTGGGTGCTGCAGGCGCATGAGGAAAGTGGGAGCCGGGACGGGGCAGCTCAGGGCACGCCCTCCAACACTGCGCTCCGAGGACCTCAGCGGTTTTACTCAGGGGTGCCACTGAGGCACAGCCCCCTGTAGATGGTGGGCAGCTGCTGCAGCAGGGGGCGAGGGAGAGGGGGGCCCACAACCCGGCTGTGTGTCTCGGGAGACAGGCTCTCTTTGAGGGGCCCAGGAGAGTGGGATTTCCATTCCCCAATCCTGCAGAGGGCAGGAGCATGAGGGAGAGTGCCATCCCTCAGCTGAAGGCCACTGTGCCTTGTATTTCTGGTTTGGGCAAGTGAGGAGCCTGCCAGCCCCTGGCAGGAAGTGCACGTGACCGGCGGCTGGCCAGGGGCACAGAGACGCACTCCACACAGAAACCCAGGCTGGCGGGGTGGGCGGCCGGGGAGCCAGCCCTGCAGATGTTACTAAGTGAAACCTGATGTGGTGACATGAGAATCCACAGAACGTCTCACAAACAACCTGCCCCGGGATGTTTTGGATTGAGTTTTGTGGTTATGACGTGAAGAAACCTCACATGTCAGGATAAAAATAACCCTGGCTTCAGTACATAACGCGAGTTACAGTTCAACAGAACCAGATGTGAAAACGTCAGCCACCCAGTTCAGGCCCAGCAGGGTCCCTGCTCCACTCCGGCCTCCCTCCCTGCTGGGGTTGGGGTCCATGTGCCCGGACAGCCCGTTGTGGGCTCAAGATCTGCTGCCTGGAGGATACAAGGGAAGGGCCAGAGGCCGCTCAGGGGAGGCAGCACCACCTTCTCCGAGGCCAGCTCCTCTTCTGTGAACCAGGCAGGGCTAAAGAGCATCAAGTCGTGCTTGGCACAGGAAGTGGTCCACAGAAGGGGTGGGTGATGGAGAGGCTGGTATGGAACCAAGAGGACAGGGTGGGGAAGGGGCAGTTTCCCCCAAGAATCAAGTGGCTGGGAGAAAGGGAGGCTGAGCAGGGTCTTGGGGGTGTAGAGTCTGCAGAACTGGAGGGGGTGCACAGCTACGTAGACAAAGGCCGCCGCAATGGCACCAACTCGGGAACCCACTCAAGGGGCAATCACTTTCTCATCTGTGGGCCGGCCTGGGTCGGCAGGACAGGAGCGCCGGAGGCATCAATCATAGCCAGGAGACTTTGCAGCTGCTCAGGTCAGAGCGAGAGAGAAGCCGATGGGATGCAGCAGGGCCCAGTGGGGACTTCCAGCTGACGCGGCAGTGGAGAGGTCATATAGCAGTCTGCCACCGGGAAAGAGCTATTGCTGCAGGGTGAGGGCTGGGGCCAAAGGCAGCGAGGAGAGGGTGTGGAGGAAGGCACCCCCTGCTGGTGGAGCAGGGGGGCTGGACTGCTGGGGCTTCCAACTGGACAAGGGAGGGCCTGGCAGCACGGGTATGAGAGGATGCCATTCTGGGCAGCAGTGCCGGGGGCCTCAGGCTCAGGTGATTGGTGCCCCTGCCTTCCATTATTTTAATAAACTTTCAAAAATAGGTACTGACCCTTACTGGGCACCTGGTGCCAGGGATTCCGGGGTAAGTAAACTTGGCCTGTGTGGCCTGCCATGACGCTATTCAAACTGAGCTGATGACACAAATCACCCAGCACTGGGCGACGCTGAGGAGCCTCCGCATGCACTTCCAGCTGGGGGTCTAAGAGGTCACAGCCAGGAGGGAACAGATGTGAACTTCACCACCCACCCAGGCAGCCTGAGATAAGCAAGTGTGTTGGAACAGAGGGGCAGGAGAAGCTGGGATCTCCAGGGAAGCCTCCCACAGGGGCCCTCTGCACCGGCCTGTAATAACTAGGACACAAGCAAAGGCCCCCTTCACATGCAGGGAGCATTTAGCCTAGCCCTTGCCATGTGGGAGCTCACAGAGCCCCCAGGCACCCCAGCACCTGGTTTATAGAGAGGGAAGAAGTAGCAGTGAGGTAGGACCCTTGTCCGAGGTCACGGGATGGATGGGCAAAGCAGGGCTGTGAATCTAGATCCCTCTGACCCCAGTGCTCGTGATCCCTACTGCTGCTTCCTGAGGCTGGGAGGGGTGAGTGGGAGGAAGGGGCTTCAAGAGAAACAGGTGCTTTCCTGGGGCTGGTGTGGCTGGAGGAAGTGGTGGCGGGCAGCAAATGACAAGAAATGAGGCATTGCCGTGGCCTGAGGCCAGGAAGGGGTCTCTGAAGTCACTGTGAAGAGAGGAGAGATGCCCCCATCACTGCCAGGTTGTGCCCATGGCCTGGCCCCTCTCCTCCTCCCCTCTGGCTGTGGAAGCTTCCAGTGCTGGCGCAGGTGGGATTCCTGAGTGGGGTGAGGAGTGTGGGCTCTCGGGCCAGGCTCCTGGCCCAAACAAGTGGGGAATGACACAGTGCTGGCCTCTCAGAGCTGCTGTGAGGACCCCAGGGGCTCACCCAAAAAGCCAGCACGCGTGAGTGCTCAGAGCAGGGCAGGGCCTAACGTGACCTCAGCCAGTGCTGGCAGCCATGATGATTGTTGCCGTGATTACTGGGGAAAATGGCTTTCTGGCTTTCTGCTAGAACTTGTTTCTGTCTGGTGACATGAAGATGCTGCTGACATTTGGCTACAATACACTGTCCTGGGCTACAAGGAATGAAACCAAATAAGAACAGGTCATTATCACCCATTTTTAGAGCCAGGGATAAAAACACCTTGGACCACTGAGCCCCGCAAGGTATACTGACATGAACAGTTTTTTTGTTTTATTTTTTTTGAGATGTAGTCTCGCTCTGTTGCCCAGGCTAGTGTGCAGTGGTGTGATCTCGGCTCTCTGCAACCTCCACCTGCTGGGTTCAAGCGATTCTCCTGCCTCAGCCTGCCGAGTAGCTGGGATTACAGGCACGCACCACTACGCCCAGCTAAATTTTGTATTTTCAGTAGAGACAGGGTTTCACCATGCTGGCCAGGCTGGTCTCAAACTCCTGACCTCAGGTGATCCATCTGCCTCAGCCTCCCAAAGTGCTGGGACTATAGGAGTGAGCCAACGTGGCTTACGACATGAACAGTTTTATCCCAGCAGCATTGGGCCCCGTGGCAGGCAAAGTCAGGGAAGACTGGGTTTTAGGGGCAAACGTCAGTCCTAGGGTGACCTTTGGCCTCAGACTGACACATTACTGTGCATGGCTAAGGATCCTAAAGGCTGATTGGGTCTCCCCAGGCCTGGCTGCACCCTCTCTGGCAGCATAGATGTCCAGGCCCCGGGAGGAAAGGCATGTCTCTGACAAAGGGCTCATCCCAGAGGCCTCCTCTGTCCTTTGAAGTTTTTTGCACAGGCTCAGGGTACGGCGGGCCCACAGGCCTGTCTGACATCCCTGTCCCCAGAGCCAGCAGGACCTCCGCAGACTCCCCTGAGTGGAGACAGGAAATACAAAAGGAGGAGACACAGGAGATCCCAGGGGTGGGAGACAGGAAAGTGTGGTGTCCCTCAGCCAGCTTCCCTCACAGCTGCCCGCCCAGGCTGCTCCCCATCCTGTTTGCCCCCAGGCCACTCTCTCCCCGATTCTGCGGCTCTGCACAGGTGAGGAATGAGGGAGGCAGGGTGGGAGAAGCCTCTGCCTTCACCGCTCTGCGAGGGAGGGAGAGATGTTTATGCAAGGCCAGGCGAGAGGAAAATCCCATGTGGGCGACTCTGCCTCGGGGGGCCCTGGGAACCATGGCTGTGGTGCATTAGGCCAACACGGCAGCTACCCAGGCATGTGATGGACTCGCTTCTCCACTGCTGCGTGTGATCCGCACCATGTGGTTCCCTACAGATGCCACCGACTTCACCTTTGCTAGGCTCCCTGCCTCCGAGGCTTTCCAGACAGTCCCTTTGTGCCTTCGGGGCAATCTCCCCTACAGGGACACAGCACTGCTGCCTCCAAGTTCTCCAAGTTCTCAGGGCTGCGCCCTGGAGAGCCAGAGGCAGGCAGAATCCAAACAGGAAGAGGGTATGGCTTCACAGCCTTGTCCATGTGCATGGCCAGATGGAAACAGACAGAAAGAGCCCCTTGCATGCCTGAGAAGCAGTCTGGGAAGGAGCAGCTTGCGGAGGGATGAATGTGCACTTCCTGCATGCCTTCTGACCTCAGCACCACCCCACACATCCTCAGTGCCTGGCACGTGCCCTCCCGGGGCAGCGGAGGTGGGGGGGCGGGGAAGCAGGGCACACTCTGGCTCCCCTGGCTGTTCTCTTACTGGTTTAAGCTGACCTTTTAAAATCATGGCCCCATTTGTAAAATCTGATGCCAGCTGTGGACACGCGCATGTGCACACACATGGATCTGCTTGGAGCCTTGAGGCCCACACGTGAGTCTCAGGTTAAGAGCTCCTGGCCCAGAGAGTTGTGGATTCTCCTTCCGCAGCCCCCACTGCTCCTTGGCTGTGGATTCTTGAAGCAAGAAGTGTGACTGGCTGCAGGCACTTCCTTGGTGTTCTTTCCAGGATGGAGTTTCTTCCCATCTGGCATGCTTTGTCGTTCTTCTATGAATTCCGAGGGAGTCCCTGGCTGATGTGAGCTAATCTGACAGCCTCGGTGAGTTGGGGCAAGAGTCTCTACTGCCATAGCCTCGTTCATGGCCTGCCTATCTTGGCACGGCCAGGAGCTGGGGTTCAGGGTGCCCTGCCATATAGTGCCCCTGGCCCTGCCGCCCAAGCAGCGCAAAGGGCTTGATGCTGCAGGGCCCACCAGGGACCCCCGGGTCAGGTTCTGCTCCCCCATGGCACACGTCCTACTCCCTCCGGCCCAGGCTGCCCTCGGCAGTCTCCTGGTCCTCCTTCCATGAGCAGGAGCCTAAATCACAGTCATCAGCTTCTCTGTGCCCGGGAGGAAGAGATAAAACATAGGGAAGACAGGTCACAGAGGGCCTGGGAGGCCTGGGTGTCCTGGCCCTGTCACAAGGCTGTGCTGCCTTCAAGTTCTCTGCTGCTGCCACTTTGAGGAGGAGAGAAGAGGCTGTGGCGCCTGCTTCCTGGGGAGGGAGAGCCGAGGGTGCACCCCCAGGGACCCTTTGCCCAGGCCTCCTCCCTGCAGGATGCCTCCTCTTGGCTGCTGCCCGTCTTCCGGTCAGTTCTTGCTGCTCCTCCCCACCCGACCCTCCCTTCCTAAGGAAGAGATATCCTTTTCTCTCTTCCTTTCCTACCCCCTTTGCTGGGCCCCCACACTCCACCTCTGGCATTCCTGCCATCTGTCCCAAGGACTTAAGGTTGGCCCCCATGTACTGACTTGGGGACACAGGACGGAGAATGGACTCGTTTGCCGAGGGACAGAGGGTGGGAGTCCCAGCAGGGGTCCCAGGGTCAGGATGTGGGAACCACTTCCCCGACCACGGCCACTGACTGCCTAGAACTGGGCTCCTGGGCAAGGCCCCACATGGGCCTTCTATGACTTCACCTGGCATGTCCTGGGGCACAGGCAGCCCTGCAGGTCTCCGGCTGCCCCTTGAACTTCTCAGGCACTGGGCCTGGTCTTAGGGCCAAAAAGGGCTGGGGCGCCTCCCACTGAGGCCAAGGAAGTACTCTCAGGCTGGGACCAGCCCGGCTGGGCTGTGGCGGGAGGCTGAGGCTGTAAGGCCCCTAAACCTTTATGACACGTGAGGCTGCATCAAAGTGAGAGGTGAAGGCAGCTGGACTTCCTCGGTCTAGTGGGGACTTGGAGAACTTTTCTGTCTAGCTAGAGGATTGTAAACACACCAATCAGTGCTCTGTGTCTAGCTAAATGCACCAATCAGCACTCTGTAAAAACACTAGCTAAAGGACTGTAAATGCACCAATCAGCACTCTGTAAAAACGCACCAATCAGCACTGTGTGTCTAAAGGATTGTAAACGCACCAATCAGCACTCTGTAAAAACGCACCAATCAGGACTCTGTGTCTAGCTAAAGGATTGTAAACACACCAATCAGCACTCTGTAAAAACGCACCAATCAGCACTGTGTGTCTAAAGGATTGTAAACGCACCAATCAGCACTCTATAAAAATGCACCAATCAGCACTCTGCGTCTAGCTAAAGGATTGTAAACGTACCAATCAGTACTCTGTAAAATGGACTAATCAGCACTCTGCAAAATGGACCAATCAGCAGGACGTGAGCGGGACCAAAAAAGGGAATAAAAGCTGGCCACCCGAGCCAGCAGTGGCAACCCTCTCGGGTCCCCTTCCACGCTGTGGAAGCTTTGTTCTTTTGTTCTTCACAATAAATCTTGCTGCTGCTCACTCTTTGAGTCCGCACCACTTTAACAGCTGTAACACTTGCCGCAAAGGTCCGTGGCTTCATTCTTGAAGTCAGCAAGACCACGAACCCACCGGAAGGAAGAAACTCCGGACACATCTGAACATCTGAAGAACCAAACTCCGGACACACCATCTTTAAGAGCTGTAACAATCACTGTGAAGGTCCGTGGCTTCACTCTTGAAGTCAGCGAAACCAAGAACCCACCAGAAGGAATAAATTCCGGACACAAAAGCATGGGCCAACTAGGAGCCCTGTGTGGATGTCCAGAGGGGCGCAATGGACAGAGACCCCCATGGAGACACCTGAGATTCACTGGGAACTTTACTACCAAACGTGTCCTCAGGCATTTTCCAGGACTGCATTGCCAGAGGGAAGTGGCGTCTGCCGAGGCCTAGGGAGAAGAGCTGGCCTGCCATCTGGAAGGGACCGAGGGGCGAGTGCTGGGGGTGCTACGGCCACCTTTACTTCCAAGGACTGCCCAGAAACAGCCTGTGTGAATGATGCCGTCTCCTGCCTGGGCTGCCTGCCACGTGCAGTGCTATTTTTAGCTTCTCAGAGAGGAAGGGAATGGCCACCTAGTCTTCCACCTGTTAGACCCCAAGACCGAAGCCCCTGGATTCCAGACTGGAGAGATGCTGCCTAGGCAGAGAGACCAGCAGCCGACCCAGATGGTTTTATGTTTAGCCAATGGCTCAAAAGCATCAAAGGTGCAGGGAGATGCAGAGAAAGTCCTGTGAGGGTCTCTGGAGGCTGCTAGAGGACTAGGGCTGCCTGCCTCTGGGCGGTCTTGAGGTGGGAGATCGCCAGTAGCAACCCACAGACCCCTCACACCCTGGCAGAGCTCCAGAGCTCCTGAGCAACAACCCAAAGGACCGCCATGGTCCAGCCTAAGACCCGGCACTGGCACTAAGGCCCCTGAGGCTAGAACCTTCAGGAGAAGACTTACCAGAGGTGTTCAGTAGGCCGGCTCTGCCAGGGGTGGGCACCTGGAGCTCTGAGTGGCTGGCCTGGAGGTCAGGGCCATCGAGGGGGCCTGGGTCATCCGTCTGGCCTGCGGGGGAGGAAGCGATTTCTGCCAGCACCTCCAGGTCCTTCAGGATCACCTGGGGAGAGAAGCGGGGCAGGAGGGATGAGCTCTCCGCTGAGAGCTGTGCTGACCTGGGCAGAGGTGCGGTTGGTGGCACACAGCCACCTGCAGGGGTGGGAGGGGTCTGCAGATGACAGCAGGCTGGGAAGAGCCACTAAGGCCACAGCTGGGGCATGCTCAGAAAAGTGAAACAAAGTATCCAGAATGAAGGGAACACAGACTACAGTGAATGGGGCCTCTGGAGGAAGGAAACTGGAATCTGAGGTTCGGAGAGTCAGCTTCCCCACGATCCCTCTCTCGGGTCCCTTGAACAGGGCTCTGAGGGTCCCCAGGAGTCCCAGGACTCAGGAAGCAGGGCGTTATCTGCACAGTGTGCACTTCAAGGCCCGCAGGCTGCGCAAGGCTCCCAAAGTGCCCTCCAGACCATGTTCTATTGTGTGCGGTAGCCACGGCCCCACCCACCATTGGGCCACAGAACAGCTGCTTCTGCAGAGGTGACACCAGGCCACTGCAGACCCTAAAGCGTCCTCCACATTTGGCGTGCTACTCTGGTCTCCAAGGTAAAGGACTTCCTAATGTCCAGACATGTCAGGTGGTCCTCGGTGGCTCTAAAGTGTCCCTGCACAGATGTGGGTGGGGTGAGGCCCCAGCCTGACCACCTGCCTGCTGAGTTCTTCCGAGACAGAGGCAGAGTGGGGCGTGGGACCAGTGCTGAGTGTGAGCGCAGGTCAGCACTGTGTCACAATGTCCCCAGGGCTGCTCTACAGCCCCCGTATCCTTAGAAGCTGCCTCTCCTCGCACAGCACCCATCTTTGCCTGGCACCAAGAGCTGGCAGGGCGGCAAAGTCCAGCCTACCACTCTGCTGCAATGGGCAATAGGGAGAGGGGCCACGGACCTGCCCTGTTGGGAGGGGCTTCAGTGTGTGTGTGTGTGTGTGTGTGTGTGTGTGTGTGTGCGCGTGTGCGCGCGTGTGCCTGTGTGCATGCACCTGCCCCAGGGGCTGCTGAGGCTTCCTGGCCACCTTCTGCTGGCTGTGTTTATCCTGCAGGGAACTCCTCACACTGCAGGTGGTCGCCTGCTCTTTCTGCCCCTCACTCCTCTCTTGCTCTGGGCTAGGGACTATGCCTGTCCCCCCAAAAGGTGTATCTCCAGGACTGTCCCTGCGCCCAGCAGATGCCCAACAAACATCAGTTGACTGGGTGGTTGCCTGTGCCTCTTCCTGGGCTACTCTGAGCCCAGGCCAAGAATAACGACGGCAACCGGGGCTTCAGCCCTGGACCAGGGAAAGTGGGACAGAGCCTGATGGGCAGGGCCATGTGGGCCAGGACCGGCCAGGTGGCTGGAATATGGGAATACAAGATAAGGTTAGCACTGTAGGGCTCCTACTGAGGGATTAAAATGTTGTGGAATTAGATGGGGGTAATGGTTGCAAAAAGCTTGTGAGTATATTAAAAGCCAGTGAATTCTATGCTTCAAAAGGGCAAATTTTATCTAGAAAACAAACAAAAAAGATAAGGCCTACCCCCTCAAAAGCCATTCCTGTCAATGCAAACACAGTGCCAGTGCCTCCCCCACACTGCCCAATTGTCACTTCTCCTCCTGGTTCCTCTAGGCCAGCCCTGGCCGGGAACCCCTTTGCTTGCTCACCCATTCCCGCCCCCTCAGTCTTCAAACAGTGTCACGTGTTGGCACGCAATCTCCCAGCCTCATCCAGGCAGGAGCTGGCACTCGCTCACACAGACTCACTCTCACAGACTCCCCTCCTACTGTCCAATTCTGTCCTTCCCTTCATCCCTCTCCCACTCATGGAGACTGGGATGTCTGTGGGCCCCTGGGACCCTGCTCTGTGCCAGCGGCTGCGTTGGGTTCTGGGGCTGTAAAGGTGAGTCACAGCCACCCCTGCCCGTGGCCTGGCACACAGAGTGGAGAGCTGATGAATCCACGTGGCTGAGACACATGGCTGCCACACAGCCCAGTCATATGGCAGGAGCAAGGGGTGCCCCTCCACCCAGGCCAGGAGCCGGGGAGCCCTGGGTGGGTCTCAGCCTAGAAGTAGGGAGGGCCGAGGCCTCTGCTTCCACTGAGGACAGAGCCTCCAGGGATTCTTTGCTTCAGCCACAGAAGAAAGACACAGGGCGGAGGGCAGGATGGGGAAGTGGCACAGCAATGAATGACGCCGCGGTCCTGCCCGATTCAGCCCCTGCACACCTGCCACGGCAGGATGTACAAAGGCCATGCACACCAATGCTTGCTGGACTGTCCAAGCACGGCCAGGGAGGGGACTTGAGACCAGGAAATGGAGGTGGGGGGAGGATGGGGGAATGACTCATCCAAAATTAAACAGTGAGGCAAGAGTCAAGCCAACAGCTCCTCAAACAGTTACCCAGAGAGCTGCCATAGGTATACTCCCACTCCTAGGCAGTTACCAAGAGAACTGCAAACGTCTGTGCACATCAAACTTATATATAAATGCTCACAGCGGCATTTTTCCTAATAGCTACAAAATGGAAATAACCCAAAGGCCCTGCAGTGGAGACAAGGAGAAATGGAACGTGGCACATCCACACCAGGGAATATTATTTGGTAATAAAAAGAAATGAAGTACCTGCTACACGTGGATGAACCTTGAAAACACCTGCCGAGAAGCCAGCCACAAAGTCCACATCCTGTATGATGACTCCATTAACAGGCAAATCCACAGAGACAGAGGGTGGATTTGTGGTCGCCAGGGGCGTGGGGAGGGAGGCATGGGGAGTGACTCCTAACGGGTGCAGGGTACATACAGGGCTTCTTTCTGGGGTCATGAAAATGTTCTGGAATTAGTACTGATGGTTGTATAATCTTGCGAAAAATACTAAAAGTTACTCTATGGTATACTTTTAAAGTATACAATAGAGTCGTTTTTATGAATTTTATGGTATGTGAATTGTACAAAAAAAGGGCGGGGGGGGCAAAACCCTAAATCAGCAACCTAATTCCTAACCCATTTGCTCTTGCTCTGCCCACAGCCCGAGGTGGTGGGGTCTCACCCACTCCCTGGTGTCTCTCGCCTGATCCAGGGGAGAGGAGGAGCACGGTGAGGAGATCTGTGTCTCTTTACATCACTTTGCCCCCTCGCCCCCATGCTGCCCATCCCACCCAGGTCTGTCTGCACAGGGGGACAGAGGCACACACCTCTGGGCGGCCAACACTGGTGGCCACGTGCAGCAGGGGAGGAAAGTGAGGAGAAAGTGTGATCCAGCGGGGCGGCTGGGGCCAGGCCAGCACTCGGCAAGATCCCTGTGCCATGGGGACAAACTGATTCATGCTGGGTATCCGGCAGGTACCTACTTCCCTGTCAGAACAGAGGCCTGGAAAAAGCCACCGAGAGGCCTGGCCTGTGCAAGGTTGTCTCCACCCTTCGAGTGGCTCCAGGGCCAGAGGAGCAGGCTGTCCTCGCTCCCGGCCACAATGAATGCCCTCACTTGTCACCAGTCTCACCTCACAGGATACACACAAGGGAACTGAGACTTGGACAGTCACCTGCTCAAGGTAACAGCGAGTCCACCTCAAACCCAGCTCTGGTCCCCAAACCTGAGCCTGCTGATAACACTACACAGGGTGCTGTGGTCAGACAGTCCTGACATCCAATCCTGACCCTGGACCAGTTAACTTCAACCACACAATGCTCCCTCTCCAGACAGCTGCTGAGCAGCTGCTGTGGGCTAGTCCTGTGCTGGGTATAAGAGACACAAGGCCAGACAGGTCAGGCTCTGCCTTCAGTGAGGTCATGGACTCCCGGAGGAGTCAGGTGGTGAGCATTTACTGATAATACAGGGCGGGTGCCAGGGACCCAGTGATGATGCCTGGGGGGGAGCCAGGAGGCTCTGGAAGTAGTTGAGCATGAGTTGGCCAAGGGAGTAAGAAGGGAGAGAATGGCATTCAAAGTATTCTCTTACCTAGCATAAGCCATTCATGGACGCAGAACCACGTGGCACATTCCAGGAAACTAGGCTTTGGGGCCAGCTCCAGAGTGGGGAATGGGGCCAGAGGTGAGGGTATGGCCAGAAATCAGGCCAAAGTGGTAGGCAGGGCCAGATCTTCAAGAGCTCATGACACAAGGCCAGGTGCGGTGGCTCACGCCTGTAATCCCAGCACTTTGGGAGACCGAGGCAGGCAGATCACCTGACGTCAGGAATTCAAGACCAGCCTGGCCAACATGGTGAAACCCCCTCTCTCCTAAAAATACAAAAATTAGTTGGTATGGTGCTGCGAATCTGTAATCCTAGCTACTCGGGAGGCTGAGGCAGGAGAATTGCTTGAGCAGAGGCTGTAGTGAGCTGAGATCGCACTACTTCACTCCGGTCTGGGCAATAGAGTGAGACTCTGTCTCAAAAACAAAACAAAACAAAAAAACAAAACCATAAACCAAAAAAGAGCTCATGACACAAAGAAGTCTGAACTTCATTTTGCAGAGGATGGGAGCCTCAGTTTCCCTATATGCGCAATGGAGATTTGACCTTGCCAGGCTGTTGTGAAGATTACAAGAGATACTTGATGTGCAAAGCACGAAAAGCGGGCACACAAGAAAGGCTGGCTCACCACTTCCATTCCAAGATTTCTGGTCCCACAGCTGAGCTGTTCCCTGGCCCAGGCTTAGTGACTGAGCATGGACAGCAGTGCCCACACCAAGGGCTTCCAACCCCGCTTTCTCCCCTGCAGAGAATGTGCTTAGCCCACCTCAGTACTACTGCCTCCCACCCCACTGCAGAGCACAGCCAGCAAAGCTGCATATTTTACATTTTCAATTCTCTTATTTTAGAAAGTTTAACACCAAATGGCAAATGAATGCAAATTACACTTCAATTGCACAATTAAAGCCGGAAATGTTGTCTACAGGTTCGTTCAGTAATCCCAGCCACTCCTCTTGTGCTTACATATCATAGGATTTGTCTCTGGTCCCCAGAGGCTGGCAAAAAGCCCACAGCCCTGCCTGAGACAACACTGTGTGCGCTTGTGCGCACAGACACACACACACAGCACCCCTCCAGCACTTTAAATAAAGCAGGACCCCGAAACAGCATCCCCATCCCCATCTTCCCTCAGTCTCCTAGAGGTGAGGAGAAGGGGCCACCAAGATGGAGGGCAAGGAATGGCTTGAGGTGGGGCCTGGGGTGTGGGGAGCCGGCTGATACCCGGCTTCTGTGCCCCTCCAGTCCGGCTGCTGCTTCGCTCCCAGTTGCTAGCAAACCTGACTCAGCCCAGGGGGTGACCTTGAGGCTCTGGAGCACCAATCTCGATGCACACCTTGGCCAGGACTCTGCCTCTGCCTGGGGTGGAAGAGAGGCCCTGGTGAGAGGAAGGCCCTGGGAGGCAACCTCAACAGGGGGCCTGGGTCCCAGCAACAGAGACTGTGGGGAGCTGCTCTTCCAGCTGCACCTGGCTTTGAGCCTCTGTGCTGGGCCAGAGTTTTGGTGCTCTAGCCACCTGGAGACCCTGCAACCCTTGGTGTATAGGTAGAAACCTCTGGAGGAGAAGGCGATCTCAGTGGCCTGGCTTACTGTGAGCCCCTCTCAAGGCCTGGAGGAAAGGCCCGAGAGCTAAAGACACGCTTCTAGGCCACTCCTGCCTCAGCTTCCAGGAAAACAGACCTAGTCCTCCTTCCAGTGAGCAGGCTGGCTGGGCCTGTAGTCCTGGCTCTGACGATGAGAAAAGGCTCAAAGAAAGCGGGAGGAAGCCACACCAATTAGTATGCGCTACACAGCTTTTTTGCAAAATGAATATAAAACACTTGTGCTTTCTTTTTGTGTGAGAGAAAGAAGGGAGGAAAGAGAGGGAGGGAGGAAGGACAAGAAAGCAATATTCTGCAGGAGCAGGAGCGCCTGCCGTTACCATGGTGACAGGCGGGGGTGGGGAAGGCCCATCAGCTGGCCCCTGGTTTCGGAGTGGAGTGAGCTGGCCATTGGTGGAGTGAAAGGGTCAGGGTTGGTGGCACCTGGGTGTGGGCAGCATCTCACAAAGCAGCTCTGGAGGGGGTGCTCAGGGCGAGGGGAGAGGGCTTTTTGCCTTCCACGGTGGTGACTTTACACCAGCAAAGGGCATATTTCAATGTGGGAGGAGGGTGAGTGTCTGGGTGGGGCCACCACAGGCTGTCGCCCCAGTGCATTCTAGCAGGTGAAGTCTAGTCTCTCTGGGATGGTGGCTGCTCCTTCTCTTCTCTGACTGGTCCATCCAGGCCCTCACTGTCCCAACACCTGGTCCCAGACCAGCCCTAGGAGACCTCGGTGTGGAAAGCTCCCAGCTCTCACTCTCCCCAGGGTGCCGCGGCAGCTCCTTTACCATCCTGGGAACAGCTGGGGACTGGACACCAGATTTGCAAGGTCAAGTGTCGAGGCTGGGAGGCTCGTTCTCACCTCCCACCAAGATTCCCGAACATAAAGTCCCAGGGCGAGGCACTCAGTCTCAACTGAATAAATACTTGCTGACCTGCAGCGTTGGACAGGAAATGGAAGATGGATGGCTCTGAGCAGCTCCTGCCAAGGAGGATGGACGGAGAGGCCGCCCACTTCACTCTACCCACTTATCCTTAAGAAACTTGGTCAAACGTTCACACAGGCCATTGGTCGGCTGATGAGCCCTAGGAGTCAACTGACTCAGCCTTCTAGCTACTGAAGAGGGAACCCTTCTTGTGTTGACAGGAAATCCCCAAGCTGGGCCCTCTCCAGGCCTGGCCAGGAAGAAGCTGCAAGAATGTTTCCAACGGACACACTTGGTACTGGCGGGGAGAGGTGAACTCAGGCTAAAGGCCTTGGAAGCTGAGGTCTGGCCAGTGCAGGCCACTGCCAAAGGCTATCTGATGCCTCTGCCTGGAGCGGTCAGGTCGCAGGGCCTTGCCTGAAATCTGGGTCAGGTCCAGCAGCTACTTCTTCTGAGGTGGAGCTGATGTGAAGTACACAGGCCCCGAGGGCAGGTATTCCTGGAAAACCTTGGGGTCTTCTGCTCCCCTCCAAGCAGGAGCCTGGCCCCTTCCTTCGTGAGGGGTGCAGCCTGGCTGGCCAAGCCTCTTCAGTCCCTGACCACATATGGAATGGCTCTTGTTGCCCTGGTTTAGGGGCATTAGCCAGAGAGCACACCCTAGGAAGCCGGGCTGCTGTACCCAGGAAGGGTCCCCTGGGGGAGCCATGGGAAGGACAGTAGGGCTTCCACTGCTGAGAGCATGGAAGAAGGCATTGGCACCAGCTGGCACCGGGGCCAGAGGCCTCCGCCCTGGACACAAAGTAAACATGAGCTGCAGAAGGCAGCAATCGGGCCCTGGCCCTGGCCTGGGAAAGGGGTGGCATCCTGAGAAACGCCCTGGTCTGCACGGGGTCACAGCAGCCCTGCCTTCTGCAACAAGGAAGGAAAGTGTTGCCTAAAAGAACGCTTAGCTTTGGTGGTGGGAAAGGAGCACTACTTAGGCCTAGACCCATTTTATTTCCCATTGAGAAAACTGCCTTGATAGAAAACGTTTTGTCTTAGTAAACCAAAAGCAACCTAAAAAAAAATCATAAATCTTAGTTTGTGTTGCGTGACTTTGAACACAAACCCTGGGGGATGAGGACAGCATTCTGTGTTTAAACATTTTGCCACCTTTCCTTCAGTGTCCAGCACTGTGCCACATATGCCAGAGGCCAGCGCCTAACGCTGACTGTTAGGTTCCACTGATTAACAGTGACAGCACCATTAGTGCCAGCACTGGGTCTGGCAGCTGAGAACACTCTAGCGGCCATTCCTCTTAGGGTAAAGGAGAAAAGAAAGGCCAGCCTCAGGTAAGACACCTTTGAGACCAGATCCCTGACCTCCGTCTTCTCTCCCACCCATTCCAAGGTCTCCCCTCCTTCCAGCTGATTCCAGCCATTGCTCACTTGCACCATCCTGGGCCCTGACCCAGAGGGTACACTCTCAGGGTTATAAATTCTCTCCATGAGCTGGGCAGGGAACGGGGTGGTGCCTGCTGCACTGAGAGCAGCACGAGAGTGGTGCCCACTCATACCCGCTATGGCTCTGTCACCAGGAGATAAGCCTAGGGGCCACGGCAGCCAGGAGAAGGCTCCTGCCTCCCTCCAGGGCCCCGCTTCATTGTGGTTTACTTGCAAGCTACGCACAGTCCCCGAGCGAAGGATGCAGGCTCTACCCCATAGGCCTCGCTTCCAATCTGCTGTGGGAGGGCCCAATGCAGCAGGACAGGCCCCAGATGTGGGGCACGTCCAAGGAGATGAGCTCCTCATCCAACCAAACTCCTCTATTTGTTCACTTTCTCAGAGGACGCTTCTGAGCACCTACTGTGGGCTGAATGGACTGTCCTCACAGAACTCCCAGCTAACAGGCCACGATGGAGAGGGATTAGAGCTAGGAGAGGGTCTGAGTGGACGGGGGGACATAAAGACACAGAGGGAACCTGGCCCAGCCTTGATGTGCAGGAGGAGGGGGTGTGTGTGTGTGTGTGTGTGTGTGTGTGTGTGTGTCAGACAGATGGACAGATAAACAAGGCTTCATGGAGCATATAAGTGAGATCTGGCCCAAGTTACTTAACTTCTCCAGTTTCCTCTTAGGGGAAATGGGGAAAATGACAGAACCTACCCTCACAGGGTTGTCTGATCGTGAAGATGAACTAAGATCACTCACAAGGGGCAGAGCACAGGGTGTGGAACAGAGCAAGCCAGTGTGAAAATGGTGGGTCTCATTAGCAGTGGGGGGACGGTCCCAGTCCTCTACATCTCTGGGCTCACCTGGGCTCACCCAGGCTCACCCAAGCTCCTGCCAGTCTGTGGGCCTTGTGACTTGCCAACAGGGAGGTGCCTGGGAAATCCAGCTGATTCAGCCTTGGCCATCTCCAGAGGAGGAAAAATCAACACATGACTTGCAAGAAATTTTGGCTTCTGAGGACGCAGGAACGCTAAGTGGGGTGAAAACCGGGGGCCCTGGCTTGGCTGCCTCGCCTAGGGCTGCATGGAGAGGGCACCAGGGCTGAGAGCTGGGGGTATATGGCCTACAGTCTCTAAGCAAGATCTCACGCTGGTCTGTATCTGTGCTCCCAGAGATGTGCACCAAACCCACTGGGAAGCATGTGAAAAATACCAGCCCCTGGGCACCCGGGCTCTGCTTGAGGGACGACTGAGGAAGGCCGGGAGTGAGGCCCAAGCAGCTGGATTTTAAAAGCTCCAGGGAATTCTGGTGACAGTCCTGGTTTAGATGGCTCTGCTGTGTGGCTTGAGCCGGGGCTGGATAGTGTGCTCAGTCCTGCAGGCAACTCGCCCTGCAGCTTGGCTCTAGGAGGTGTGAGTGAGAGCGCCCATTCCTGCCTCAGGGAAAGGCTGGCTGGGCTGGCTCCTCTTTGTGGGGTTCCTCCTACCCCAGAGGCCCTGCCGCTGGGAGAGCCGCCTCCCTTTCCACCATGCTTCTCAGCCCAACCTCTGCCTTCACCAGGAGCTAGGCAGCACCCTCCTGGCCCCCAATCCATTCATACCAGTTACTGTGCCCAGCTCTGGGTCCTCACTGGTCCATCTGCCCAGGGCAAGGAACATGGAGAGGTAAATACTCAAACCCTCCTGGCACACAGTCCTGTCTTCCCTGCAAGGAGGTGGCAAGGCTGGCCGCAGTTACTCTGGGTCCCCCTGTGCTCTGGGGTGGCTGCTGTGGGCACTGACACCACAAGGTGGGAACATCTGGAAGAATGAGGGGTGGGTAGAGGCCCTCTCAGTGGGTACAGTTCTGGGACTGTTACCTTGCCATTCCCCTCTCTTCCCTAGCAACGATTTGCCGCCAAGCCTCATTTTAGAAGACCACAGTCCTCTCTGAACCCCCAGCAGTGGCTGCTGGTACCTCTGCTGGGCCTGGGACCTAGCTGTCCCCGAGGAGGAAGGCTCAGGGCCGTGGCTGGAGTCTAGCTGCTTTGCTGGCTGGCGGTGGCCCTTCTCCCTGGCACATGACTCCCTCTCACTTGTTCTCAGAAGCCCCCAAAAGAAGCTGCAGGGACAGCCGCGGGGAGAGGGGACAGAGGGCAGTGTCCCCTGCCCACGGCAGGGCCAGGGGAGGGTGCCTCAGGAAGAGGGTCCCCGGGCCATCAGTGCCCACCCAGCTCCTCTCCCCTGCAGGCTGGGCTCTTGCAAGAGGAGTCAAGTTCTTTGGGCACCGACACGGCACCCCTCCATTCTCTGGGCTGAGGCCGTATCTTACTGCGTGATCTGATTTTAAAGATATCTGTGGAATTGAGGTGGGGGTGGAGGGGTGTTTTTGTTTGTTTTGGAGAGTGGATGGAATGAAAATTGGAGGGAAGTGAACACTGAGGCAAGAATCTGAGGAGGAAAAACAAGTACTGTTCTTATGGAAGACTGTCCGCTTCTGAGCAGGCAGCATTAGTATTCCAGGGAGTGGAGTCAGGACCACACAGATTCAGGGCTGGAAGGGATCTCAGACCATCCAGTCCAACCCCAGTACCCTGGGAAGAAAACCGAGGTGAGGCGGTGTCATGTGACCTGCCTGGTCCCGTGGAGAGCCGGGCAGCGTGGGGGCAGAGGCTGGCCCTCCTGATCTGCACCCAGGCGGCTTCTACACCACCCTGCAGCAGGCCTGGCCACCGGCCTCAGCGCTTCTGGGAGAAGGTCAGCCAGGTGGAAGATGGAGAGGGCTTCTGGACTGAGCCCTGGAGGGGGGCTAGGGGCCACCAGGTCAGTGAGCAGCCAGGGACAGCCCATGGGGCCTGGGAAGGAAGGTGCAGGAGAATGAGGTCAAAGTTAAATGCACAGAGGGAGAAGGTGCATTTAGAACTGAAGGTCAGCCAAGGACAAAACCCTATGGGGTCAGCGGAGGGCCTGGGCCTGGATAAGGCAGTGCCTCCACCCTGGGCCGGGTCCCTGCTCTGCAGTGAGGTGACACCTTGTGTGAGGTTTTAGATGCTCTGGAATCAGACAGATTTGACTGTCAATTCTGGCTGACAGTGTGACCTTAGGCAAGTGATCCTCCTCACACCTCGGGGTAACTAAGATCACTCCTGGACCACCATGTGGATTCATTAAGACACAGATGCAATGCACTCAGAATGGGGCACAAGCCCCGCAGACTTCAGCTGGGGCCCTCTCCTCCTCCTAGTCTCCTCCCACTGATACGAGGGGTTGACACATGACCCACCACGGTTCCTAAAGAAAGCTGCAGCGGGGGTGGTGGAGGGGCCGTCATTGGCTCTCTAAGCTGCCCTCAAATGAAGGGGCCTCTACTTTAGTGGAAGCCCCCATTTTGGGGTAGACACTGAGGGATGGCAGTAACAGCTCCTCTCTTTGGGGGACGGGAGAGAGCAGCCCCAGCCACCTGGGAACCTAGGGGCACTCTGCTTCCTCCCACCATTCCTCACAGCACAGCTCGGGGGTTTGGGGCTTCCCCCAGGTGGGACCCCAGGCCAAAGTCCGTGTCATCAAGAATTAAATCCCTTTAAAGCAGGCAGATGAGCCCTGGGACCCAGCTGGCCAACCCACCTGACCACGGTGACAAGGACTGCTTGGGAAGGATAAGGTAAGGGAGTACATCTGTGGACCGGATGGCATGAGGCTGGAGAAGGAAAGGGGCACGCTGGGGTGATACACAGGGCTGCTTCTGCCCTGAGGCAGGAAGCCAGGCAGCCTCACCCCAGCTCTGCTCTGCTCTGCTCTGGGCTGGGCTGAGGCTCCAGGCAGGCGTGGCAGCAGCAGTGGCACTGCCAGCCCAAGTTGGGCCGTTCCTCTGGGCTCCTAGGCAAGCCCCGATCTGCTTCTCTTTCTGGCAACTCGGCCTGGCCCCAGTGAGTGCTCTCCTTTCAGATCTCTGAACCTCCTGAGTTTTTCCGATCCATTTCTCCTGGGACCTGCACCATGAAAACAAATGAACTCTCCCCTTCCTCCCCTACCAAAGCAAATCGCACCTTAAAATACAGTCTAGGGCATGGCAGGGGGTGCTTCCCAGCGCCTACCCTGCTGGTGAGGGGCTGAGAGGCCCAAGACCAAGGAGGGCTGGATAGGGCATCTGCCACCAGTGAAGAGCCCCTCAAGGCGCCCCATTCCTCTCCCCTCAGGACTCAGCAGAGGCTGGGACAGCCCTTGGGGTTCTACCCCATGGGTCAGGCACTTCTGCTACCTGTCCTCAACCCAGGTACCACTGGGTTGGGGAGGCACCGGGCCACCTTGGACCGGGTACATCGCTGTACCCATGGTGTACCTTACGAAACTTACAACAAAAGCTCCTTTTCAGATGCCCTTACACCACTCCCTAGACCTTGCCCCCTACCATCCTTTCCTCCTGAGTCATGGCCGTGCCACAGTGGGTGTGATGGGTGGCCCATGTTCTTCATGCAGTGAGTGGGTTCCCAAACTAGAAACGTTACCACTGCCATGAATACTGTCCTCGGAATCCTACTTTCCAATTTTTCCAGAAAGGTGGTTCTCATTTCTTTTCTTTGCATCTACACCAGTCACAAAAGCCACAAACTCCCATCAGCAATTTTTCTGTTACTCTGAAGCTACGGGAGGGGGAAGAGAGGAGTTCCTCCTGGGTTGAGACTCTTCTCCAAAGTGTTAAGGACGCCCCGGCTCTGAGATGCTGGGAAGACTCTGGGGACACTTTCTCTGTAGGCCCAACTGCAAAGAAAACAGTTCATGCTGGTGACTGAGCCCAGCAGGGCTTGCCTTCTCGATCTCAAAGGTTTTGCTTTTGTGGCTGTGGAGGCTCCAATGCAGGTCCTCTGCTGACGACGCCATTTCTCTTCCTCTCCCTGGACTCAGGGCGGCCAGCTGGAGCCCTTCCGCCTGCGAGTCGGGGAAGTGGCGCTGTGAACCTGCTGACAATGGGGCTCTAATGAGTAGAGCTCATGCTGAATGCAGCCTTGCTCCTGCTCTGGGCAGCCTCAGCCCAGGAGTGCTGGGGAGGCTGGAGAAGGGAAGACGGGAGGGGAGACAAATGCACAGAAGGCCAGTCCTGTGGCCCACTGTGTCCTTGTCTGCCTTTCTATGACCTCAAAATGGAACTCAAGTCCCTCAAACACCCCTGAGGTCCTCCGGCCTCTAGAGACAGGCAGGAAAACAGAGAGCAGCTTCTGTCCTGGGTTTTGCTGCTGAAGCAGAAGCAGGGAGGACCCGGAGCAGATGCAGAGCCCATTGCCCTGATCTCAATGTGCATCTCCAGGCCCTTTACAGAAATGACCTCCTGCATCGGAGGAGCTACTGCTTATCGTGGGTTTATGTGTGCTGGGTCCCAAGGGGAGCATTTGACATTCATGATCTCATTTCATCCTTATAACAAACCTGGGAGCAAGCTTCCACTATTATTTTCTGTTTACAAATAAGGAACCTAAAGCTCAGAGAGGCTAGGTTACCAACCATCAAGTGGCAGAGCCCAAGGTGGACTCCTAGACTTCCTGAACCCAAAGCCCGTGCTCTTAACCACCAGGCCTCAGTGTCACCTGGGTAGAGAAGGAAGAACCAGAGAGGGAAGTCATTCAGAATCACATCAAAATTACAAAACACTGAGAGTACTCATCATAAGTGAATAAAACCTACAAAAAAAGACTCTAAAGCATTACTGAAGGACATCAAGATGGCTCACAGGACTGAGAAAGAGCCTGGCTCCTGGGTGGGGGAGTTCACCACAGTGAGACGCCAAGTTCCCCCAACATACTTGTAACGACAGACAGGTCATTATAATGGGCCAGGGTCTGGGTGAGGGGGTTACGCTTTCTCTTTAAACACGCCTATGAGGCTGGTGTAGACATCATTATCCCCTTTTCACAGGCCCAGGGAGGGTAAACTCCTTGGCCAGGGTCCCCGGTAAGGAAGGTTTAGAGCTAGGATTCAAGCCAGGGTCATGGCCACCTGTCTGGGATGTTCACGTTCACTCACAGGGGAATAGACATCCTTCCAGGATTTTCTGGAGACTGTGATCACCCTGAGAGTTCCAAAAGCAGGCTGGGAGGCAGCTGTGCCTAGGAGTTGTGGACTACCTGAGGTCCCACCATCGGGACCATGGAGAGGGCCCCCATCCCGTGGATACTCACAGGTGGGGGTATGGCCATCTTACAGGCAGAACTCACTCAGGCAGCATGGCGGCTGCCCAGCTGCCAGGCAGCCAACAACTGGCATCTTCTGGGCAGGGGAAGCAGCAGTCTCACCTCCCAAACAGGGACCCAGCAGGATGCAGTGAGCACGCACCCTGCATTCTGCACTGTGGAAATCAGGGTCACATTTTCACTTAAAAAACAATCAGATCTCTAGCTATGGGAGGATTTCTACTCCAGTGCCAGGAATATTAATTTGACACCTGCAAATTCTTTTTGACAAAAGGAATTTTCAGATAACGTCTGCAAGGAGCAGGTGGTGCTGAGGAAACAGCCACTTATCTTGAATAATGGGAAGGCAGAGACAACTGAGGATGCCAGAGGGTGGAGACTAACGAGGTGTCACTCGGTGGAACTGAGGAACAATGGCAGACGAGACACCCCAGCGAGGCCACGCACCCGTGGGACTGACAGAGATGGTGGTGGCAGCAGAGCTGGGTCTCTGAGGCTCTGCTGCGCCAGCTCTTGCATCACCAACACCTGAGCACACTGTCCCCTGCGAGCAGTGGCTCTCAGCGAGAGGGAGGAGCATGTGGGTTTATCACAACCATCCTGGGAGAGCAAGACATTTGCAACACAGATGACAAAGTGAATGTCCCAAATATACAAAGAGCTGCTACAGATCAATAAGAAAAGTGGACGAAGGATCTGGGGGCTGAAGGGGGAGCTTTTTCAAAGTACACATACCAGCTGGGCATGGTGGCTCATGCCTGTAATCCCAGCACTTCGGGAGGCCAAGGCAGGCAGATCACTTGAGGTCAGGAGTTCAAGACCAGCCTGGCCAACGTGGTGAAAGCCCGTCTCTACTAAAAATGCAAAAAGTTAGTCAGGTGTGGTGGTACATGCCTGTAATCCCAGATACTTGGGAGGCTGAGGCAGGAGGACTGCTTGAACCCCGGAGGTGGAGGTTGCAGTGAGCCGACATCACATCACCGCACTCTAGCCTGGGCGAGAGTGAGATTCCATGTCAAAAAAACAAACAAACAAAAACAAAAAACCCACAAAAACAACAAAAAACACATACACCTCTCCATACTCTCCACGCTCAAGAACTTCTGGAACAAGACCACAAAACCTTCCCCTGGTGAAATCATGAGGAAATGAGGAGGAAGATACAACCACACACAAGCTCGCCTCCTGCTGCTGACATGGGCTGGGAGCATGCTGGGTGAGACTCAGGCCTGGTGAGGAAGCGATTAAGGGCCCAGGCTTTAGTGCCAAACAGATCTGGCTCTGGGTTTGGGCTCTACCACCTCCTAGCTGTGTGCAGGTCATGTGACCTCCTCAGGCCATAGTTTTTAGAAATGCAAAATGGAAGTAAGACGACTCCCCGCAGAGAACCGTCGTGAGGGTTCTACAGACACAAGTGAAGGGTCTAGCGCGATTCCTCCCATGGTAATGACTTCCTACAGTTAAGAATCTTCCACGACAACCTGTGCCGCGGGGCTGCCTAGCTGGAAGTGAGAGCCTTCGCAGCGAGCACTGAGGTTAACTTCCATGAGTGAGGACTTTGGTAGGAGAGGACCTGCCTGTCTGGCTGTGTTCCTGCTTAACCTAACAAGCTTTCATAGTCTTGAATCCCAGGGAGCTCCAATTCGAGATCAGGGCTGTTTGGAAATACTTGAAAAATCCTGAGAGGGCACTTTCTAGATATCCTAGAAAGGAAGTTTCAGGAGAAGATGGGCTTTGTCTTGTTCATGGTTGTTTTCCCATTGCCAAGTACACAGCACACCCTCAGGCTCACCAAAGATTAAGCAGGGGACACTTAGGAATGTGATTCTGGAAAGCAACCGGATGGGGTAAGATCAGGACTCATCACTAATGATGAAGGTCCCCAAATCCCTCCTCTAGACAGAAGGGGAAGCAGAGGCTCTTCACTGCTGTTATGGTACCCCTCAACTGTCCCCCAGAGCAGTTTCCACACCCTCCCCAGTGCAGGCCCACAAGACGTGCCCCAAAACCCTGACAACATTTGGCACTTCAGCAAATCGAGTTTCCACAGCCACAGCCTGAACAGCGCTGTTTAATGGACTGCATCTCCGCCTGCTCCCTTTCAATGCGCACACACAAAAACCAATTTCAAGCACAGAAAGCTGGATGGGATTAAACAACTCAGTTTAAAGGACTGAAAACTCAGCTGCTTCCAGTGAAGTCCTAGGGAAGGAACCAATCAGCAAAGTTCTGCTCTTCTTTTTTGTATTGAAATGAGGGCTGTGACTGTGCAGTGAGTCACTCCCAACTCGCAGGCAGAACGGGGCCAAGTCCACCTGGGCCTCGCGCTGCAGGGGGTGGTGCACGAAGAGAGGGTGTGTGTGTGTGTGTGTGTGTGTGTGTGTGTGTGTGTGTGTGTGTGTGTGTGTGTGCATGGGGGGGCGGGGGGTAGGCAGGAGAGGCCAAGGGCATACTCACAGACCATCTGTTTTGGATTTTTCTGGTAATACAGAAAACCTCAGAGGACCTAGAGGTTGATACCTGCCTGTCCATTTCTCTCTTCAGCCCAGGTTCGGGAAAGCAAATTCAGGCTGCAGGACAGCTGCCCGGGCCCCCCACAAGCCTGGCACCAGCCCAGGGAAGACTGAGGAGCCTCACTCCATGGGGACTGGTGAGCAATAGCCCTCTCCCATCCCCCCCACCCAGCCTCATCCACTCTCTGCAGTGTGGGCAGGTCTGTTGATTCACGAGCTGGCTGCCTCATGGAGATACAGCTCTGCCTACAGCTCACAGTGCCTTGGCGCTCAGAAGAGGAAAGTGGGCTGAGGCTCAGCTTGGACCGTCAGCATCTGAGATGCAGCCTGAAGAGCTGGTATGGATGGAGGGATGGGATGCTGCCGTGCAATGGGCACGCGCAGCTGCAAACCCTGCCGCTTGGCTGGGAGGCAGGGGAACCCGGTAAAGGAACACCACGCAATGGGCATGGCTGAGAATGGAGTGTGGAAAGGTGTGTGTGGCTGGGGCAGACTCCTGCCCAGATGACAGGAAGAGCCAGGGGCCCCCTCCACCTCCCAGGCCAGCCTCTGTACTCCAGCTCTCTCAGAGGGCTCACTCCTGCTGCCTGGGATCTGGGTCAGCCTCTCCCTCTGCACCAGCAGCTCTTGGTGGCCCCAAAAAGGCAAAGCTTAAGGGTCCAATTTCAAACTAGAGGTCATAATGGAGTCCAGCTGAAATGAGTAACACAACCAACGCTAACTGAGCGTGCAGCAGGGGCCCGGCCCAGTGCTTAGCATTTTACATGGATCATTTCCCTCTCACATCCCCCTATGGTTACTGCCCTCATTGAACAGAGGAAAACTGAGATGCTGAGATGCAGAGATACTAAGTGTCTTGCCTTTGGGCAGCCTCACTCCAAGCCAAGCTCCCCGCCTGTCCTGTGCTGCCTCCCTTACTGACACTCTGCCCCAGCTGCTCCAGAAGGGACTACAGAAGAGTCCTCACTCCTAAAGTGAGTTTTTTTTTTTGTTTTTGTTTTTTTGAGACAGGGTCTCACTCTGTCGCCCAAGCTGGAGTGCAGTGGCACGATCTCTGCTCACTGCAACCTCTGCCTCCTGGGTTCAAGCAATTCTCCCACCTCAACCTCCTGAGCAGCTGGGAGTACAGGCGTGCACCACCACGCCCGGCTAATTTTTGTATTTTGAGTAGAGACGGAGTTTCACCATGTTGGCCAGGCTAGTCTCGAACTCCTGGCCTCAAGTGATCCACCCACCTTGGCCTCCCAGAGTGCTGGAAAAACAGGTGTGAGCCACTGCACCTGGCCCCAAAGTGAGTATTAAACACAGCTTTACCTCTAGGAAGGATGCACTGTACCAAAATAAGCATATCTCAGTCACTAACAAGGGGAGGCAGGGCAGCCGATGTTCCATAAGTACGGGTGGCGTTGGTGACCTACCTCATCCGATTCATCCGATAACGTCTGCAGTAGGATGGGAAAGAGGCTGTCCGTGTGCCGGAACATCTGGAGGGCAGAGAAGCAGGGGTGCCCGTGAGTGCTCCCTTCGCCCCGGGACTACGTGCAGTGCAGTGTCCCGCTGGTGTGCACGGACCCACTGGTCTGCACGGACCACTTCCCTCCCCGACACAATGAGGGCTCCTCGCAGCACCTGTCACTTCTCTGCCGGCCAGGGTTTCCCTAGAAGGGCAATGACCAAAATGCTACCAACTATGGGCAGGCCCTGGAAAACCAAGGCGGACCCAGAAGAGGCCCCTGGCTTGGAGGGGCCCAGGGCTCACCTTCCGAGGAGTTTTGATGTAGAGGTGGTAGAGCCACTTGAGAACTGCAATCCTGGTCATCATCCCAATGGCCGTGTCACTGAGGTGGCAGTTTAGGACCTGCACGATCCCGTCGAGGTGAAGGGTCACTGGGGCTCTTTCAGTGCTGTGGGTAAGATCGGGAGGGAGAGCAGAGGTGAAGCCCACCATAGCCCTCTCCCATGGAGTCATGGCACCACCCTGGGCCTGCACATCCTGAGTCACACACTGCTAACCACCGTCTAGGGGGATCGGGGGTCAGGGATAACCTGATCCCACACATCCTTGCTGGTCTCCCACCATCCCAGCTCAGCCCAGCCCAGGGGTTTGAAGGGGGCTTCTCTCTCTCCCTTTCCAAAGAAGTTTGGAGCTTGCTGCTGGGCTGGAACCATGATAACCATGTTTTGGGGGATGAGGACCAGTCTGCTGGGCTCCCACTCACTTTTCCTTTTCTTTCTCCAGCACCAGCCTGGCTTGCACAGGAGGAGAAACCCTCTCCCAGTCACTGAGCTGACCTGACCAGGCTCAAGGCATTAAGTTCAGACCCTTTCTTGGAAAAACAAAACCACCAGGTCTGGACTGTATGAGGGAAGGTCCCGATAACAACTGTTGACCTCCGCCAGGCCCTTCACCGGCCATCTGAAGGATGTTTCTCAAGTGAGGTCAGGGATCGAGGCTTGTCATTGTGCCTTGCCACTGCACCAGGGCACTCAGCACATTTGGCCTAGGAGAGACACCCTTGAGAGTTAAGACCAAAATGCGCTCCTTTGAGTTGGGGAAGGGGTAAACACAGCCTCTGCCTATGAGAAACGGATATTGTTCAGGAGGTACTTTTGTTCTGGTGGGCACAGGAAGCCCCCTGGCTTCTGTGGACTGAAGTCCTGCGGGTCCCCAAAGTTCTGCTAAGCAGCCTGCGGGACAGCGGGTGCTGCTGGGAGGCTTGAGTTGGTTTTTTGCCCAAAGCACTGCTCCCTGGCACAGGCTGGGTTTTCAAGGTGGGGGCAGCATGGGTAGAAAAACCTCGGGATATTGGGGAGGGGCTCCCTTCCTACCGAGGCACTACACTGTACTTCCCAAATGGTGCCGACAGGTGCAGGCCAGGGGTTGCATTTTCTAAGGACCTGGGCCAGCAGATCAGTCCCCTGCCGGTATAAAACCGTCTCTTCGTGGCATTTCTAGGCTGCTCAATTATTCATTTGCATCAGGAACTGATGGCTGTGCTTTCCTCACTCGCCTGCAGCCTCTCTGAAGCTCATTTGATGTGAATCCCTAAAGGGCATGATTCTGCGCTCTGTAATTGCTGAGAGGAATTGCTATTTAATATGGTTTGATGATCCCCATGGTGCACATTTCAGGGGCAAGAGTGGGCACATCTATCCTCTGGTGGCCAGGAGCTCCGGGCATGTGATACAGCCACAGAGCCTGGAACTGAGTCTCTGGGCGGGTGGCCACTGTGATATCCCTAGTGGTCACGTGGCTGGAAGTTCCTGGTGTCTTCTGAGGATATCGAAACACTTAAATCTTTGCTAGCCTGAGACAGACGGGGACAGTACTGTGCAGGTAGAGGAGTCTAGGGCGGTAAACACTGGCCCCGTCAATCTCTTAATCAGTTTCTCTCAAGTCCACTGTCCCGCAGAAATACAACGCAAGTCACAGATATAATTTTACATCTTCCAGTTTTCAATTAAAAAGGAGAAACAGGTGAAATGAATTTCAATGCTGTTTTAATTGACCCAATGTATCTAAAATATTAGCATCTCAACATGTAATCAATATAACAGTGAATGTAAACATTCCCAACAAAATCTATTCTCTTTTGTGTCCTAAGCCTTTGGGACCTGGTGTGCATTTCACCGTTACGGTGCACCTCGGTTCAGAGTAGCCAACAGGCACTCAGTAGCCACGTGGCTGCCGCGGAGGCCCACACAACAGTCCACGCCAGGACTTTCTGAGTGTTTCCTTGTCATCTCTGGCAGTTTCCTAGCCACTCCCTTAGCTGACGGCCAGCATTTACTGTTTTATCTCCCATTCCCTCTTTTTCCCGTCCTGCAGAGCTCCTTCCCTTGCGTTCTGTTCCACACACTTTTTGGGCTGGAAGAATCCCCTGGCTAGAGAAGCTCATGTCCTGGTGGTGGAAGAGATGCCGCCCTACAGCCCAAGGCCTTATGCAAAGCAGGTGAACAGAAGCCACCCCCACCCCAACCTGGTCTTTCCTGACCCTGTGAGCCCCAAAGTCTGTAGTGAGCCCCTTTCCAGCAGAAGCCACAGGGACATGTAGGCTGCCAGGGTCCAGGGTGTCACGAGGACCCCGTGCCTGGCAAATCACTGTGACAAGCTTGGCTGAAACAGTACCCCCTGGGAGGAAGGCCTTGTTTTTCCTTGTTTCCCTGGGATCCTTGGAACTGCTCTGGAGCTGCTGGTGAGGAGGAGGGCGGTGCCGTGACCAGGTCCCCTACTCCACTGGCATGGGGCAGGATCAGTGGTGTGTCTGAGCCCCTGGGGGGAATAACAGCTCTGATAACAATGGCAGCCATGATGGCTGTGAAAAGTGAAAGCTCTCCTGGGCGCTTTCCTACACAGCCTCAAGTCACTCCTTAAAAAGCCCTATGGCCTAAAGCATGCCACTTCCATTTCGGGGAAGAGGGAACTGAAGCACACAGATAGGAAGTCACCTGGCCAAGATTACACGGCCAGGGAATGGTGGGGCCGCACTTTGGATCTGATCAGTCTGACTCCAGAATAATCTCACCCGCCACACGGCACAGCCTCCTGACCAGGGCAGCAGGCTCAGAGAGAGTCCCTGGTGGCATCGCCTCCACTGTATCCTGGGAGGGGCAGCAGAACGGCAGCTCCAGTGTGGACCAGCCCCTCTGCACCCAGGGGATACCTGGCAGCTCCAGGTGTCCGTGGAAGGAGGTTAGCACACATTTTTCAGTGTAATTTTGTATGAGAAGGGTAGACAGTGGCTCACACCTGAAATCCCAGCACTTTGGGAGGCCGAGGCAGGCGGATGATTTGAGGCCATGAGTTTGAGACCAGCTTGGGCAACACAGCAAGACCCTGTCTCTGTGAAAAATTTAAAAAATTAGCTGGGTGTGGTGGTACATTCCTATGGTCCCAGCCACTCGGGAGGCTGAAGTGGGAGGATTATAAGATCCCAGCTGCTGCCAGCTCCCAGCTGTCAGCTCACCTATGGTGAGCTATGACTGTGTCACTGTACTCCAGCCTGGGTGACAGAGCAAGACCCTGTCCCAAAAGAAAAAAAAAAAAAAAAGAAAAACAAGGGGAGGCAGAGGACACGGGGGAAGCCTGGTGCTCCCCACCAGTGCACTAAGAATCCAAAAGGGCCAAGATGTCAGGCTGGTTGGCCCCTCGGCAAGCTGAGCTCTGTGGCTCACAGTGGCCCTAAGATGCTGCTGGCCAGCCTGTGGGGCCTCTCCTGCAAGTGGTGCTGTGTCAGGGCCAAAGAACGGCAGCATATCACGGAGCTGGTATGTGAACTGGCAGCATTTCGTGTATTAACATTCTCCAACTTTCTCCACAGCAAACACCTGAACACAGCGAACCTGAAGGTATAGGGCATCTTCAGGCTGCTACTGAGGCGGTCCTGCCGCACTCAACCCAGAACCTCATCACTAAAAGGAACCTCATGGTTCAGGTAACACAATCCTTCAAGGTACGGATGAGCAAGCCCAGGTCCAGAGGCAGTACGGGACCCATCTGAGACCATGAGGCCATGTACCAAGCAGTCATTCCCTGGGCTGGAGACACTCTCCCTGGGCTTTTCTTCCCTTGCCTGGCTGGAGGTGGAGGTCATGGGAAGCAGGTGGACCCTAGAGGACCAGGCAGACTGATCTTAGTGCCTAGGAAAGGGAGGGTCAAGATCCCAGCTGCTGTCGGCTCCCAGCTGCTCTGCTGGGCAGGGTTGGCTGCTGCTGCTGAGCTCTGCACATGCTCAGCAGGGGAACTGGGGCTCTGGGACCCTGCACTCTTCCTAGAGGGCACACTGCATGATGTGCTCAGTTCCCCAGCTGCTGGGCCGGAGCCTGAGAGGTAGCACCCTGCTGTCGTGGCTTACCTTACCCATCAAGAACAGAGGGAGCTCACTCAGTTTAAAATACATTTCTGCATCAGTTCCAAAAAGTCTAGACGAGTCACTCCTGGGGGCTTCTGAGTTATTTCAAGGTGTCTGCAAAATTCCATTTTCATGGAGCATTTTCTCATAAAGCATCTTATAATGAATGTCTTACACATACGCGTACTACAGTTTCCAAATGCATGGCGCTGCTGTGACTATTAAAATATAGATTTACTGAATAATGCTTCTGATATTACCAATAAATAATAATAAGTTCCAGTTGTTCTCTCAGGGAGACAGCACTTCATTTCTGTAACGTCTAACTTTTTACAGTGTTCGGGTTACATCTCTAATCAAATCAGAAGAAAGGTAAATCTAAAAATAGAATTGCTTCTGAAATTGAACTTGCTCTTTAAAATACAGATAATTATAAATTTTTTCAATCAGCAGAGGCTACAAGCTGGGAAATACTGATTTCTAGAACTTTCTGCCTGCTTATTTACAGGGCAGCTAGCTACACCAGGAGAGCTGGTGTCACTGAAGACATCATGACCCTTGGCAACAGCCTGAGCCTCATAGTGGGGACTTCATACAACACCTGTTTGAGAACTCCTAAATCAAATGAGTTAGGGAGGCCAACTGCAAAAGTGGAACTCTCCAACTGCAACTAATAAAGTTAAATGCACGGGCTCTGGAGTCAGACAGATCTAGCTTGAATTCCAGCTTGGCTACTAATTAGTTGAGTGACTCTGGGCAAGAAGTTAACCTCTCTGGGTCTGTTTCCTCATTTGTAAGATGGGGATAATAACAAGGTTCTTGTAATAACAATTGTAGCTAAAGTGTGTAAAGTGCTTTCTGCGGCCCAGGCACCATGCTATGTTCTTTACATACTTAAAAAGCTTTTAAAAATTATTATTATTATTATTGAGACAGGGTCTTGCTCTGTCACCCAGGCTGGAGTGCAGTGGTACAATCATGACTCACTGCACCCTCAAGCTCCGGGGCTCAACTGATCCTTCCAACTCAGCCTCCTAAGCAGTGGGAACTACAGGAATGTGCCACCACACCCAGCTCATTTTTGTATGTTTTGTAGAAACAGGTTTTCACCATGTTGCCCTGGACTGGTCTCTAACTCCTGGGCTCAAGCAACCAGCCTGCCTTGGCCTCCCAAAGTGCTGGGACTACAGGCGTGAGCCACTGTGCCTGGCTGTTCTTTACATACTTTAACTCACTGAAGCCCCATATCCCTTTGAGGTCAGTACTATCATTATACTGAGTTTAAAGATGAGGAAACTGAGGCGGGGGAAATCACGCTACTTGACCAAGGCCACAGCCAGGCATGCTGGAGTTAGGGCATGAATCCAGGCAGTTGGCTCCACCAGGCAGAGCAGTCACGAGAGAGAACACACCCAGTGGAGACATTTCTCTCTTAACCCTTTCCTCAGCTGGCAAGCATGCTTCCTCCAACCGGGTTCCTTCACGTTCCACCTCTCCCTGGGGAGTCCAATTTTCCACCTCCCATGTATTTCCCATGCTCTGGAGGGTGGAGGAACCCAGACCTACAGCCACCTCACCACCTGCTGCTTTTCCAGGTGGCATTCTTCCATGGCTAAGCCTGGGGCCACCAGGGGCTTCCCGAGTATCGCAGGAAGAGGGGAGATGAGGGAGGGGGAAGACAGCTTCTGCTCTCAGGTTTAGTCAGTTAATTCTCCCTGTGTTTCGGTCCAAGTGAGAAATCTTTCATAAAAAATCTGGGATGCAAGGATTGCTTCCATGGTGATCCTTGAACCCCTGAAAGTGAATTCAGAATTTCATGTGGATGTGCATTTTTTTGGTGTGTGTGTGACAGAGTCTCGCTCTGTCACCCAGGCTAGAGTGCAGTGGCGCGATCTCGGCTCACTGAAACCTCCGCCTCCCAGGTTCAAGCAATTCTCCTGCTTCAGCCTCCCAAGTAGCTAGGAGTACAGGTAAGTGCCACCACGCCTGGCTATTTTTTTTTTTTTTTTAATTTTTATTTTTAGTAGAGATGGGGTTTCACCATGTTGGCCAGGCTGATCTCGAACTCCTGACCTCAGGTGATCCACCTGCCTTGGCCTCCCAAAATGCTGGGATTATAAGCGTGAGCCACCGTGCCCAGCTGTGGATGTGCATTTTTTTTGGAAGAGGGTCCATAGCTTTCATCAGGCTCTCCAAGGGTCAATGGCCACTCAGAGGCACAGGACTGCCACCACCATGGCAGTTTCCAGCCAGGTGGGAATGCCTTTCTGCCGTGGGAGGAGTCTCCAGTCTGGCCACCACCCTGGGCAGACCTGAACTGAGTGAAACTGGTGGCCTCACGTGGTGCCTTGGGCAAGCGGCGCAGCTGAAGAATCACAGGGTGGGTCTGGCTACCTGGCAACTCTGCACGATCCCACCCGTGTCCAAGCTCAGTCTCACTGTGTCAATACCCGCTGTGGGAAGAAGGTGGTGGGCTGGAGCCCGGGCATGTTGGCTCTGGTTTTACAACTCTGAAGGTGCCCAGCTCTTGAGCACAGCTGGTGACACTGACTGTGCAGCTGCCACGTGGGGATCTCTGTCACCAAAAGTCAGGAAGCACTAGATCATTTGTTCTTGTTTGGTTTTTTAGGTAGGATGGTTTGGATTTTAGGTAGGATTTGGCATTGGCTCCTGAATGACAAGTATAAACCAAAACCCTCGTCCAGTCTAGCACTTCCTGGCCTTGGCACAAGAACTGAGGGCTCCTGTAGGCTCATCCCAGCCGACAGTAGCACAGTCTCCCCAGCGAGGCAGCGGACAGCGGTGCCCCTCTGCAGCCCATGGCTTAAGCCTACCTCTGCCTTCTCCTAGACCTCCCCGACCTCCCCCTCAATCCCCATAGCCCAGATTACAGAGACAAGTCTACAACAGGCTTTTGGCTGCCAGAGGGAGGCTTTTAAATCCCAGATCAGATCCTGCCATTCCCACTTGTGACACTGTCTCCACAGCCTCCAGCGCAAAAGCTAAGCCCTCTGCAGGATACACAAGTCCTCGCATGTCTGTCCAGACCGTTCCCCGAGTTCCAGGACCCAGTACCTGAGTCTGCCTCCCCCTTTCTCCTGGGATGCTCAGAGCCACCTGGAACGAGCTCTTGACCACCCCACCCACACCTGCTCCTCCTTCCAGCCCTGGTGTGCAAATGACACTAGGATAGCGGGGGTCTGGCTCACACCAAATTTCTAGAAGGCAGTCTTTCCCTCACCTCTCTCCTGCCTACCCCATCCCACCCATCAGTGAGTCCTGTGGTTCTCAACACAGAGCTCAAACCCACCCAACTTTCTCCACATGCTGCTCCTCCCCAGCCTGAGCCCCCATCCCCTCTGATGGGGACAACGGTGACAGCTCCCTAGCGGGTCTGCATCCACCGGGCCCCTCCTAGATCCACTGTCCACAGAGCAGCCCCGTTCTTCCTCCCTTCTCGTCCCTGCCATGAAAGTAATACTACTGACCCCACGAGACTCAGACAAAGCTGAAGGATCCGACGTAAAGGTTTAGCACTGCGCTGGGGCCCTGGAAGCCTGGCTATGTTGACTGGCATTAGCTGTTATTCCCAGCCAGTCTTCTCATTGCCTGGGCTCAGGCACCATGGCCCTCCCTTTCTGGTAACTTCACCCCTCACATCAATCACTCCTCTTTCCAGTAACTTCCTGGCTACTTCTCTGCCTCACCACTGGAGTAAATGAATGAAGGTCAGGGACACATTCAGGGGCCAGCTCTTATCTTGGAGCCTACAGGGGTGAGCACAGGCAGGTGCACTGGAACGCGTGGCAGCTATGTGAAAAGGAGAGAATGGCAACATTCGCTGATCTCCTCCATCAACGTAGGGGACTCCTAGTGGTACATTTCATAAACGGCTGCACCTGCGTGCTTGGAAAACATGCTCAGGGTGCTGAGGGATGAGGATAAGTTCACAAATGACATCGATGAGGGAAGAACCCTAGCTAGGGGTCTGGGGGGAAGAGCCTCTTGGGGTAGAGTGCACACTTTCTCTTCATGAGTGATTGGCTCTCCCAGGGCCCAGGTTCACTGTCAAGTTCAGGGGAAAGAAACCCCTGTATGAGACCCACCATCCACTCTAGCCCCAGAGATGCCAAGGTCACCCAAAGAAAAAGTGACATGGGGCAAGTCCAGGGGACTCAGACCAGGGCAGAACCGTTACAGTACCTTCCGCGGGGAGTCCCTTCACCTTGCAGGGAGTATGGAGGGAGCCCCAAGGAAGAGAATTATTTTGCTGCCTGGTCTGCACTGCCCCCATGTGGAAGACTGCGCCATTACAGCTGACCTGGGCGCACAGGAGACAACAGCTCCTGGGGCCGGTGATTTATCCTTAATCTTGGACATGATTAATGACTGCCCATGCTCAGGCTGTCCTTGAACAGACTTCCCCTTGTGGGTCTTGTTGGCCCCCCATCATCCTGGACAAACAGACAGCGATGAGTCAAGGCAACTGTGTCTCACTGCAGTCACCATGTATTAGCTGTACTTTTATTATTATAACTTGCGTTTACTGACCTCCAATAGCTTAATTTTTTTTTAATATTTAAAAATAAGTAAGAACAATCCATTTTCTTTCATTCCTTTTTTTTTTTTTTAAGACATGGTCTCACTCTGTTATCCAGGCTAGAGTGCAGTGGTGTGATCTCAGCTCACTTCAACCTCTGGCTCAAGTGATCCTCCCACCTCAGCCTCCCCAAGTAGCTGGGACTACAGGCACACGCCACCAGGCCCAGATAATTTTTTGTATTTTCAGTAAAAACAGGGTCTCGCCATGTTGCCCAGACTGGTCTTAAACTCCTGAGCTCAAGCGATGTGCCTGCCTTGGCCTCCCCAAGTGCTGGGATTAGAGGCATAAGCCACCATGTCTGGCCCCCAGTGGCTTCTAATCCGCCCTATCTATCCATCAAGCCTGGGTGGGGTGGGCTTGCTCAGTGTCCTTCAGATTCCTTCATCAATTAACTCTTTTGTGTACGAGGGTGTCCCAAAAGCAGCAGCCGCGAGTAGAATTTGCCTTGGGTCATTGCTGTAGTCTCCCGCATCCAGGAAAGATCTAGGCCGCTCGCTTTCCACAAACCTTCTGGCTGAAACAAGCCACTTACCTGGCTGCAGTGAAGACACTGATGCCGCTACTGAAGCTGGAGTCACAGGAACCATCTGGACCTCCTGGGAGAGGAAGAGGAACAAGGGGTCATGAAAGGCTGTTGGCTCTCTTGAATAAACAAGACCCCTGTGACAAGCACACACAGAACTCTCCAGAGCCCCATACCTTGATTCAGGCTCTTCAAAAGGACCATGGCTCTGGAGCCCTGAGGACCCAACCAACGCCCAGTCATTCTCGATAGTCCCCAAGCTTGTAAGTCTGTAGTCACAGTGATCTCACAAGGAGGGGACACCAGTGCTAAACACATCTGTCAAATCTCAGAAGGGATCACTGGCCTGAGGGGAATGGATGTTTAAAATGACAGATAATACCCAGCATCCTTAGCTATCAGGAAAATGCAAATCCAAACCACAAGATACTACTGTACACCCATCAGGATGGCTAAAATAAAAGACAAATAATAGCAAGTGTTGATGAGAATGTGGAGAAACTGGAACCCTCGTACATTGCTGGTGGGAATGTAAAATGGTGCAAGCTGCTTTGGAGAACAGTCTGGCCATTCCTCCAAAGGCTAAACATAGTCACCACATGACTCAGCAGCTCCACTCCTAGGTATATGCCAAAGAGAAATGAAAACTTATGGCCACATGAAACCTTGTATATCAATCATGTTCACATCAGCATTATCTACAATAGCCAAAAAGCAGAAGCAACCCAAATATCTATCAACAGATGAATGGATAAATGAGGTGTGGTATAGCCATACAATGGACTATTATTTGGCAATAAAAAGGGATGAAGTACTGATGCACGCCATAAAAATGAACTTTAAAAACATTGTGTTAAGTGAAAGAAGCCAGTCATAAAAGACTACATATTGTATCCCTTTCTCGAAAGTGTTTAGAACAGGCAAACCTATGGAGACGGAAAATGGACTGGAGGTTGCCTAGGACTGGAGGAGACGGGGGAATAGGGTATAATGGCTAATGGATTCTTTCAAGGGCACGGAAAATATTCTAAAATTGATTGTGGTGATGGTTACATAACCCTGTGAATCTACAAAGTCACTGAATTGTACACTTGATGTTGGGTGAATTGTGTGGTACATGAATTCTATCTCAATAAAGGGCTTAAAAAATGACTTTGGGGAAAGGACTGTGACTGCACTGTGTCTGTGCCCGAGTCTTCCTCCAAGTGGCCAACTCAATACCTGTCTTAGTATTTAACTTACCATCATATAACCCAGGGTAGAAAAGCATCTACCTGGCATCGACTACTTATTTTTCTCAGTTAAGGAATAACCTTTAAATTCCAACCTTTTTCTTTTGGCATCTAATCAAGTTTCCTAAAGAGCCAAGATGTTCTAGATCTGGAAAGCTGCTGGTAGGATCCTGTTCCGCCTTCAGTCCCCGTCTAGGCACTGGCCACAGCTCTCACTGCACTGAGGAGGGAAGAGGGGGCTGGCAGTCCTGCAGTGCTTGGGGTGGGAGGTGCTATAGGAAAAAATTCCAGACTCCTGATACTAATTTTTTGTAGTTGTGAAATAATTTTAGATGTACAGAAAAGTTGCAAAAAGAGTAAAGAATTCTTTTTATACCCTTTAGCCAGCTGCCCCTAATGCTAACATTGTACATACCCATAGTTCAATTATTATTATTATTATTTTTTTTTGAGATAGAGTCTTGGCTCTGTTGCCCAGGCTGGAGTGTAGTGGCACAACCTTGGCTCACTGCAATCTTCGCCTCCTGCACTCAAGAGATTGAGCCCACCTCAGCTTCCAGGGTAGCTGGGACTATAGGCACGTACCATTAAGCCCGGATAATTTTTTTTTTTTTTGTATTTTCAGTAGAGATGGGGTTTTGTCGTGTTACCCAGGCTGGTTACAAACTCCTGGGCTCAAGTGATCCACCCACCTCAGCCTCCCAAAGTGCTGGGATTACAGGCGTGAGCCACCATGCCCGGCTCCATAGTTCAATGATCAAACCCAGAAGGTTAACTTCGATACACTACCATTAACTAAATGATTACCCTAATTTGAACATCACGAGTTTTTCCATTCCTGGCCTTTTGTTCCAGGATCTCACACTGCATTTAGCTAAACTGTCTTCTTTGTCTCCTCCAATCTGTTGCAGCCCCTCAATCTGTGTGTCTTTCATAAACTTGACACTTTTGAAGCGCTGGTCACTCTGCAGAATGTCTCCCCGTTTGGGTTGGTCTCACGTTTTCTCACGAGTAGGGAGTTGCGCATCATTGGAGGGATGTCACGGAAGTGCTGCGCCTCAGTGCACCCTATCGGGGGAACGTGTTGTCTGTTAGCCTCATTACTGGTGACGTTAACCTCATCGCCTGACGCACAGTGTCTGCTGGGTTTCTCCCCTGTAAGGTTACTGTTTTTCTGTTTGTAATTAATAAATAACTTGGGGGAAGATACTTAAGATTGGAAAAATATTCTGTTTTCCCTCAAACATGTCCCCAGTGATTGACCGCAGCACTCAGGGCTGGAGCTTGCCTATAACAAATATTACTGTGGAATTTGCCTGATGGTGATTTCTGTCTCCCCTTTTCCTCCATTATTGACTAAAATTTTCTTTTCTCTTTCTCCCCCTCTCCCCTCTCCCCTCCCTCCCTCCCTTCCTTCCTTGTTTTTTTTTTTGATACGGTTTGACTCTGTCACCCAGGATGAAGTGCAATGGCATGATCTTGGCGCTCACTGTAACCTCCGCCTCCCGGGTTCAAATGATTCTCATGCCTCAGCTTCCTGAGTAGCTGAGATTACAGTGGCGCGCCACCATGCCCGGCTAATTTTTTTTTTTGTATTATTAGTAGAGATGGGGTTTCACCATGTTGGCCAGGCTGGTGTCAAACTCCTGACCTCAAGTGATTGATCCACCTCAGCCTCTGAAAGTGCTGGGATTACAGGCGTGAGCCACCATGCCCAGCGTATTGACTGAAGTTTTCTGTAAGGAAGAGCTGTCCCTTCTCCACCATTAATCAATTCAATTATTTATGTCATTATGGACTCCTGGATATTGATATTATTCCGTGGGTTACAAATCAAAATGATCATTATTTATATTGTTGTTCAAATGATACCAGCCTTGGCCTCTTAAAAGTTTTAAATTATACAAATATATCCTCATTCTAAAATTTTCAAACACAAAGCAAAACCTCTTTCTCTCCTTAATCTTCAATCTTACTTTTCTCTACCTGCCCATCACCGCTCCCCGGGGTAGGCAAGTCTCTTGTGCTGGCTTGTGCTGTCCTACTTCTTATTTTGTAAACATAAACGGGATCACAAAACTTATTTTCTGCAACTTGCATCTTTCACTCTGTCCTATGGCTTAGAGCAGTGCTATTCTAGGTGCGGGCCATAGACCTTTTCTCCTAGTAAAGGGGGCCTTTATTTCCATGTCTGTACTGCTGCCTGCCCCCTGTAGACCCAGGACGCAGCTCAGAGGGGACAGGGGCAGCTGTGGCAGGGGGCTGGGCCCGCTCAGATGCTCGTCCTCCTAGTGCCAAGGCCCAGGCAGCCTGGTGTCTGTCTGATGGACCAGGGCCTGGGGAAAGGTGAGGAAAAGCTGGGGAAAGCTGGGCAGGATAGACTGGAACAGCAGCCAGGACTCCATGCCCCTGGAGGGCATCTTTTAGAAATACCCACATTTATAGATGAAATAATGTGGCATCAGAAATTGGCCTCAAATTAATTTAGATTGTCTCCAGATTTTCACTCTTACATCTCTCCTGTGCTTTCATGCAGGGTGGGACTGCTGAGGGGAAGGATTGGGCACTTCTTATTTTAATAGGTATTGTCCTTTAGGTTCTACCAATTTATGTGTATTTCCAAATTGGAAGAGCAGTTACCCCTTCTAAAGCCTTTCTTCACCTGTACAATGGGGGTAATGACAGTACCTATACCCTAAGCTTGCTATGACAATGAATGAGCTAACATTTGTTAGGTGTTTAAAATGACACCCACCATAAGAACTATTGTAGCATTTTTTGTTTGTTTTTTAGAAATGGGGTCTCATTCTCTCCCCCAGGCTGTAGTGGCGTGATCATGGCTCACTGCAGCCTCGAGCTCCTGGGCTCAGGAGATCCTCCTGCCTCAGTCTCCCAAGTAGCTGTGACTAAAGGTGTGTGCCACCTCGCCCAGCTAATTTTTTAAAATTATTATTTTTGTAGAGACAGGGTCTCTCACTTTGTTGCCCAGGCTGGTCTCAAACTCCTGGCTTTAAGCAATCCTCCCGCCTCAGCCTCCCAAAGTATTGGGATTACAGGCATGAGCCACTGCACCTGGCCCATTTGTTACATAAAGGATTAATGGCCCTGTCATGGACTTTCACATTTTTCTTCCATTTCTTTCTTCTGACTTAAAAGAGCTCTTTCTTGTGTTTGGATACTAACTCTTTAATGACAAAATACATTGCAAATATCTTCTCCCAGTCTGGGCCTTGCCTTGTAACTTTTAACCTTTTTTCAGTTACACCAATTTTATTTTGTTTTGAGATGGGGTCTCGCTATATTGCCCAGGCTGGACTTAAATTCCTGGGCTCAAGGGATCCTTGTACCTCAGCAAACTGAGTAGCTGGGATTAAAGATACGCACCACCACACCACCTTCAGTTTTTAATTTAAATATGGTTTGTTTCAATTTTTTTTTTTTTTAATAATTTTTGCTTGTGGGTCTTGTTTAAAAAATTCTACCAGGTTTTTTTTTTTTTGAGATGGAGTCTTGCTCTGTTGCCTATGCTGCAGTGGTGTGATCTCGGCTCACTGCAACCTCTGCCTTCCAGGTTCAAGCAATTCTCCTGCCTCAGCCTCCCAAGTAGCTTGGACTATAGGCATGCACCACCATGACTGGCTAATTTTTTGTATTTTTAGTAGAGATGGGGTTTCACCATGCTGGCCAGGCTGGTCTCGAACTCCTGACCTCGTGATCCGCCCACCTCAGCCTCCCAAAGTGCTGGGATTACAGGTGTGAGCCACCGCGTCTGGCCCCTAATTTTTGTATTTTTAGTAGAGACGGGGTTTCACCATGTTGGCCAGGCTGGTCTCGAACTCTTGACCTCAAATGATCCGCCTGCCTTAGCCTCCCAAAGTGCTGGGATTACAGGCATGAGTCACCATGCCCAGCCATAAACATGTATTAAAACAACACTGAAGCACCCGTTAGTGTTTGTCATGTGCTAAGCGATTTACATGCAAAAATTTTGTCTGAAACACACAACCACACTATAGGTTAGGTATTACTATTGTTACCCTACTTAACAAATAAGAAATCTGAGGCTCAGAAAGGGTAGGCAGCTGTCTGAGGGGAACAGATATAAAGTCAGCAGAGCCAGGACTCATAGGCAGGTTGTTCAGACCCCAGAATCTCTGCTGCCATTCCTGAGACAATCAGGTCACGTCCTGGAGGGGACCAGGCTGGACACGCAAAGTGCCATAAGAGCTCAGAACCAGGGAAACGGCACTGTGCTGTGGATGGCCCCAAGTGGCAGGCCAAGGGGGAGTCGGAGCAAGTGAAGAGGCACAGATGAGGGGCTGCCCTGACTGGAGGTCCTGTGGTTAGAGGAGGAGGGAGAAGATGCGGAGGTGGGGCAGGGGTGCAAATATGCACACACACAAAGGTTCTTGCCCGGAGGTGTGCCATGAGGAACGTGGTGCTGTCGGCGGATCAGCACAAGTAAACAAAGAAGGCCAGGCATGAGGTCCTGTCTCCAGCCAGGTGGACCAGAGTGGGAACAGAGGGAGCAGAGAGGGAAGAGTGAGCAGGAGAGGCTGTGATGAACTTGTCCCTGACCAGCGAAGCTATCTGTCCTGCGGCTGGCAGGGACTGTCTCCTGGGCACCTTGGTAAAAGACTGGTGATTAGTTAGTTACAAGCTAAGCAGGGCTGAGAGTGGATGTAAAGGCGCCAAATTAGCTCTTACCATCTCTGGGAACTAGTACAAAGTGAGCTTTTCATCTGCTGAAATGCTGTTTATGAGGCAGTAAAATCCAGAGCCAAGAGGCATGAATGTATCCTGGTTAGGGTAATACTCTCCTGGGCAAGCAGCTGTGTGAAAAAATGCTTAGGAAAACCATCTAAAAAGGTAGATAGGCTGCACTGGCCGGGAATCAAACCCGGGCCTCCCGCGTGGCAGGCGAGAATTCTACCACTGAACCACCAATGCTCCAGCTGGTAGGGATGTTTTTAGTTGAGGCCACGACCCACAGGATGGAGTGGTTCCTTTCTAGCGGGCTTGACTTCTTGCCACATAAGCAGAAAGGTGGCAGGGGCTGTTGGGTTCTAATTTAGAGGAATAGGCACTGACTTTTTTTTTTTTAAATTGAGATATAATTCATATAACATTTCACATAACAAAAATTTCACCATTTTCAAAGTGTTCAACTAGGTAGTTTTTAGTACATTCACAAAGTTGTGCACCCATCACCTCTATTTAATTCTAGAACATCTCCATAACCCCAAAAAGAAACCGGGCATCTGTAAGCAGTCAGTCCCAATTCTCCTTTTCTTCAAACCCAGGCAACTGTTACTCTATTTTCTGACTATGGATTAAGAGGCACTGTGAACTTCAAACAAACAGAGCAGAAGGTGAAGCTGTGTTAAGTTCTATGATCTTAACTACGTATATATATTAAAAACTGGAAAAAATACATCAAAATTTGAACATTCATTGCCTCTTGGGGATAGTCTTGTTTCTTTGCATTTTTCTCTACTTTCCAAATTTTCTAAAATTAGAATTAGAAAACAAAAATCAAACACTCATATTTCAGTGAGAGGTCACAAAATATGTATCCCCGAGTCTTCTAGTTTCTCCCAGTAAAAAAAGCTCCTCCCTTTGAAGGCCCGCACTAGCTTATCCCTCCAAGTTAACTTATTTCTCCAAGTTTTCTTTTTCCAGGAGCTGCCAAAAAGCTTTCAGCTGCTGCATTGGCCGGGAATCGAACCCGGGCCTCCCGCGTGGCAGGCGAGAATTCTACCACTGAACCACCAATGCTCCAGCTGAGTGCTGTTCTGCCTCCAGCTGTTTTGTTGCTCTGATTCACAGTGGTGATGGCACAGCTGTAACCTGACACCTGAGATGGGTCCAGCATGGACAGCTGCTGGATTTTACCAGCCAAACCTATGGGAGGAGGTGGGGCATGCATGCTTGACATTCTGCTCAGCTGTTCAAAAGAAAAGTCCATGAATGGCAATGGGAGAATGCTCAGCAATTCTTTTGGCTCCTGTGGGCAGGTTCCAGACCTTACTCTGTTATCCTTAAAGATCTGAGTAGGCTTAGTCTTCCCTATAAAAAATTTCTTGACAAATTAGCTGAAACTGTCATTCACTTGTTTCTCTTGTTTTATGGCCTTGTGGGTTATTCTACTGAATGCTGTGATTTCTTTTACCACTGGTTGATTTGTCTTGTTTTGCTGTCTTGCCTCCTTGACTAGACTGTAAGCCTCTGGAGCACAAGGACTTTGTCTGGTAAACACAGCTTGATGTATAACAGATGTTTGCTAAATGTTAGATTTGTAATAAATGGAATTTAACTAGAAAAAAAAATCTGAGTAGGTTATATCTCAGTTTACTCTGGCTGCTTCGGCAAAGGAGGACATCAACCCAAAGCTGATCAGTGACCTCTTGGTGAGGACAGAGACCCAAGAAATATGAAAGCATCAGGGTTCTAGATTACATCTGGAGTCAAATTCCAGATGCCAGTCGGCATAAATGTGGTTTCTTTTTTCTTTTTTTTTTGAGATAGGGTCTTTCTCTGTTGCCTAGGTTGGAATACAGTGGTGTGATCATAGCTCACTGCAACTTCTGCCTCCTGGGCTCCTGGGCTCAAGTGATCCTCCCGCTTCAGCTTCCTGAGGAGCTGGGACTATAGGTGTGCACCACCATATCTGGCTAATTTTTGTAATTTTTTTTTTTTTTTTTTTTTGGTAGAGATGGGGTTTTGCCATGTTGCCCAGGCTGGTCTCAAACTCCTGAGTTCATGCAGATTGCCTCAGACTCCCAAAGTGCTGGGATTACCCAGCCCGGCCATAAATGTGGTTTCTTATAATGCAGTTTTCTTTACCTTACAGCTAAACAAGAAAATTATGTTAGAGGAGTCTGAAAGGAGAGCAGAGCAACTTCACTTTTTAAAGGCACTTATTTGGGCAAGAGAATTTTCAAGTACAGAATAAATCGAAGCTAGAGCTTTCTTAACCCTCCCACCCTGAGAATGACCCGCATGGTAAAGGCAGCCAGGCTTCTTGGTGGCTGGACGTCTACGGCCAAGAATCAAGTGCCCCCTGAATCCTGGTACTCCTCCCATGCTCCAAACCTTCCTGCCCTGAAAACAACTCTTTCCCGTGAATCCAGGAAAAAGATGAAGGAAAGGCTTCATGGTCTTTGAGGCAGGAAGGGTTAAGATCATGGCTGCTGGAGACAGCCTGCCTGGGTTCCAATCCGGTTCCAGTCTTCACTAGCTGCGAGTGTGTGGCCATGGTACTCAGCTTCCCTGTGTCCTGTCTGCAGAATGGGGGAGAACCACTGCTGCCACTGCGCTGGGTTGCTGCTACAATTGTGTGAGTGACATACATAAAGTAGTCCTGGTTGCTTAAGTGAGGCCCCAAGGCAACTCCTATGACATCTGGCTCCCTGGGCCCCCGACAGGAGGTGAGGTGTAGGGACGGAGTCCACTCACCACTGGCTGTGCCCTCCTGCTTTGGCAGGGCATCGTCAGGGGTGGGCTCTGCCTGCCTCTGCCCAGGTCTCAGCTCATCCAGCTCGTCGTCCTCGGGGGTGACCAGCTTCATCAGGCTCTGGTTGCACACGTTGGCCACTTCTTTGATGCCTGAGTCCACTGATGTAAGGAGCGTGATCTGATTTGGATGCCTGTCTCTCTAAATCTCTTGCTGAAATGTGATTCCCAGTGTTGGAGGTGGGGCCTGGTGGGAGGGGTTTCGGTCATGGGGGTGGATCCCTCACAAATGGCTTGGTGCCCTCCCCATGGTACTGAGCGAGTTGAGTGAGTTCTTGCTCTATTATTATTCATGAGGGGGCTCGTTCTTTCAAAAAGCCTCCCACCTCTCTTGCTCCCTCTCTTGCCATGTGACCTGCTGGCTTCCTCTTTGCCTCTGCCATGACTAAAAGCTTCCTGAGGCCTCACCAGAAGCCAAGCAGATGCTGGCACCATGCCTCCTGTAGAGTCTGCAGAACCGGGAGCTGAAGCAACCTCTTTTCTTTATAAATTACCCAGCCTCAGGTATTCCTTTATAGCAACGCAAAATGGGTTAATATAGAGTGGTCCCAGCCAGGGGAGGCTTCTCTGAACCTCGTATTCCTAGTCTGGAGCTCAGTCGTCTCAGGGCTACGTTAGGCAGACAGGCTGTCCGAACTGAGCCCCTGCTCTCCTTGTCATACTGGTGCCCCTGTGAAATGCGCCTATTTCTTCTCTTAGGACCCCTTCCTAAACCCTCCCACCAACAGGATCTCCCCAGCCCAAGGTGGGGCAGTATGAACTCAGAGGGTTGGAACTTTGGGGCCCCAGAGAGCTGCTCCAGATCTGCAAGTAACCAGGCAAGGTGTGGGGACAGCCAGCATCAGCCCCGGGTCCCTGGCTTTCCTAATCCACGTTTGGCTCCATCTCTTTTTCCCGAGCTGCTAGGGACTATGGAAGTGTGATGGATCCTAAGAGAGCCCCCAGCCCCCAGTGCAGGGTCCCTCAACTTCATAATCCCTTTGGGGCTTCTCTCAATTATTCTCTCCCAAAGCAAAGGATACTTTTCTTGCGGTCATCGTAGGCCAAGCAGGGCAAGACAGCAGTCAGGATCCCGGAGGAGTAAGGCAGCATGACGCGGCCCGCCAGCTGGATGAACTCCCGCATCCAGCACATGGCTGTCAGCTGGATGAGGTCATCTGGAAGGGGAATCAGGGGGTTCAGAGGGGCCAGCACACGCAGCCCGAGTGCTCCCTCCCATTGACCATACACGTGGGATGGGGCTGGCGGCCTGTGGAACCCAAGCGCCTGACGGCTTCCAGCCTCACCAATGCTCTACTACCTGTGTGCTTTGCCTTCCAAAGGTGGAGACACAGGCTGGGACGGAGCAACAATCCTGTGCTAGACTGTAAGGGCAGCCGCATCCCTGCCCCTCTGCACTGGGACTCTGCTCCTCCTCTCATCAAGAGTGGAATTAACTTCTCCACCCCTTGAATCTGGGCTGGCCTTGCTTCTTTGGCCAATGAGACGTGGTGGAAGTGATGATGTGGCTGGATCAAGCCTAGGCCTCAACAGGCCTTGCTCACTTCTACTGTCTGTCTTGGAATCCCACTGATGCCATATGAGCATGCCCAGGCTAGCCTGCTGGACGATGAGACATGTGGTCCAGCTGCCCCCATGGTCCCGGCATGACATGAGCCAGACAACTGCCAGACATAAGTGAGGCCACTGTGGCCCATCCACCCCAGCAACCCTACAGTTAACAGCAGGTACTTGATTGAGCCTAGCCAATCCTGGCCCAGGTGAGTGGAACCACCCAGGTGACCCACAGACTTATGATAAGTGACTGCTGTTTTAGGGAATGACGTTTTGTGGTGGTTTGATACTCAGCAGAAGTGAACAGATACATAATCCCAAGCTCCAAGCATTTCAAGTCTCAGGGCTAAGGCCAAGTTCACCAGTAAGGAAACCTCCAGATCTTACTCCACACAGGCCACACACACCAGGTGAAAGGACCTCTGTGTCTCTGTGGTGACAGAACCCAGACCTCCCTCTGTGAGACCCAGCACTCCACCTCTCCCAGGGCCCACTGTCACACTGGCTAATATTCCTACCAGGAATCTCCCCTGCCCCCTCACTGAAGCTGAGATGGTGAAAGGGGCTTCTGCAGAGGTGGCAGTGGCAGCAGCAGTGGCAGCCGTGGCTGTGGGCCCTCCCCCAATACTCACCTGTTGTCTGGCAGTGGATCACCAGGATGTTGGCCATCTCAGCAAACTTCACACTGGAGGGGTTCTTCTTAATTTCTTTTAAGAATTCTCCAAGAACAACCTCACACCTATGAACAAGAACAGGAAAGTGGAAACAGCGAGGGTCAGCCAGGGCTGGAGGAGCCTCAAACCAGCCCCATTTCCGTGCTGGGTCAGCCACCCAGAGGGCGGCTTGGCTTTTGGACTTGTCAGGTGATCATTTTCAGATGCTGGGGGTTGATGGGCTCTTGGCTCCTCAAAGCGGGAAGCACAAGAGCCAGGAAGAAGAGGTGATTTCCTGCCCTCCTGCCGCGGCCTCTCTGTGGGCATGAAGCACATGGGCACAGCTGGGGGTGGCAGGAGGCAGCAGCTTCCTGCCCCTTACTCCACTCACATTTTGCGAATCTCTTTGCCATTGTCACCCAGGATCTGGAAGAGTCCATCCAGGATCTCCGGCAGGTAATCCAGCAGGTTAATGTCTGGCACCGACTCCAGAACCAGGATCTGACCAGGGGAAGGGAACAGGAGGGGAAGTCAGCTCCAGAACCCTGTTTCCTGCTCACCAAGCCTCTGGGACTGGGCTGTAGGAAGGGGACCCTGCTGAGACAGCATTTCCCTGCAGTGCAGGTGTCCCATGTGGGAGGAGGGTGCTGGCAAGGACAGTCAGCATTTCTTGTTTAATGTGCAGGGGAATGGCAATTTGACTCTAAGGAAATTCGGATGCCCAGGGGAGAAGGGGATGGATGGGGAAGGACAGAAAAGGCTAGAAAAAGTGAGATTGCTGGAAGTAGCACTGCTGGCTTTAAAGGAAACTCAGGTGTTTTCTGGGACAAGGAAAGAACTGGACTCCCTTCCAGGGCAACAAGAACCTGATCCCTTCAGGGCCAACATGGTGGGTTTCGGGGGCAAAGCTGAATAAGGTGTTTTTGAATTATCAGGTGTTAATGGCTATTCAAGGGAGAACATGGAGGGTTCCTATAGCCAAAGGGCCTGACAAGAGTGTGCTAGAGAGCAGATTTTCCAAACTGGAGGCTGGAGAAACGGTGTCCGGCCAGGCCTTACCCAGGAGATGATGAACTGCCGGGCATACTGGTTGTTGGAGTAAATCCTCTCTCGCAACAAGGGGATGAAGCTCACCAGGTCAAACTTGTTGCTCTCAGTCACAATGTCCTGTGGATCAGAGGAAAGTGAGCTGCCGAGAGCCCGAGACCAGGGCTGCCTGACCTCGCTGAATCACTTGCCCAGGGCTGGCTCCAGCGCTCAGGCGGCCACCAAGGAAAATGGCAGATCCTGAGCTAGGCATAAGAGGTCTCTGGAGTATTCATCCTGTCCCAGTCCACGGGATACGAAAAACGGGTAGATTGAAAGCAGGAAGCAAAGTCGAGAGAACCAACTGAATGGCAAGACCCTACTCTCTGTGGTCTGGATGGAATGCCCAGGCCCCTGCTGTCAGGGCCAGAGAGGTGTGGAAAGTGACAGGCAAGCTTCTTTGCTCTAGGTGGCGGCAACAAAAGGGGACATTTTGGGTGATGGCACAGTTCTGTATTTGATAGTGGTGATTGAGCTCGATATTCTTGTCATAGAACTGCACACCAGGGAGTACATGTAAATTTAAAATATATTTTAAATTCAAGAAGAACATTCCCAATGACAGAATTTCTAAGCTTTACAGACAGACGGGAGAAACAGATTGTAGAAATAAAAGTGGGGACAAAGTACAAATACCTTTAAAAGGCGGTCTAGGAGCTCAGATCCGCTTTTCACATTGGGGTCTGGGTCGGCTGCCAGCTGCAAGAGGCACAGACAGGGGAGGGACACAGAGGCGAGGGTCACGGTTGGATGCAAGACCAGGGATTTCCTGCAAATCCGCAGCCGAGGCCTTGGTGCAGCCCAGAACATCTAGCAAGAACATCACCCTTTCGGTGAACACATTTGAGAAAGGCTGGGAAAGTGGGAGTGGGTACAATGGAGTTGGCTGAGGAGCAGATTCAGGAAATACCCTTCTGTTCAGGGACTTCTCCCATGACCCGCTGGGGTTCCTGTTCCCTGTTGTGACTGGGTCACGGGGTTGCTTCCCGTCAGCCTTCCCCAGGGGTTTCCAATCTTAAAGCGCTGGGTCCTTGTTCCACTCCTGGAGGAGGGGACAGGGTAGCTGCGAGGCTGATACTCTAGAAACTTCCGTGGCATTCTGCAGGGGCAGCAGCATTGCAGGGCTGCTCCGCGCCTGGGAAGGGAACTCCACCAGGCTGCAAGAGGCACGGAGGAGAGCATGAGCTTTTTCTAGGGCACTTATGAGCTAGACTAAGTGCAGCCCTCCCTAAAGGGAAAGTACGGTCTGGATGATGGCGTCAGCATCATCCCCTTCTACCAGGGAGGCGAGTGTTTCACAGACTATCAGCTTCTTCCCTCTACTGTATGGCAGACTGATACTTATATCAAATGCAATCAAAATGAATTAAAAGAGAAATGAAAAAAGGTATAAATGCAAGTCCATTAAAAATGATTAGATTCAACAGACAGTAAGTGTCCCTTGCAGCCACATGCTTGTTTGCTCTGCTTGCATCTGGGAAAAGGGGTCCAAGGTTCCAGAAGGTCAAGTGAGGTGGGGGAACCAAGCGCAGCTCAGTGAGGAGGAGGAGGAGGGCGGTTACCTTGCTCAGCCCGTCAAAGAGCACGTTGAAGTGGGGCAGCACAGCGCCCCGGGCCACCTTGACGATGTTGTAGAGGGCCTCGCAGGCATAGTAGCGCAGCCTGCTGTCTGCATCATTGAAGCAGGTCAGCACTGGCTCGATCAGCTCCTTCAGGTAGAGCCCTGAGTCCTGCAAGGAGGCAGGAGGAGAAGACAGATCAGAATGGGTTGGAGCCCAGGCCCTGCAGCCTGCAGTGCCAGCTGACATCCCAGCTCCCTTGAAGGTGCTCAGGCCTTTGTGTGAGGGCTGGGCTCAAAGACCCTTCCCAAGCCTCATTCCCAGGAGAGGGCCCATGCCTAGGGGACCAGGCTGCAAGGCCGCAAAGCCAGCCTTGCTGGTCTCAGGTGCGGACAGAGTGGTAATAAAACATAGGTCTGCAATGCCCTACTGGGTCTTGACAGGGAAGGCATCGGGATGGCTTGGTCAGCGTCAAGGCCAGGACTGGTATGTCTGTCCCTTGGGTGAAAGGCCCACCTTGCCCAGTGCGATGGAGCAGGCGGCCAGGCCGATGAGGCCCCCTTTCCGGCTGTGGGGGTGCTGAGACAGGGCAAACTCCTGGGACAGGGTCTGGATCACATGCTTGATTTGCACGGTATTGTTCTGGGCCACGAACTCCCGGACCAGCCTGGAGAGAGAGGAGAGAGGGGCTGTGGGAATCAGGCTACCTCTGCTGTGGCCTCCAGGGCCTGGGGCGGCAATGAGGAAGGGAGATGACCTGTTTGGAAAGAGGAAATGGGAGACAGGCGTCTCAGGGCAGGTCTCAGTTCTGTTGCTGGCTGAGTCATCGTTGTTTCCCTATTCTGGGTCTCAGTTTCCCTTTGTGTACAATGGAATAAGGAACAGTGGTGCTATCTCACTTCTGGGAATCTGAGAGAATGCAAATCAATGTGTCACTGGGGACCAAAAAAGTGCAATGCATTATCAGTTGATCAACTGTCTTTATTCAACACTTACTCAGCTTTCCATTCGTGCATCTCAGAAATTCTCCGCGTCTGAGCGACTATTTCCAGGGACGTTGCTGGGACACATAGCTGAATCAGGCCCCAGTGTAATGGGTAAGAGCCACATGCCAACAAATAATTGTAGCAAAGTGGCACCAGTGATATCACAGAAGCAAGAAAAGGCAATGGGCTCAGTCTCCTCGGGCCGTCCAGGAGGGCTACAGGGAGGTGCCGGCTGAGTCAGATCTTAAAAACAGTAACAGGCACTTTCCAGGTAAAGAAAGGAAGGCAGAGCACCTCGGGCATAGGGAAGAGCCTGGCCAAGGCCACGCAAGCTGACATGGCATATCTGGGACAGGATGAGGGCTCCAGCGTGTGGAAGGAGTGGCTAGAGACAGGTAAAGAAAAGATGAGCCGGTGAAAGTTTTCCAGCAAGGGATGACACGCTCAGCCCCATGTTCCAACTGGACATCTCTGGTGGTGGCTTGGAGAAGCTGGGCTGGGGCAGGCATGGGTTTGACGGGAGACTGATGCCGGGGACGTTCAGGAGAACACTGTAGCTATGGGGTAAGGTGGTCCTGAAATGTGACTGAGGCAGTGGGAAAGTGCAGCAGGGACTGTTTCTAGAATTAAATGGAAAAGCACTAATAGCTGATATAAGAGGAGAGAGGAGGGTAGGGTAGACAGTGCCCCCAGGTGTCTCCCTGGACAGTGATGCTGACAGGGAGAGGAGCAGGTCGGAGGGAGGCTGCCCTCATGGGAGGGAGGGGCTGCTGGTCACCCAGGGAGGATGACTCCCAAGGCAGGCCCTGCCCTGAGTGGAGGAGCTGAGGGAGGCCTGGCTCCACAACAGACTAGTCTGTTTTCAGAGCCCCATGGACACAAAGGCCAGGCCTCTGCCCTCCCAAATCTCACATGGCATGTGGTGGCAGGAGTGCCCCAGATCACTGATGGAGGAGAGGCAGCTGGGGTGGTCAGGGGAGTTTTCCTGGAAGTGGGATGGAGCCGGATCTTCAAGGAGGCAGAAGGGAAAGAAACGGGCCTTCCTGGCAAAAGGAACCCTGGTAGCAGAGGTGAGGATGCGGAAGTAGCCAACCTTGTCTGGGGCCCCAGAGAACAGTACAGCAGCGGGATGGGCTGCTGGTGGTAACTGGGGAATCTCCAGTTAGAAGAATAGATTTCATGTACCAGGGAGCTGGGCATATGAAAGACTGTCTTAAGGAGCCTGGAGATGCTTGTGAAATGAGGACAGGAAGCGTGAGGGATGACACTGGTGGAGCCACTGAAGGTGGAAAAAGGGCAGTCTAGAGACCTCAGACTTTAAAAAGTAACTGCAGGCACTCTCTCTCCTTGCTTTGCATCAAATCATGGCAGGTATCTTGCTCACCTGTTCCACAAATGGGGTCTCAAGTTGACTTGAAGAATTTTAAGAACAGTCATGTCCAAAAGGTGTCCATTAGTCTGTGTGGTTCCAGCTCAGGAGCTTTCTAATAGTTAGAGCTGGGACTTTCTAGTAATTAAAACCAACGGTGCTGTCCTGTGAGACAGTGAGCACTCCGGCAAAAAGGCTGTTCAAAGAGGGACCGGGCAGTGGTTCGGTAAAGATTTAATACAGCCAATCATATGGAGCACCTATCATGCGCCAGGCACTGTTCACGCAAGAGGTGACAAAATAGGTCTCGCTCTGGGCTGGTGGACGTTGGAGAGGAGATGGATGCTTCAGGAAGGAGCTGTACAAGTGGCCTGTGAGTTGCCCCTTGCTTTCGTCTTTATGGGACTGGGACTGTGGATGAACCCAGGGCCTCTGGATAGAATGTGAACTCCAGTTCATAGGCCTCAACTCTCAAAACAGCGTACTAAGGCCTGGCAAGGATGGTTCTACATCAACTTGTTTGGTCTCCCAAACTGGACAAACCAGCCAGGTGAGACCCAATCATCTGGCAGAGTGCCTAAGTATTGACAGACACAGCCCCTTGCCAAAAGCCCTGCAGATGCTCTACCAAACAGCTGGAGCATTGGTGGTTCAGTGGTAGAATTCTCGCCTGCCATGCGGGCGGCCGGGCTTCGATTCCTGGCCAATGCAATGAAGTGTTGCTTTTTCTGCCTTTTGCTGGCCAGTTTTCCTCACAGAGAGATCCTGCTAGAGGAGCCAGTCAGTCCCTCCAACTACACCAGACCTGCAGCAGCCAAGGGTGCCCACAAATCTGGAACCACACTTCCCTGCTAAGTGCACACATGAGAGCTGCTGGGTTCTCCAGAGAAACACTCACTATGGCTGTGGAGCCATGAACTTGATGCCTTCACCTTAAGGGGACTCCTGTTGTGCTGTCCTCAGCCTTGGCCAGTCTTCCGCAGGAAGCTGGCATGAAACCTGAGAACAGTAACACAGTTTAACACAAGACTAAACGCAGAATGTGGTGGGAGGACTCAAACAGTAACAGTTTAACACAAGACTAAACGCAGAATGCGGTGGGAGGACTCAAACAGTAACACAGTTTAACACAAGACTAAACACAGAAGGCGGTGGGAGGACTCAAACATCAGAGGGGGAAAAAGCCCCCCAAAGTTTTAATATACTTTTGCTACCAAGAAAGACTCAAGCTCTAGTTTCTGTCACAAGGTCTGAAGGCAAATCAACTGGACACGCACACCCTCCTGCTTCCTGCCTTCTCCCTCCTGCTCTGCAGCCTGAGTGTTCCATTCTTGCAACTGTGCTGATGTGGCAGCATCAGAGACTGGCTTCATATTCTGTTAATCAACTTATATGCAAGGAGGCCCAAGAATGGGGTTAAAGGGAGGTGCGCACACAGCTGCTCACATCTGGGGCATTGGTGGTTCAGTGGTAGAATTCTCGCCTGCCACGCGGGAGGCCCGGGTTCGATTCCCGGCCAATGCAGCAGCAGACCTTTAGTTTAATCGTGAGAGACTGAATTTGAGATTTCACACTGCCTAAAGAATTTATAAATCCACTCTGAGAACTGAGAATGACTTGTTTCTAGTTGGATTTCAAATGCCTTTGATGAAAACACTTATTTTCCTAAATTCTGCAAAGATCTAGAACCTGGTCTCCTTGTTCTTGAAGAATCCAGGATGTGGGATGCACCTAGGCCCGCTAAAGCAGCTGTGCCTCCCCACGCCTGCCCAGGAAGCCAGGACATGTTTCCGCTTGGCACAAGTTACAGCGACACTAGGAGTGGGAGTGGGGACATCCTCGAGGCTTCAGCAAGGGGTCCAAAGGAAAGCCAACCTGCACGGCAGCGAAGGCCACCCTGGAGCCACCTCCTCTCCTGTCTCCTTGTTTCAGGTCACAAACATTCCCCGAGCAACTGGACAGGAGACTCCTCCTGTGCGATGACCAGTGGATGAGAGCTATTCCCTGCCCCCAAGGAGCTCTCTGCCAGCGTGGGAAGAGGAGGAAAGAAGAGAGGGCTTAAGGAATACTGTGCAAACAGAAAAAACACTTGGTAAGAAGGGCATGAGGTGACTCGGGGCAGGCCAGAAAGAGAACGACCCGTGTCTGCCAGGCAGGGATGTACTAGGGCTCTATAAGGGTCAGCATTGTAGACGGGTTTTGAAGGATGAGTAGGTGTTCGTTCTGGAGCTGGTTAGGATGAGGCTGAACAAAGGCTCAGAGGAAGGAGGAGCAGGCATTTGGTTTGGCAGAAAGAAAAGCCACAGGTGGAGGGGAAGTAGGTGACAGGGTTGGAAAAGCTGCTCCCAGTCATGCAGCAAGGGACCCTGGACACTTGGCAAAGGCACTGGCATTTAGCCCCGGTGGATGTGAGGAGCTGCAGAAGACCATGAGCTCGCACGTGATGTGAACTTTAGGAAGGGCAGTCTGCCCCAGTGGGTGGTATGGGTTTGAATGGCACTTAGGAAGCTTTGAAGAGTACGAGGAAAGTGGCTCTGATGTCGGAGTGACAGCCTGCAAAAGTAACAGGGCCTCCTGAGGGAGGCAAGGGGGATTTCTGTGCTGGGCGTTCCCTCCCCACCCCCTCACCTTTGCAAAGAGCAAATGTCTTCTTGCTTGGCACCAGCCGGAAGGCCTCCCCCACCAGAGTCCTACTAGGACTCAATTCAGAGCACCCCAGGCCACTACAAAAATGACAGCCCATTCAGGCCCTGTGGCCCCAGGAACTCCAAGTTTCTACTGTTTCCGCCCCTGCACTTAAGGGTAGAATATTCTTCATCTCCAGGAAAACAGGCGTCAGGCAGACAAACAATGGCTGGAGGGAAAACCATGGAACACGTCCTTACCAATATGTCAGTCTGGAGAGCACCGGGCCTGGGGTCAACCCCTGGGCCACCGGCAGGAAGAATCTGTTCCACGAATCAAGCCTACCCTACTTATCTGACACTTGGGGCAAGCAAAACAGGGCCAGGCCGACCTCTGACCTCTGCAGCCTTCCTGCTGGGCTCCCAGCACAGGCTTCTACTCCAGCCAGGCCTGCCTTCTTACTGCGCCCTGCCTGGCCCATGCTGCACCTCCCATCTGCCCACTCTCTAGAAAAGCTCCTGGTCCCTTAAACATTCTACCCAGCCCTCAAAGTTCAGCTCAAATCCAACCCCCTGCCTTTCCTGATGATCCCACGAAGTGAGCGCAGAAGGACTCAGGACCCCTCATTCTGTGCCCAGCAACATGTTGTCGAATGTCAGCAGGTAAATTCCTTCTAATTCCTTCTCATGCGTGATTCCTACCTCCACAACTTTTTTTTCCCTTTGAGACAGAGTCTCGCTCTGTTGCCCAGGCTGGAGTGCAGTGGTGCGATCTCGGCTCACTGCAGCCTCTGCCTCTCAGGTTCAAGCGATCCTCCTGCCTCAACCTCCTGAGTAGCTGGAGTCACAGGCGCCTGCCATCACGCCTGGCTAATTTTTTCTATTTTTAGTAGAGACGGGGTTTCACCATGTTGGCCAGGCTGGTCTTGAGCTCCTGGCCTCTAGTGATCCGCCCACCTTGGCCTCGTAAGTGCTGGGATTATAGGCATGAGCCACCATGCCTGGACCCTCCACAACTTCTTGATAAAGTCCTTGAGGACTGGCACCATGTGTCTGCATCTCTAGCACTAGGCCTCTCTCCGAGTTCAGAACTTTGAGTGCAGTAGGTGGGGAAACACTTGTCAAGACGGGCAGGGGTGACAGGCAGCTTGAGCTGTGGGGAAAACCTGGGCAAGACCCCACACTGCCATATTGGTGACATGGGAGTGCTTTGCAAACCCAAACCTAACCTGCTGGGTTAATCAATACTGCATTTGGACGGTCCTCACCCTCTACTCTTATAGTCCAGGTTAGCAGGAGCAAAGGGCACCATTACTAGGACCCAAAAATGCACATCAAGAAGGGCTCAGGTCACCAGAGCTGTGGCTGCTGGCCGGGGAAAGGTGCACCGGCTTGGATGACGCCTGAAGGACAGGTGAAGGCGTCCTCTAACCCCTCGCTAGGTGCTCCAGAACTGCCCTAGTCAGCCAGCCTGTGGTGTGGTCTCTACTTCACAGGGCAAGTGCAGAGACAAAAAAAGAAACTACAAGGGGAAGCAGAGTAAGTGCAGTTGAAAACCTGGGCAGCCCCAGTTCCAGGTTTAGTGTCTCTTCAAAAGACCACACTATCCCTCCTTTCATCTACAGGTTGGGAGCCAGAGGTGGGGGATCTGAGGCTGAACTAGTTTTGAAGTTAGTATCTGGCCCAGAAACTCTCACGATCACAAATCCCTGGAGACCTTCACTAATGTGAAGGGCATGGACATCGCTGTCTTATACACCAGAGCAGGGATCCACTTCTGCCTGGTTTCCTCCAAAAAGTGCTAAAGAACCCTGGCTGGAGAGGTGTCCTCTAGAGGCTGCTCAGAGCCTGGGTTCTCAGCTGGCCAGTGGCATTGCAGGATGGCAGGAACACCCATTCCCCAGAAGATACAAGCCCCAAGGGGGGCCAACATCATGCTCTTGACGCCACCCTCAATGTCTCAAAGACTGCCACACTGACTACCTGACAGGAGAAGCAGCCATGGACACTGCAAGACACATCTGGACTTTCATGAGCCAAGGGAGAGCCTGGGGCCATCCAGCACAGCCACAGGACCCCTTAGCTTAACTCTGTACCACAGCACAGTGACAGTCGCAAGAGACTGTCACAGGTCACATGAGGACTATTGAGTTGACCACTTCCTAAGCACTCACACTCTGCTGAGTATTCCAGGGGTCAGTTATTCCCGACGATACCTCCTGCTGTAGCTATTATTATTTCACTCCCATCTTCCAGATCTGAAACAGTAAATCAAGCCCCTTTCCTACGGTCACCAAAGGTCTGAACCCTTGACATCTACCAAGTCCATATCCCTTCAACTATGTCACAGTCCCTCCCTCCCATCTCCCTAAGCCACTTCAGCTGCAAACCAATTGCACCCAATTACAGATGGCAATTCCCTTGTGCAGAACTAAGGCCCCCAAGTGAAACGTAGCTTTCTCTATACACTTTCACACAGTGCTCGGTCATCGCCAAGGCACTCCTTCCATACACAGGGAGTACAGAGGAGGTGCCTACTTGAGATGTTTTGAAATGAGGCTCTAGCGCTGGTCTTCTGTGAACGCAGGACACAGTGAGTAACCATCAGCTGAGTACTTACTATTTGCCAGGCAACGTGCTGCATGTTTACATACAGGGTCTAATTGAAACCTTAAAACAAGCCACTGAGTTAAGTACCATTACACCCATTTTACAGTTTGTGGAAACTGAGGCTCAGAGAAGTTAAGAAATATACACAAAGTCATGCAAGTTGTAGATGATGGATCTAAAAATCAAATCTAGGCTTTTCTAACCCCAAGATCTAAAATCTTATCCACTATATTAGACTAGCCCCTCCCCAAATAGCACAGCTACCACCAGCTGGGTGCCCACTGTGTGCCAGGCACATGATTTCATTTAACTCCAATCCCATGTCATTTGGTGATGGCCCTATGTCCCAACCTCTGTCCTAGGTGGCAGAGGTTTTAGCCACTGAACTCAGGTTCCCATGTGTTCAGAGGGAACATCCTCAGCTGTAGGTGGGTTAATCATGACAATGACTTTACAGGGCTTTTAGAGAATTAAATTAGGTAACTGCATTCTGTGCTCTGTACTGCACATGCTCAAATAACAGTATTAGTGCAAAGTCAGAATCAGAGACAAGCTGTGATCTTATACATAGCACACGAGGTTGTGCTCATTCCATAAATGTTGGCTGGGCACCCACCAACCAACCTAGGTTGGACCTAGGAATGAACTGATTAGAAATGAGCAGATATGACGTAGGAATGAGCATGTACTGAGCATACAGTGGATCCAACCAGTGGAAAAAACTACAAAGGAGAAGCAAGAGTCAGTGACAGCAGGAGGCTTGTTTTGATCTCGGGTGACAGTAGTTGTGACTACTGAATAAGTGCTTCCCTCAGACTGTAACAAAACAGCACTAATTTAAATATTGGGACACAATTCACATACCATAAATTCACTCTTTTAGAGTGTAGGTGTCAGCAGCCTTTTGTATATTCACGAAGCTGTGCAACCATCACCACCGTCAATTGTAGAACATTTTTTTACCATCCCCAAAAGAAACCCTGCACCCACTGGCAGTCACTCCCCATTCCCCCGCGCCCTAGGCAAGCCCGAGTCTACTTTCTGTTTCTATAGATTTGCCTATTTTGGCCATTTTATACAAATAGAATCACACAATATGTGGCCTTTTATGGTTGGCTTCTTTCACTTAGCATAATGTTTTCAAGGGGCTTTTTTTTAAAATAAGAAAACTGAGGCACAAAGAGGTTAAATCAGAGATCATAAACTCAAATGCCCACACGGGCCAGGCAGGAGATATGGGGGAAGCCAGGAGGTAAAACAGGCTCTGGTTAATCTGCCAACAGGTGGCAAAGCTCCCGACGATTTGCTTTGCAGGAATGCGGGCCCCCAAAGCCACATCTCCCAAGTCCGTAAGATAATCCAGAAACCTGAATTTCACTGTGAAATTTCTCAATTTAAAATACTTTGTGATCCAGGCCAAACCAAACAGGTCTGCGTGTAGGTCACAGCCCCCAGGGGCCAGCCTGTGACCCCGGAATTAAACAATTTAAACAGGGTCCCACTGCTGATAAACAGCCAAGCTGGGTGGAATTCTGACCTGCACTCCAAAAATTACCTTGAGCCACTGGGTAATAAATACAGTTATGTGCCACATAAGGACATTTTGGTCAACAACAGACTGCATATTCCACAGTGGACCCGTAAGATGATAATGTTATATTTTTACTATACTATTTCTATGTTCAGATATATTGGGGTACACACATACCACTGTGTTACAACTGCCTAACTATTCAGCAGTCACATGCTGTGCAGGTTTGTAGACTAGGGACAATAGGCTCTACCATATAGCCTAGTGTGTGGCAGACTGCACCATCTAGGTTTGTGTGAGTAACTCTATGTTGTTCACACAATGATGAAACTGCCCAACAACACACTTCTCAGAATGCATCCCCTGAGCCGGGCGCAGTGGCTCATGCCTGTAATCCCAGCACTTTGGGAGGCTGAGGCGGGTGGATCACGAGGTCAGGAGATCGGGACCATCCTGCCTAACATGGTGAAACCCGATCTCTACTAAAAATTAAAACAACAACAACAACAAAAAACAACCAAAAAAATTAGCCGGGCGTTGTGGTGGGCGCCTGTAGTCCCAGCTACTAGGGAGGCTGAGGCAGGAGAATGGCGTGAACCTGAGAGGCAGAGTTTGCAGTGAGCCATGAGATCACACCACTGGACTCCAGCCTGGGCGACAGAGCGAGACTCTGTCTAAAAAAAAAAAAAAAAAAAAAAGAATGCATCCCTCTGAAGCGATACATGACTCTGGCACCTTCCCCACAGAGGTGGTAGGCTCCGAAGAACCAGGTCAACCTTCACCTGTTCAACTTTCACCTGTTCACAGAGCTCCAGGGACTCGCCTCCCCCACAGCCAGCAGGCAGGGAGGCGTGATTCAGGAGCTCTGCTCCCAGCAGCCCTCCCTGGGGCTTTGGGCTCTCAGGGGGCATGGCCTGGGCCACCTAGCAGGAGAGTTACATTTGCTGGCTTTGAACTCAAAGTTCAAAAACAAGATCAGGTGCGTTCAGGGAGGTAGAACCACAGATGGAACTCAAAGCTCAGGACCACTAGAGACTTGACCATGAGTGGCGCTGTCTCTCCCAGCCAGCAGTGAGACAGTGGGGGCCCTGCCTCCATGATGCCTGGCAGAGCGAGCACCCACCACACTGATCAGAGTGCCTGCTAGCATTTCTCCCCCACATTAGACTCTTCTGGGAAGACAGCCTGGCATCTTCCCACCCTTTTCATTACGACTGATCAATGACTATATTAAAATTGAAAACCCACAAAACCGGCAACAGCCATGATAAAAATCCTAACCTGACTGCCTTATCCTATAGGAAATTGTGTGGTCCTGTGGGAATAAGGTTGTAGGGGCAAAAGTTCTCCAGAACTTTGTACAACTGGATCCCAACACTTAGACAGTTAGTGTGGTCACTTAACACCACACTGGTGGTCTTAAGATTCTGGATCTGGGGGTCCTTCAGTTGAGGCAAGCATCCATCTCTGCATTTTTAGTGTCTGAGAGGCCTGTCATCATGATACAATCCCCTCTTATTAGTGGTTTTAATGCCTCACTGGAACACCATAGGCAGGACTGGCTCTGTCACCTGAGCTCTGTAGAACTGAAAGTGGCAGCTAAAACCACTGTGGAGAATTTCAAGTATCAAATTCCTTTTATTATAAGTATGTCCCCTTTCTGGTAGGGAAAACCAGTCATGCAGTGGGGACGTCTTCTGAGACACATGAACCTGAGTTTTCTTGCTAGGTTCTAGCTGTGAAACCATGGGAAGATTACTTAACCTCAAGGAGCCTGTTTCCTCATCTGTGAAACAGGGTAACACCACCACGCCCATAGGGCAGCGATGCAAAATAAATGAGATGAGGGGTATACCATGGCCAAACCAAAGGAAGCTTTTCTATATCCTCCCAACCATCCAAAATGGGGCAGACAGCACTTTATATACGTGCACTCCCAGGCTTCACTATGATCACTGTGATGGACTGAACAGTCCCCCAACCCCCAGATTCATATATTGAAGTTCTGATCCACAGTGTGACTGGATTTGGAGAGAGGGCCTATAAGGAAGTAATTAAGGTTAAAAGAGGTCCTAAGGGTGGGGCCCTTGATTCCATAGGATCAGTGTCCTCATAAAAGGAGACACCAGGCTGGGGCAGTGGCTCTTGCCTGTAATCCCAGCACTTTGGGAGGCTGCAGTGGGAGGATTGTTTCAGCCTAGGAGTTCAAGACCAGCCTGGGCAACATAGTGAGACCCCCATCTCTATAAAATAAATTAAAAAATTAAAAAAATTCAAGAACAACGCATTTGTTACTATGGGTCTTACTGAGCTAAAATCAAGATGTTGGCAGGCTATGTTATTTTGTGATGCTCTAGGGGAAAATCCATTTTCTTGCCAGCTTCTAGAGGCTGCCAGCATTCCTTGGCTGGTGGTTCCCTTCCATCTTCAAAGCCAGTGATGATCCGGGTAAGTTTTCTTACATCACATCACTCTGACACTGACTCTTCTGGTTAGGGTTACATTGGGCCCACCTCGATAATACAGGATAATCTCTCTATTTTTAAGGTTAGTGATTAGCAACCTTAATTCCCCCTTGCTGTGTAACATAACATATTCACAGGCTCCAGGGATTAGCATGGGGCAAATATAGGAGGCTATCATTCTCCCTACCAAAAAGTGGTAACAGCAGTACTGACAGATGACAACTATGTGATATACGTATGTTAGAAATAATTAGGGCAATTACATAACAATTCTCTCTCTATGTATACAGTTTGTAACAATTACAATGTGCCCACTACTACACTAAATACTTGATATGGTTTGGATCTGTGTCCCCACCAAATCTCTTGTTCAACTGTAGTTCCCAGTGTTGGAGATGGGGCCTGGTGGAGGTGGCTGGATCATGGGGGTGGATTTCTCCCATGATGATGAATGGCCTAGCACCATCTTCTTGGTGCTGTTCTTGTGATAGTGAGTTCTCAAGAGATCTGGTTGTTTGAAAGTGTGCAGCACCTCCCTGCTCACTCTCTTTTGCTCCTGCTCCCGCCATGTGGGACGCCTTGCTCCCTCTTTGCCCTCCATCATGATTGGAAGCATCCTGAGGCCCCGCCAGAAGCAGAAGCCGCTATGCTTTCTGTACAGCTTGCAGAACCGTGAGCCAAATAAATCTCTTTTCTTTATAAATTACCCAGTCTCAGGTATTTGTTTATAGCAGAGCAAGAACAGACTAACACAGCACTTTACAACATTAGCTCAAACAACTCTATGCATATTATTATTATGCTCTTTTTACAGATGAAGAAATTGAGGCACAGAGGTTAATTAGCTTGCTCAGGGTCACCTAGCCAGTAAATGGGAGCTTGAACCCCAGTTCCAGAGCCTGCTCTTAAACACCATGCCACGCAGCCTCTCAGGAAATAGGGTATCTTAAAGGGGCAACTTACCTAAGAACAGGACTAAGCACTTTCATTTAGGGAGCACATGAACTGACTCATTTACACTACATAGATAACTGCCAATATTCGGACTCTTCTTTTGTTGGGCATCTGCAGTCTGATTAATGAGAGATTAATTAATAGTCTGTGTTTGCTGAGGGTCACTTTGACCAGGCCAAATGAAGAATATATTAAAACATACAATATCCTATGTGTACCTGACACATAGAAAGTGCTCAGACAAGCAAAATGCTGGTGCTGGTGAAGCACAGATAAGTAAGTCAGTATCTATCTCTAAGCAATTTGTGAAGCATATGTTCTGAGGAAGGCATTGAACTAACCAGCCATTCTTCATTCTAAGCATGACTGGAGAAGGTTGGAAACAGATGAGAGGGTCTTTGAGGCCAGTGCTTCTCAAACTTTAATGTGCACACAAATCACCCAGGGATCTTGTTAAAATGCAGATTCTGATTCCATAGGTCTGGAGCAAAGCTGCAGAGCCTCTAACAAGCTCCCAGGTGATCCTGATGCTGCTGTCTGTAGGCCACGCTTTTGGGCAGCAAGGTCCTGAGCCTGCAATGTTATTTCCCCACCGAAAATGTACGGTCATTCATTTATTCGGACACCAGCTGTCAAGTGCTGCCAGGCTAAGTGCTAAGGATAAATAAAACAGATACATAAACAGAACTCTCTGCTCTTAAGGAGTTCACAGTCAAGGCACTGCTGAGTTTCTCTAAATTCCACAAATCAAGGGCAATGTCCAATACAAAATGAACTCGATCAAAGACAAAACCCTTACAGAACTGTGTGCAGAGTGAGAACAGATACACAGGTTGCGCTGGAAGCAACAATAATGTTGAGATGAATACCTCTCTCTTCAAGGACTCAACAGACGACTCAAGCTACAATAAAACCGGATATTCCTGAGAAGCAGAGTGGGTGAGGGACAAAACTAGGTGTCAAGGCAACTTCAAAGCCAACAAAACCCCATGGACACGGAACCATGCCTATATATCATTTCTGGGTCCCTCTATTCAGTATGGCAATGTGCAATAAGACTTGCTAGCATTCGTGAGAGTCAGGCATAAACAAAAAGCTATATAAAAGGAGCAGTCAAGAAAGTGGTGTCTGATGAGAGAAGCAGCTAGATGGTTGTGGACATACTGAGTATGAGAGCTGAATGGAGGCAGGGTGGGGGATTTCTTATCAAGGTCCGAACCCTTTAGTTTAGGAGGAAACTAAAATCCAAAGCAACATTTGATTTGGATTGCAAGCAGCAGTTGTCAACCGGGGCAATTTTGCTCCTTCAGGGGACATTTAGCAATGTCTGAAGACATTTTTGATTGTTACAACGGATGGAGTGCTACTGGCATCCAGTGGGAAGAGGTCAGAGACGCTGTTAAAAATCCTGCAAGGCACAGGACAGCCCACTACAACCAAAAATCATCTGCCCCAAAATGTGAATGGTGCAGAGGCTGAGAAACCCTGAGTTAAGGAATTTGCCCCAGGTTAACGAATGAATGTCACACCACGGAATAGATTAGAGCAGTCCAATAGAGCATTCTGCAATGATGGAAACAGTCTATAATCTGTGCTGCCCTATATAGCAGCCAATAGCTACATGTGGCTATTGAACACTTGAAATACGGGTAGTGTGACTGAGAAACTAAAGTTTAATCTTTAATAATTTAAATTTATAATAGCTACGCACGGCCAACGGCTACTCTACTGGACAGAACAGAAATACAATTCACCTTTTCTGACTCGCAGACTGGTATTCTTCCAGTTTCACAGCCTGCTTCTTTCCAATTTTCTGAAATCACTCACTCACTTGACTTTAACACTAAAATGTGACTGGGAAAAAACCCACAAAAGTAAAATAATACTGCAGAAAAAAAAATAAATAAAACATCCCCAGTTAAACTTTCGCTGTTTTGTACATTGGGAAATAAAGTAAAATATCAGATCATTGTTACACATACATGTAACAAGACTGCAGAAGCAAGAAAGGTCAAATTATTTCTACTTCCACTTGCAGGGAAGGGTGTTATAACACAGATAAAACAAAAAACTCTCTGAGCCTTGAGATCACGAGTTTTCCGACCTGATTTCTCTACTTGGTCACTAACAATCTCCTTCACTTCTCAGAAGCTGGGTAAGAAACCAGGCTGGTCAGCATCACCTGCAAATTCTCCGGCTTCTGACTTCTCTCTCACCACAGAGACAACTCTCTGATTTGCTGGTTTGGGTGGCACCGCACCGAAGACTCACCATGTGCCATGCACTGTGCAAAGCACTACCCATACATGATGTCACTTCATTCTCACTGCAGCCCTTTGTGGCACCGGGAGGTTAAAAAGCTGGGACCAAATCACACAGCCAGTCAGGAGTAAAGCAGGGACTCCCAGATATGGCTCCCAATCTGCTCTTAAACACTGCGCTAAGGTAAGGGCCTAAAACCTGGGAAAGTAACCCTGGCTGGGAAGGCGTGAGAAGTCCCCCTGGGGAGCAGAGCAGTCAGGGGCTGCATAGCCAGGGAGGGGTCCTGGCGGCTCTTACTTCTCGATCTCCAGCGCTGCCACCTTCCGCTTTTCGTACAGCTTGTCATTGAGGGCGCGCACGATGTTAGGCGTGAGCGGCGCGAAATCCTTCTCGGGGTTCATGGTGGCAGCTGGGGGAACCTCGCGACTCCTTAGCCCGCGGCTGCCGGGGCCGCGCCGGGGCCAGGGGAGTCTGCGGCTCCGCTCTGCCCCCGGCGCCGGCGCATGGACCACGCCGCTCTAGGCTTGCCTGCCACGCTCCGCCGCCTCGCCCTGGAACCCGGGCCCGGACCCCGCTCCAGCACACCTGACCCTGGCCGCTTAACAACTCCCGCCCGGCACTAGCGGGACTCACGAGACAGCGGCCATGTTACTCGAGTCACATGACTCTACAGCACTTCCGCCTTCCGTCGCGAGGGCCCGCCCCTCTCCAGCCACGCCCCCACCGCAGGCCGCAGGTGGATTGGCCACGCCCTCGGAAGGCTCCACCCACACTGCACACACTATCGCGCTGCGCGCCAGGTAGCTGGAGTGTGGTTTGAGACGTGCTTTAATGGGTGTGTAGCTCACGCCCAACTGATGGCACGTGGTGGGCTTCTGTAGACGTTCGTAAGACCGAATGGGTTCTTGGAGTCTGATTCACTTAACATAATTTATTCAATAGTCACCGAATTCACTAGTTCATTCAGTAGTTGGTCACTTACCAATTTCCTAGATGCAGACGTTTCCCTAACTGCAGTAACACTGTCATCACTTTCACCATATTCTAGCCACTTGTATTATCTATTTAATGTTTTCCTCAAATCAACTCACTTTAAAAAATACCTTAAATCTCTTTTAGCTTTGCTTATGCCCTAAAACCATGAGTTTGAATAGGTATATTTTTTCTAAGACACATCAAAATAAATTCTCAATTAAAAATGGCACTACCTGTCTACCACCTAAGATCTCAGGTACCACCAGTGTCTGTCACTCCACCATTTGGGGGTGTGTTTAACATGCTCTGATGCCTAGGAGGGCTGGTTACAGACAGAGAGAAAGGCCCCAGATCTGCTGAGTGCGGGTCTCTAGATAGGTCCCCTGGAAAGCAGCCCCTTCAGCTGCTTCGGGAATCACATTACATGGTGAGACAGAAATCCCAACTATGTGGCAAAATATTTAAAAGCAATTTATGGCCGGAGTGTGGTAAACATGCAGTTAACAGGGAGGTGCATCAGCCTTTCCTATCATAAGCTTTCAGAGTGAACAGGGACTTAGGACAAGGGCTAGATTACAGTGGAGCTCAAAGAATAACAGTTTCAGAATGCATGGTGATACTTTTCTTTAATGAATGAAAAGTGCATATATAGGCCTTATAACAGTCTTGAAAATGGAGTATTTTCCTCAACAGAAACAGGGACGCAATGAGTAAAGGGCAAAAGTAGGCAGAATTCTAGGATGACCTCCAATATTCCCACCCCTTCGTGTTCATGCCCTGTATTATGCCCTCTTTCAGCGTGAACAAGACTTGTAAATATGATGGGCTATGCATCACTCACATGATTATATTATGTAATATCGCAGAAGAGATTTTGCAGATGTAATTAAGGTCCCTAATCAGCAGACATTGAATTAATAAAAAGAGAGATTAACTTGAGTCGGCCTGACCGAATCAAGTGAGTACTTAAAAGAGATTAGAAGAAATTTGAACTGGAAGAGAGACTCTCCTGTAAGGAGTTTAGTCATATGGCCACAAAGGAATGAATTTTGCCAACACATTGAGGGTCCTTGGAAGCAGATCTTTCCCTAGTTGAGCCTCCTGATGAGGATGCAGCTGGCCAGCACCTTGATTTCAGCCTTGTGGAACCCTGAGCTGAGAATCCAGTTCACACTGGGCTCTCAACCCATGGAAACTGTGAGATAATAAATTTGTGTTGTTTTGCTCTCCTAGTTTTGTGGTAATTTGTTATGCAGCCATAGAAAATGAATACAAAGGCTAATCCAAAACTCGGCAAGTCATGGATATATCATGTCTAGAAAAATCCATAAAAAATGTATTCTCCTATACAGGTGGGGTTTTCATAGTTGTTAAAACCTTTGCTGACACAATCCTATGAATGAAGGTAGGTGCGCTAACAAGTAGTAGTAGTGCTGCCAAGGACATCTCCAAATGTCTTGCAAAGTTTGGTTTTAGGATTTTGATGATGGTTGATGAAAAACACTGAAAAAATGTAAATCAATGGGAATGATTTGGTTCTATTTCTCCAATGTGTGTGCATTTCCACGGGACGCATATCTAATATATTTCATGTTTCTTTTGCTTTTTGGTTTGGCTTTTTCTTAGAGGTGAACTGAATTTCCCAAGGGTAATGATACAGTTTTTAATAATTCAAACAATAAGGAATTTTTTTTTTACCAGAAGTATTCTTTTCTCCTGAAATTATATTCTGGCTCAGGTTGCTAAGTAACCAGTTTTTTATTCAAGGCCCAGACCAATGCCTACCTTTAGGTCAGAAGTTCCTAGAAAGAAGTGGTTCTTTTCTCTAATATCTTGAAAAATGCCAACTAGGTAAGATTATTTATGCATAATTGAGCTAGCAGTGGTGGTAAAAATAAAGCCCAAAGGCTACCCTTGCCTTCCACCCTTGTTCCTCTTCTCTGACCTGTGACCATTCCTGTTGAAACTCTTCTAGACTAGGGGATAACTGATGTGCCTGACTGCATACTAGTCATTATTTCACAGTTACAATTCATCTGCATCTGTGTGATGCTTGGTTGTTATGCTAGAACTTGTAATAGTTCTGTAACAACTATTCATAATAGCTATTACAAGTATGTAAAAGTTATGACATAACTTGTAGCAAGAGGCTGCTGATGACATTGTAAGAAATTGTACCAAAATCTTGAACTGTGCAAAGCAGTTTCTCCAACAGCAATGTAATTGTAGCTGGAGTTTCAGGGCAACAGGGTTTAAGGTATTAGGTAGAGGTCTTGAAATGTAGCAGGCCCTCACCAATGTTACAGTATTGTCACCTCTGACTTGAGGCTCCTAAAGAAGTGGTTAGACTTAGCATGCCACACTCACTGGGGGCCCAGTGTGGAACGAGGCCAGGGAGCCCCATTCCCATGGTATTCTGTGCACAGTGCTCCTTGGAGTTCTGCCACACAGCTACCCTGACATTTTCTGAACATCCCCCAGTTAGAAGTCTCCTGGTCTGCTTTGCTGAGAATGGATTCTCCAATGTAACTTCCACAAGCATGTGTTGGAAGGGTTATTTTCATCAAGCCTGCTGTTAAGCTACTTTGCCATTCCAAATTTGCTAATATAAGACTATTTTGTTATTGTTTGAGGCTAAGGAAGCACGAGAAAAACCTAAAGGGAAGAAATGCACCCAATCTCAAACCAGCCTGGAAGAGGGTTCACACTGGGGCAGGATCTGAGCTTGGCTCTTGGTCCCAGGGAGAAGGAACTTCCTCCTCTCTCAGGGGCTAGGAGGATTTGGACCCTAGACTCAGTGGTGTTATAGGACCAACACGTTTGTGTGCCCACTGTGCAGTAACAGACCAATGCACAGAGACAGTGGGGATGCAGCAGAGAAAGTGATGATCAAAGGTCACTGAGTGATGAGATGGGAGGAGACCCTCAAATCCATCTCCCGGAAGAGTTCTGGACTGGGGTTTTTAAGGGGATCCTGGAGGGTGAAGGGCTGAAAAACCAGGTGACTGATTGGTTGGGTAAGACGGATGAAATCATCAGGATGTGGAAACCGCATTCTTTGGTGAATCAGCTTCTCGTGAGGTCCTTCAGATCAGCTGATGTCAGTTGTTTCACTGGTACACAGGACCAAGAATAAATATCTCAAACGGAAAACTTAACGTTTCCTAATGTTCAAGTTGTTATCTCCAGAGCATTGAGGGGAACTATGATCTTTAGCAGGGTCTACGTGATTCTGAAACAGCAGGCACCAAACAGCTATGAGGAAGCAGGTCTGAGCGCAGGCTGATCTAGTGATTAATGCTGAGTGTGCTGCAACCTGGGTTCGTTTTTGTTTCTCCCCCTCCCTTCTCCCTGATCACTTTTATAAAATGTATATGGACAGCTTCAGTGGCTTGGGGAAGCACTGGAACAGGTCTGAAGTTGGGGGAGTTGCCCCTAGCCACCCCAAGGCTGGCTATAAGCCATGCTGGGGCTGGTGGCATGTTAGACAAGATTTCAGACAGCTTCTTCCACCTTTTCTTTAGTCTTAGGGATCACTTGGTGTACCACATTGACCATTATTGAAAAAGTACACCCTTTTGAAGAGTAGGGTGAGGGACCAATTGCTTCCCTTCTCCTAACCTATACCTCTGGTGAATAGGTGGAAGGAGGCACATTTTGGGGAGGGTTAATTTCATCAACTAGGTCCTATGCAGATTTGGTAAGACTTCTCAGGACTGTAATGAAAGAGTTATGGCTGTGGGTTTGGCAAATGTCAAGTTTTGCCAGGTACCTTAAAGTAGCACTCTCAGCTGCAATGTGCATGCAAATCGCCTGGAGGTCCATGAAAATGCAGATTCTGATTCAACAAGTCTAGGGTGGGGCCTGAGGGCCTGCCTTTCTAACAAATTCCCAGGTGATGCTGATGCTGCAGGTCCATAGGCCACTCCGAATAACCAGGAGGCTCGAGGCTTTAGAGTCGTGGTTCTCACAGTCTGATTGGTCTCACCAACGAGCATCACCAAGAACTGGTTAGAAATGCAGATTCTCAAGCCCCACCCAAATCTCCTAGATCGGACTTCCTGAGGGTGGGGCTCAGCAATCTGTTTCAGTAAGCCCTCCAGGGGATGCTGATGTATACTAATATTTCAGAAGCACTGACTTTATACAGATGCTGTATATTTGCAAGTCATCACTCTTGCTCATTGATCTTAGCATCCTCTCAGATTATTGGTCAGAGCGATCTTTGCTCACTTAACCATTGTGAAAATCTGTCATCTGGTTGTCTTTAGACCTATCAGTAGTGTCTTTAGAGGTTATAGAAATAAATTGTCTATTGAGTATGGCAGTCCTCCTCATCTATGGCTTCAGTTACCTGTGGTCAACTGTGGAATGAAAATATTTAATGAAAAATTCCAGAAATAAAAAATTCATACTTTTTAAATGGCATGCTGTTCTGAATAACTTGAGGAAATCTCATGCCATCCCACTCCATCCTGCTCAGGATGTGAATCATCCCCTCGTCTAGCGTATGCATGCTGTAGACACAACCTACTTGATAGTCACTGAGTAGATGACTTGGGGTTAGCAGGTCAACTGTCATGGGATCGCAATGCTTGTGTTCAAGGAAACCTTATTTAGTTTAATAATGGCCCCAAAGCACATGGGTAGTGATGCTGGCATATTATTATAATTATTACATTTTATTATTATTATTGTTAATGTCTTACTGTGCCTAATTTATAAATTAATCAAAGGTATGTATGTAAAGGAAAATACCACAGTATATGGAGTGTTCAGTACTATCTGTGGTTTCAGGCATCTACTGGGCACCTTGGAATGTATCCCCTGAGGATGAGGGAGGACTATTGTAAAGGTCTGTGTTTACAGACATTCTAGAAAAAGCTTTTTTGGTCCTAGAGTATACTGGGCTAGGGTTGTGGGGAGGTACAGAAGAAGGAGAAGAGTCTCCCTCCATGAAAGCCACCTCTGACAGGTATAAGGACTTGCTAAAAGATTGCCGGGCCACACCTACAGACTTTTTGATTCAGTCGATCTGACATGGGGACTGAGAGTTTGACTTTTAATAAATTCCCAGGTGATAGTACTGCTGCTGGCCCAGGGACCATTTTTAAGACCCACTTCTTTACGGCATTCATTCCCAAGAGGCCATCTTCTTCCAGTCTCCTGCCCCTCTTGTAGGAGGGCTGTGGGGGATGAGTGTGGGGAGCAGGTAGAGGCAGGGGGACCCTCCGTCAGAGGTGTATGTCTGCAGAAGCAAACCCATGCCAGGGCCAGACTTTAACCATCTGCTATACAAGTTAAATGTATATAATAAAGATGCCCACACCCCTCTCCAGACCAATTACATCAGATGGGGACTGGGCACGTTCAGAGTGAGAGTTAGGTGGTCCTGATGTGCAGATGGGTTGAGAATCCCTGCTCTCCTGCTGAATGCTATCCAAGGCGGGGTGTGTATGTGTGGTGGGGGGAGCTGGGATCTCTATTAGCCTTTCTCCAGGGCCTAGACTTCAGTGAGAACTTTCTGTGTAGGGCAGATGTGGGATTCGGACACTGATGGTATAAAAGCCAAGAGAAAAAGTGATGGGAGTGTCCCTGGATTGCCCTAATGTTATCTGCTCATCCCTCTGAAAATATTTATTTGGCTTTTATGTGAAAGCAGAATAAAATGCCACATCAAAATAGTCATGTCTAAGGGCTTTTTAAACCATTTTGGATTTTAAAAAGAAACTGCAGTACCCAGCGTCACGCATTGCTAAGTGTTGTAGAGTAGAAGGTCACTAGTGTGATACCTGTGCCTTCTTGATAAAAATGGGAATTATTACAAAGTACTTGAGCTTTGGGGCTATGTCAAGAAACTCAATTTAGGGACTCACAAGGATTCAGTTGTCTAAAATATAGAGCTGTTGTGTGTAGTTATAATGTTTAATATGGAATAGATATTTCATATCTATATTTGGAAAACACATAATAGGGAAATAACTGCCCTATAATTGTATGAGAAGAATAAAAACAGTTCCTTTAGAATTCTTATTGTTTTCTCTATTCTTTTTCAGGCTAAGACAATGCATAGCTTTTGGTTGATACAGGTAACCCTGGTTACCACTAAAGGGTGATCCCCTTCAGATAATAAACCCATTTAACTCCAGTCTCACTCCCTTCACCAGGAGGGCAGCTCACAGTCAGCTTGGTGGTGATGGGGGTTTTGCTGCCAGATGGGTTTCCTTCAAAGGAGACTGTGATGTTGTTGATCTTCTTGGGCCGCACAGACTCTCCAGCGCGAATGGTGAAGGCTGGGTTATCCACGATGATGGAGAAGGTCACCATGTGATAGAAGACATTCTTGAAGGGGATGATTATGCTGTACCCGGCTCGGATCGAGAAGGGACCTTGGGGCTTGGGAGGCAGAGCCATTCCAAAGAGGGGGATGATATACTCTCCACCTGCGAGCGATGATAGGATCAGGATGCCCTTGGTCTCACCCAGGTGGCTGGGCTCGAATAAGACTTCCACACTGGCTTCAGTGCCTCCCTGGCCTCCTGGGGCTGCATTAATGAGTTTTTCTGCGTGGAAGTCTGTACAGTCGGTCTGAAAGGGGAACAAACAAACTCAGCTCACGTGAGATCCTGAAGAGCACACCAGGAGCTCAAGTCTACCCCAGCCCCTCCACTCCTGGACATCAAGCAACTATGTCTGTGTGAGACTGGGAATGTTATAAAGTTGTGTCCTTATAACTCCCTTGTAGGGTAGGTATTACTAATTATTATTTCTATTTTGCTACAAAGAAACAAAGGCAAAGAGATGTTAATAATGTGTACTGAGACACACAGCCACATTACGTTAATAGGGCAGTCATGGATGCTGATCCCCTATATTCGGTTCTTTCCTTCCATGTACATGGAAGACCAAACATTCTGGTTCCTTGCAGATGGGTGGTGCTAGTTCCAGACAACTAGCTGTGAGCAGAAGTGAAAGGTGTCACTTCCATGCTAGAGCCTTTCATTGCCAATTTAACTCCTGTCAGGGTCCTTTCACCACTCTAATACTGTACTGGAAATATTTGAGATGGTGCTTGAATCCCAAGAGACTGAGATGAGCAGGGTCCCCTGCTGGCCTCTCTGGAAAATTGCTCAAATGAGAAACAAGCCTTCATCTTAAGCCCCTGTGATTGCTACTGCACCTAACCTAGCATCTCTTGGCTGATACAACTGATCAAGAGCCTCTGCCTCTTGGCTACAGCCACAAGATCTCTGATTTTACCTGGGCATGTGACTGCCCAGTACAAAAGCTACCTTTCCTAGCTCCTTTGTTGATAGGTGTGGTCCTGTGAAGTTTTGTTCCATGGAATATTAGTAGAGGTGATATATACAACTGTCCCCTCTTCCCTTGTAGCTGGCTGGAATGTGGATGTCCTGATAAACCATCTTGGCCCACGTGGACCAAAACAGCTCCCTTCAGAGGGCAGAGCATCGGGACAGAAGATGTCTGGGTGCCTGGTGTCAGCGAGCTGCCATTCCAGCTCAAACTGCTTATGCCCAGACTGTTATTTGTGAGAGAAACCAACACCTAATTTGCTGTTATTTGTGGTTTCTGTTTTTTAGAATTTTATTTTATGTTTTTAAATAGAGATGAGGTCTCGCTATGTTGCCCAGGCTGGTCTTCAACTCCTGGCTATAGCGATCTTCCCACCTGAGCCTCCCAAAGTGCTAGGATTGCAGATGTGAACCACTGTGTCTAGCTTTGGGTTTCTGTTTTAGTAGTTGAACCTATATTCCAACTGATGTAACAGCTAATGTATATGGAGCACTTACTATAGGCTAGGCTCTAAGAAAATGGCTTTAGATACATATTTAAAATCCTTATAGCAATCCTGCAAGGTTGGGGGTATTATCCCCATTTATAAATAAGCTTAGAGAGCTTAAGCAAATTATTCATACAAAGAGTAAGTGGTGAAGCCAGGACTCAAACCCATGTCTGTTTGATTCCACAGCCGATACCATGACTACTAAGCTATACTGTCTCCCTCTGTGGATCACTGGGCGTGCTGTGTGAAACAAAACTCCCCTACACTCCATCACAGCTTGTTAAGACAGAAAGTCTGTAATGGAAGAACCCAGGCCTGGTGCTGTTTGTTTCTAGCTGGGAGTTTCCAGGCTAGATTCAGGCCTCTGAGGCAGGTGTCACCATGACAACGAAGCACCTGAGTCTCTCTGAGTCTCACATTCATGCTCCCTGTGTCTCCTCTCATTGTTTTTGAACCCAGCGTTCATGTGAGGGAAGGGCAGAAGGTAGAGCAGGGGCCACTCACCCTGCAGTAGTATTCTGTCCTCTGCCGTGTGTAATTGATGAACTTCACAAGGATGATTTGGCTGCTGCCAAGGACAGTCTGGAAGTGAACAGGCTTTTCCGGAAGTGCTGGCGTGGCTTTCAGATAGAGCTCATATTGGTAGTAACCCAAGTCAGTGTTGTGCAAAGTTAGTCTTCCGAAGGTTTCTCCAGCTTTCAGGGGCTGAAATTCAAATGAGAACGTGCCCTGGAAGAGAAAACAGAGGATCCTGTCATGCTGAAAGGCTAATTCATCACCTGCCACCTAGAGACCTGCCCAAGGCTCCATAGCAGGTTGGGGGCAGAAATAGTGCACATGATCATGCTGTTCTTGCTCCTGGGGAACCTGTCCAAACCAGCCCACCCTCTCTCCCCTGTACCTCTCCTAGCTTTCTCTAGTTCAGGTGATTCTATATCTGGGATCTCTATGAATCTAAGTGCAGGTGCTGGACTGTCTCCTGAGAAGCGCACATAGGGAGATGTGGAGATGGGTGAGTGCTGCCAGTAGGAGGGCTGAAGCTTAGGCAGCTCCTTCTTTGCTCATGGCCAATCTCAGAACAGCGTCCTGGGTTCTGCCATCCTCCATTATTACCCATGGCGAAACAAAGCAAGAACAGAAAGCATTTCTTATATAGCAAAACAAGGGAAACAATTCGAATGTATTATTAGTAGAAGATTAGTTAAACAAATTACAGTTTTCTCATTTCAGTGGAATATTGTGTAGCCACTAGAAAGGATGAGGTAGAGCGGGGCCTGGTGCGGTGGCTCATGCCTGTAATCCTAGCACTTTGGGAGGCTGAGGCGGGTGGATCACAAGGTCAGGAGTTCGAAACCAGGCTGACCAACATGGTGAAACCCCATTTCTAAAAAAAACAGAAAAATTAGCTGGGCGCAGTGGTGCGCACCTGTAGTCCCAGCTACTCGGGAGGCTGAGGCAGGAGAATCACTTGAACCCGGGAAGGAGAGGTTGCAGTGAGCCAAGATCGTGTCACTCTAGTCCACAGCCTGGGCAACAGAGTGAGACTCCGTCTCAAAAAAAAAACCAGAGGTGTAGAGCAATACACATCGAAATGAAAGGTGTTGATGTTGATGATATTTTAAGTGGAAGAAAGCAGGTTCCAGAAATGCATATATAGTATGAGCTCTTTTTTGTGAAGAATATGTCTATGGATGTATAGAAAGAGACTGTAAGAATATATACCACACTGTTACCAGTAGTTATGTTAGGGTGGGAAAATGGGATTCTGGAGACTTATTTTCAATTTCATATACTTTTATATAGGTAAAATTTGGTTTTACTATGAGTAAGTATTTAAAAAAATAACTAGTTCTTATTGAAAAATATCAGAGGCTGGGCTCAGTGGCTCACACCTGTGCTTTGGGTGAGTGAGGCAGGAAGATCACTTGAGCCCAGGAGTTTGAGACCAGCCTGGGCAGCATAGCGAGAGCCTGTTTCTACAAACAACAACAACAACAACAACAACAAAATTAGCTGAGTGTAGCAGCACACACCTGTAGTCCTAGCTACTCAGGAGGCTGAGGCAGGAGGAGGCCTTGATTGTAGGAGTTTAAGGCTGCAGGGAGCTATGATCATACCACTGCACTCCAGCCTGGAAGACGCAGTGAGACCCCATCTCTAAAAAAGTTTTTTAAAAAAGAAAAATATCAGAATAAAAAGAGGATATCGCTGAAGTTATAGTTGTTTAACAAAAAAGAATATAGTATAAGAATTTAGATAATTTTACCACAATTTAAAAACTAGATAAAATAGACATGTGTATAAACAAATATAACCTATAAAAACAGACCTCACTTTGGGAGGCCAAGGCAGGCGGATCACCTGAGATTGGGAGTTTGAGACCAGCCTGACCAACATGGAGAAACCCCGTCTCTACTAAAAATACAAAATTAGCTGGGCGTGGTGGCACATGCCTGTGATCTTAGCTACTCGGGAGGCTGAGGCAGGAGAATTGCTTGAACTCGGGAGGCAGAGGTTGTGGTGAGCCGAGATCACGCCATTGCACTCCAGCCTGGGCCACAAGAGCAAAACTCCATCTTGGGAAAAAAAAAAAATCAGACCCAAGAACATATAGAAAATCCACTTAGTTCTATTAATATAACCACTAGAGAAATGTAATCAATAGTAAAAAAAATCCTTAAAGAAATTCAGGTTCATAAATGTTTACTCGTAAGTTATACCAGACAATCAAGGATGAAAGAATACTAGTATTCCACAAATTCTTTCAGAGAAAAGACTAAGAGGGAACCCGTTCCAACCAGCATAAAGTTGATACCAAAATCCAACAATAATAGGAGAAAGAAAAATTGGATGCCAGTCTTTCTCCTGAACATAGTGAATTTTAGAAGATGGTTGGGTACAAAGTCATTATACAAAATAAATGAATTGTAGCCAGGCGTGGTGGCTCACGCCTGTAATCCCAGCACTTTGGGAGGCTAAGGCAGGAGGATCACTTGAGGCCAGGAGTTCAAGACCAGCCTGGCCAACATGGTGAAACCCTGTCTCTACTAAAAATACAAAAATAGCCATGCATGGTGGCGCATATCTGTAATCCCACCTACTCAGGAGGTTGAGGCATGAGAATCACTTGAATCTGGGAGCTGGAGGTTGCAGTGAGCCTGATCACACCACTGCATTTCAGCCTGGGTGACAAAGCGAGACTCTGTCACAAACAAACAAACCCGAAATAAGTGAATTGTAAAAGATGATGGGGTACAAAATCAATACACAAAAATCAATTATATTTCTATATTCTTACAACAAATAATGAAATTTTAAAAAGATACTATTTGTAATAGCATCAAAATATATAAAACCTAGAAATAAGCCTAATAAAAGATGAATAAAGTCTCTACATAGAAAACCAAATAAATGCTATTGAGAGAAATTAAAAAGGACTTAAATAAGTGGAGATTTGCTCGTGGATTGGAAATCTCAATATTGTAAAGATATTAATTCTCCTTCTGATAGACAGGCCCAAGATGGTCCTCAATAATCCCCACCTCTGGGGATTCCCAGCCTCGTGTAGTCTTCTCCCATATGATACCAGGGGCTGACCTGTGTGACCACTGGTATATGGCAGAAAAGATGGCATGTCACTTCTGAGATTAAATGATGAAAGACTGTGGCTTCTATTCTTTTTTTATTTTTTTGAGACAGAGTCTCGCTCTGTCACCCAGGCTGGGGTGCAGTGTTGCCATCTCGGCTCACTGCAATCTCTGCTTCCCAGGTTCAAGCAATTCACTTGCCTCACCCTCCTGAGTAGCTAGGAATACAGGCACATGCCATCATGGCCGGCTAATTTTTGTATTTTTAGTAGAAATGGGGTTTCACTATGTTGGCCAGACTGGTCTTGAACTCCTGACCTTGTGATCCGCCTGCCTCAGCCTCCCACAGTGCTGGGATTACAGGTGTGAGCCACCGCGCCCGGCCTGTGGCTTCTATTCTTGTGCACTCTTTCTCTTAGATCTCTCATCCTAGGGGAAGTGAGCGAGCTGCCATGTTGAAAGCAGCTCTAGGGAGAGGCCCGCATAGTGAGGAACTGAAGCCTCCAGCCAACAGCCAGCAGGGAGCTAAGGCCTTTCCAGCAACCACATGAGTGAGTCTGGAGACAGAAAATCTAGCCCCAGTCATGCTTCGAGATGACTAGCGTCCTGGCTGACAACTTGATTCCAGTCTCCTGAGAGACCCTGAGCCCAAACCACCTGGCCAAGGTGCTGCTCTTAAATCCTGATCCTCAGAAACTGCGCAGACAGTAAATGTCTGTTGTTTTAAGTTGCTAAGTTTTGGTTCATTTGTTACAGATCAACAAATAACTAATATATTCTGAAAATAATCTATAGATTCAATGTAATCCAAATCAAAATCCCAACAGGTTATTTTTCTTTTCTTTTTATTTTTTATTGAGGAACTTGACAAGCTGATTTCAAAATTGATATGTAAATGTAAAGGGCCAAGAATAGCTAAGATACTCCAGCAGAACAACAATATAAGAGGTTACTAAGTCTCAACATAAAGCTGGAATAATTGCTTGCTTTACCAGACATCAAACCTTACTCTAAGTAGGTAGTAATTAGGATGCTCTGATATTGGCACAAATTCAGTAATTAGATCATTATGATATCATAGAAAAGCTAGAACAGACCCATGCATAGATGAACTTGATTTATTTCATAAACGGCCCTGCAGAGCAGTGGGGGAAAAGATGGCCTTTTAAGTAAAAACAGTATGAGACAATTTATACCCATTTGGAAAAAAAGAAAACTTGACTTCTGCTCACATATGAAAGCAATTTCAGGCTTTAGGCAAGATGATTGCAGCAGCGTAGTTTGGTATCTCCCCAAATCTCCCCACGAAATGCACAGATCTACTAGGTTAACAGCAGCAAGAACACATGGCCACGATTTATAACAAAACTCAGTGAAAAGGTAACCCCTCAAATCCCAAAATACTAGTGGGTAGGACCAAATTACTAACAGCTAGCAGATGGATGCGGTATCAGCCACTATAGAGGAAAAGCAGGAGGAAGGCAAAACAGCATCAGTCTCGAGAGCCCAAGAACCCAGAATCGCCTCTGAATTGGGGGCTCTCATGCAACCTGGAAAACTTTTCTTCCCTTGACATTGCATGAACAGGCAAAACCTGGAAAACCCGATAGGACAATTTGACAATAGCAGCCTAAGCTGGAGGAATATTTCGGGCTCCAGTTTATAGTTAATTGCAAAAACTGTTGCGATAAGATTGGACAATATGGGGCAGTATAGGCCATTTGAATGCACAAAACCAAGTGACTGAAGCTCCTTTCTAAGATAAAACTCCTGCACTGAGAGAAATTTATGAAAGTAGAATCTATTTGACCACAACAGAGACACTAGGGGTAAAGGAAAGATAGAGCTCAGAAAAAGGTGGGGATGAGAGCAGAGAAAATAAATCTTAAAAGCATAAGGCTGTATTTGAAAAAAAAATCAACATTTTGCAGTTACAACAGAGGAGAGAGCCTTAGATACACAGGTTACCTTCTCCTTCCAAGAGTATGGAAAAACCTAACATAAGCAATGGAAAAGGAGGATGGTACAATTATACACAAAGTTATCATCTTAAAAAAGTGAATGTGAGTGAGTAACAGTGAAGACAAGATGGGAAGAGATATCTACAAAACAAAAGAGAAAAAGAAAACAGAACAGCCCAGATAACGAGAAAGCACAGGGGGGAATATAAACTTGACTATGTCAGTATATTAAATACAAATAATATAAAGACTCCAGTGAAAAGTAAAGATTGCTAGGATGGATTAAAAAAACAAATCTGGCTGGACGTGGTGGCTCACACCTGTAACTCTTGGGCTCAAGCAATCCACCCGCCTCGGCACTTTGGGAAGCTGAGGCGGGTGGATTGCTTGAGCCGGGGAGTTTGAGATGAGCCTACAAAAAAATATAAAAATTAGCCGGGTATGGTGACACGCACCTGTAGTGCCAGCTACTCGGGAGGCTGAGTTGGGAGGATCACCTGAGCCTGGGGAGGTTGAAGCTACAGTGAGCTGTGATCACCCACTGCACTCCAGCCTGGGTGTCAGAGTGAGATCCTGTCTCAATCCCCTCTCCACCCCCTTCTCTTAAAATCTATCTCATCTATATGCTGTTTATAAAAGACACATTTAAATTATAAGGTCACAGAAAGGTTGAAAGTATGACAATTAAAACATACACTATGCAAATACTAACCAGAAGAAAGTTGTATTAATAGCCGACAAAATGATCTTCAAGGCAAAATCATTAGTAGAGACAAAGAGGATCACTTCGTAATGAAAACAGTTTCAAGTTACCAGAAAAATACTATCATTTTTACTTAACCAAAATATAGTTCAAAGTATATGAAGCAAAACATGACAAACTACAAGAAGAAACAAACAGATCCACAATCATAGTGATATACTTTAATGTATTCTCTTAACTGATAAAAAAAAAAAGCAGACAAAAATGTCAGTAAGAATACAGGAAATTGAACCCGGCTGCGCACAGTGGCTCACGCCTGTAATCCCAGTAGCACTTTCGGAGGCTGAGGTGGGCAGATCATGTGAGGTAAGGAGTTTCAGGCGAGCCTGGCCAACATGGCAAAACCCCATCTCTACTAAAAATATAAAAATTAGCAGGGCGTAGTGGTGTGCGCCTGTAATCCCAGCTACTCGGGAGGCTGAGGCAAGAGCATTGCTTGAACCTGGGAGGCAGAGGCTGCAGTGAGCTGAGATTGCGCCACTGCACTCCAGCTAACTGAGTGAGACTCTGTCTCAAAAATAAACCTCAAAATGGCAAACGCATCCTTTTAAAAAATAGATGGAGGATAAACAACAACAACAACAACAAAAAACCACCCCACAAAACCACACACTGGGCCATAAAAACAAGTCTAAACACATTCTAGAGAACTGAAATAATATAGAATATGTTCTCAGATCACAAAGTAATTTAAAAAATAACTAGAAAAATCCACATGTTCAGAAATTAAGAAACTCTTCTAATAACCATTAGTTAAAAAAGAAGTATTAATCACAAAAATTAGAACCTTTTTGAACTGAATAAAAAACACTACAATCACAATTTGTATAACTGCTAAAGCAGTACTTAGATATTTATAATTTTAAATGTCTAGCTTGGAAAATCAAGAAGACTAGAAGTCAAAGCACTAAGCCTTCATCTTAGAAATTAAATAAGCCCCCAGTATCCCAAAGGAAGCAGAAGGAAGGAAATAATAAAGACAAGAGCAGAAATCAAGTAACCAGAAAGCAAGCATACAATAGAGTCACAATGGAGACAAAAGATGCATTTTGGAAAGAAACCTCTGGTAAGACTAAGAAACAGAGAGAAGGCACAATAACCAATATTAGAAATGAAAAAGCGACGTCACATTACAAAGGTAATATGACATTAACAACTTTATACCAACATTTTAATATATGGATGCAATGAACATGGTCTTATTACTGATGCAAGAAGAAACAGAAAATCTAAGTAGTCCAATAACCCATTAAAGGAATTGAATAGTAGTAGACAAATAAGTAGCAGACAATCTCTCCCACCTCCACACATACAAAAACCCACCAGGCCTAGGTGGCTTCATCTGTGAGTTCAAGAAAGACGTAATTTCAATCTTTTGTAAACTCACAGAATCCAGAAAGGGAGAAAATGCCTGACTCTATATGGCTTGCAAAACTTTGATATGCAAACTGGACAGAGACAGTACGAGAGAGGAAAACGGTGGTCTAAGCTCACTCATGAACACAGATGCAGATCTCCTATATATAATATTACCCAACTGAAATCAATCTGTTTGTAAAAAGGGAAATTAAGTCCACGAGGAGTTAGCAGTTTATCAGATTAGTAACCTTAAAAAACCCGACAATACCAAGGGTTGGTGAAGACGTTGAACATTAGGAACTCTCATCACTAATTGGCAATTACCTACTAAAGTGAAAGCTATGCACACTCTATGACCTGTGGTTCTACTCCTAGGCATATGCTGTGGAACAACGTATGCCTATGCGCATTGGGAGGATACATGTACCAGGAGATCCATGGCCACATTTTTCAGGATAACTAGACATTGAAACCAACACAAATGACCAGCCTGAAGAAGGAAGTCAGCTGGAGCTGGAGTGAGGGGAACTCGTCAGGTGGGCTGAAGGTGGAAAAACAGAAGAGAGTTGATAGAATCTGGACAGTGAGAGTTTGGAGTGATAACCAGATAAAAAGACTCCACAGAAAGTTCCTCTCCCTGCCAGTTCACAATTCTATAATTCCAGCCATGCACTCCTAACCACTGTCAAAGTTTTCTTGTGCTCCTTCCTGAAGTAGTGTGTGTGTGCGCACACTATTACATCCCTTGTTTTCCTTTTCACCACACCTATTCTATACTATTTTATTTTATTATTTTATTTTATATTATTTTGAGATAGAGTCTTACTCTGTTGCCCAGGCTGCAGTGCAGTGGCACAGTCTCGGCTCACTGCAGCCTCCACCTCCTGGGTTCAAGCAATTCTTCTGCCTCAGCCTCCCGAGTAGCTGGGATTACAGGCGCCCACCACCATGCTGGGCTAATTTTTGTATTTTTAGTAGAGATGGGGTTTCACCATGTTAGCCAGGCTAGTCTCAAACTCCTGACCTCAAGTGATCTGCCGTCCCTGGCCTCCCAAAGCGGTGGGATTATAGGTGTGAGCCACTGCACCTGGACTCTATACTACTTTTATAATTAAGAAAAAACAAGAAAAATACTTTTAGCTGGAACAAAGAAAACAAACAAATCACAGAGACAAGGTTCATAAGAGAGAATTCCAAACGATGTGCCCAAGCTCCTATGAGGACTTTAGCAACAAGAAAAGGAACATGAGGGTGATTGTCCCGTCCTCTGCCTTCCTGACCACTGTCAGGGCTGGCCCACCCTCTGGGGATGCAGAGTGTGGATCCAGAGATCTCATGGGTGGAAGCCACTCTCACAGCTCTCAGGGAGCCCCCGACAGCCAAGGGGCCGTACCTCGGAGTTGGCAGGCACCACAAACTGGGAGGGCAGGGCGATGTCGGGCATCCGGCATTCCGTGGAGAAGGTCACCGAGTAGGGCAGAGGGTTCTCCAACTTGATGGAGGCTGACGCAACTTGCCGGACTGGGGTCACCATCTCGATGGTTTTGATGATGCCTGAAGGGATGACCCTGAAACTCACATTGTAGTACAAGAACTCATTTGTCACCTCGTTTCGGAAGATCACCTGCATTCACGGGGAGAGAGGGAGGAAGGAGGGAAGAGTAGGGGTGAGCCGAGGGTCCTCTGCACATTTTCAGAGCCTCCTTCTCTTTTTTAGCATTGTTTGGCACATGAAGCACAGGTACCAGGCTGACAGGACGCTCGCAGCCTATCCGGATCCCTGCCAGCCAGACTTTCTAGTTAGGGATTCCGGCTCCTCCCAGATGAGAGATTATTAAATAGCCTGGGCTTGCTTTAGAAGAGGCTAGATAGAGCAGGACTGTCCAACGCCAGCACTTCCCTGGTGGGGACAGCTGGCCGGCTCTGGAAAACAAGCGAGACCTTTGAGGTAACTTTCAATGGGCTTTCTTTCTTTCTTTCTTTCGAGAAGGAGTCTCACTCTGTTGCCCAGGCTGGAGTGCAATGGCATGACTCGGCTCACTGCAACTCCCACCTTCCGGGTTCAAGTGATTCTCCTGCATCAGCCTCACAAGTAAGCTGGGATTACAGGCGCCTGCCACCATGCCTGGCTAATTTTTGCAGTTTTAGTAGAGACGGGGTTTCATCATGTTGGCCAGGCTGGTCCTGAACTCCTGACCTCGAGTGATCTGTCCGTGTTGGCCTCCCAAAGTGCTAGGATTATAGGTGTGAGCCACAGTGCCTGGCCACAGTGGGCTTTCTTCCTATTCCTGTTGCTGCTGGGATAGTTTAAAAACAACAATAGCATCTGACACTTAATTAATGATTACTGTATGCCAGGCAATAAATAGAAATGCTTAATTAGTTAATTCACACAATTCGTAGGCACTGTTATTATGCCACTTAACCTTTTAAAATTTAATTTAATTTAATTTAATTTAATTTTTATTTTGTAAAGATGAGGGAACTGAGGCTTCGCAAACTCAAGTATCTTGCCCAAGGTCACACATAAAGAAGAGTCAGGACCAAGATTTGAACCCAGGTTAGACTGACTCCAGAGCTCACACTTGTAACGACACTATACTGTCCCTTCACCCCTGCAACGGACTTCTTGTGCTGCTCACCTCTTTAAGTTCTTTTCCCTGGTGACTGATAATGTTCAGCATCTTCTCGTGTTTTTATTGGTCATTCACATAGCTGCTTTTATGCAATAGGGTCTATTCAAGTGGTTTGTCCTTTGTAACACATTGGGTTGTTTTATCTTATTATTATTAGGTGTTAATAGTTCTTTATATAGTCTGGCTTTTTACTTTCAACTTCTTTGTGTCTTGAAGAGCTTCTAACATTCCCTTTTTTTTTGAGATGGAGTCTTGCTCTGTCACCCGGACTGGAGTGCAGTGGCGCCATCTCAGCTCACTGCAAGCTCTGCCTCCCGGGTTCACGCCATTCTCCTGCCTCAGCCTCCCAAGCAGCTGGGACTACAGGCGTCCGCCATCACGCCTGGCTAATTTTTTTTTTTTTTTTTTTGTATTTTTAGTAGAGACGGGGTTTCACCGTGTTAGTCAGGATGGTCTCAATCTCCTGACCTCGTGATCCGCCCGCCTCGGCCTCCCAAAGTGCTGAGTTTACAGGCTTGAGCCACCGCGCCTGGCCTTCACTCCCTGTCTTTTAATTGGAGTGTTTAGTGTTTTACATTTAAAGTGATTTTTTTTTCTTTTTTCTTTTTTTTTTTTTTTTTTTTTGAGATGGAGTCTCGCTCTGTCGCCCAGGCTGGAGTGCAGTGGCGCAATCTCGGCTCCCGGCAAGCTCCCCCTCCTGGTTTCATGTCATTCTCCTGCTTCAGCCTCCCAAGTAGCTGGGACTACAGGCACCCACCACCATGCCTGGCTAATTTTTTTGTGTTTTTAGTAGAGATGGGGTTTCACCATGGTCTCGATCTCCTGACCTTGTGATCTGCTCGCCTCGGCCTCCCAAAGTACTAGGATTACAGGTGTGAGCCACCGTGCCGGGCCTAAAGTGACTGTTTATATGTTTGGCCCGAAGTCTGCTTCCTTGCTAGTTATTTTCCACTTGTCCCTTTTATTTTTCATTTTTCTGTTGTTACTTTCCTGCTTTCGTTTGGATTGATACACAATCTTTTGGCATATATTTTACTTCCTCTACTGGCTTCTTAGTCATATTTTAAAACATATTTTTTTTTGAGATGGAGTCTTACTCTGTCACCCAGGTTGGAGTGCAGTGGTGCGATCTCAGCTCACTGCAACCTCCACCTCCTGGGTTCAAGTGACTCTCCAGCCTCAGCCTCCCGAGTAGCTGAGATTACATGCATGTGCCACCACACCCGTCTAATTTTTGTATTTTTAGTAGAGACGGGGTTTCACCACGTTGGCCAGGCGGGTCTTGAACTCCTGACCTCAAGTGATCCGTCTGCCTCAGCCTCCCAAAGTGCTGGGATTACAGGTGTGAGCCACTGCACCTGGCCTTTAAAACAATGTTTAGTGGTTGCTCCAGAGCTAAAAATGAATCCTTATCAACATTTATTAAATGTTAATATTTTATCACTTCCCACTTGACAATGGATGCTTCCTGGTCCCTACCTCACACTTAATAATAACCTTGCCTTAGCATCACTTCATTTGCCTGTCCACCCCATCTTTTGTGCTTTTGTTATCATATCTTTTATTTCTATATACATAAGAACATCCACCTTAGAATGTTATTATATTTGTTATAAACTGTCAGTAATCTTTTAAGAAATCCAAGAAAAAACCCTCCAAATATATATTTTGCATTTCCCTAGGTATTGACCATTTCTAGAGCCCCTCTTTTCTTCTTGCAGACTGGAGTTCCCATCTGGTATCATTTCCCTTCAGACTGAAGAAGATCTATTAACATGTTTTGCAGTAATGTAAATCTGCTGACAATGAATGTTCTCAGATTCTTTTATATGAAAATGTCTATTTCACTCTCAGTTTTAAAGGACATTTTTAGTGGATAAAGAATTTTTAGATGGACTGTTTCCTTTCCTTTCATCGCTTTACAGATAGCTTCCATTATTTCCTAGGTGAAGCCAGAACTCTAGGATAGCCATTGTTATCGCTGTCCCTCTCGCTGTAATATGTATTTTTCCCCCCTGGCTGCTTTAAGCTTTTCTCTTTATCTTTGTTTTTTGGCAGTTTGAAAATGAAACGATGCCTGATGTGTACAGGCATAGTTTTCTTTGTATTTCTCCTGCTTGAAGTTTGCCAAGTTTCTTGGATCTATAGTTTTTTTTTAAAAACTAATTTTTTAAAAAATATCTTAAGGCCTTTAAGAATTATGTTAAATCTACTCTGCCTATGCTCTGGAAATGGAACAACAAATCCTGGATGACAGCACATCTGATTTCTAATTACAGGGTGGCTTACTGAATATTTTAAGCCCACTGTTGAGACCTACTGCTCAGAAAATAGATTTCTTTCAAAATATTACTTCTCTTTAATAATGCACCTGGACACCCAGGAGCTCTGATGGAACTGTACAGGAGATGAATGTTGTTTTCATGCCTGCTAACACAACATCTACTCTGCAGCCCACAGATGAAGGAGTCATTTTGACTTTCAAGTCTTGTTATTTAAGAAATACATTTCATAGGGCAATAGTTGCCATAGATAATGATTCTTCTGATGGGTCTGGGCAAGGTAAACTGAAAACCTTCTGGAAAGGATTTGCCATTCTAGATGCCATTAAGAACATCTGTGATTCACTGGAGAAGGTCAAACCCTCATGTATGCCTTTGAGGAGTTCAAGACTTCAGTAACTGGAAAAGTAGAGGAAGTAACTGTAGATGTAGCAGAAATAGCAAGAGAACTAGAATTAGAGGTGGAGCTTGAAGATATGACTGAATTGCTACAATCTCATTATAAAACTTGAATGAATGTTGAGTTGCTTCTTATGGATGAGCAAAGGAAGTGGTTTCTCAAGATGGGATTTATTCATGGTGAAGATGCCATGAACATTGTTGAAATGACAACAAAGGATTTAGAATATTCACAAACTTAATTGATAAAGCAGCAGCAGGATTTGAGCGGACTGACTCCGATTTTGAAAGAAGTTATATTGTGGGTAAAATGCTTTCAAACAGCATCACATGTTACAGAGTAATTTTTCATGAAAGGAAGAGTTAATTTATATGGCAAATTTCATTGTTGTCTAATTTTAGGAAATTGCCACAGTCACCCCCACCTTCAGTAACCACCACCCTCATCAGTCAGCAGCCATCAACATCGAGGCAAGACCCTCCACCAGCATAAAGATTATGACTCACTGAAGGCTCAGATGATCATTAGGATTTTTAAGCAAATAAGTAATTTATAATTCAGGTATGCACGTTACTTTTAAAGACCTAATGTTATTGTACACTTAATAGACTACAGTACAATGTAAACATAACCTTTATATGTACCAGGAAACAAAAAATATTGTGACTCACTTTATTGCATTATTAGCTTTGTCATGGTGGCCTGGAACCAAACCCACAGTACTTCTGAGGTATGTCTGTAATTTAATTTTCTGCCTCATTCACATTCTCTCTCATTCTCTTCTTCCCAGAGAATGTTATGTTATGTTTAGAACAGTTGCTGTGAAGTCTGCCTGCTAAATCCAACATCTGGCCCGTCTTGGAGTCAGTTTCCATTGACTGCTTTTTTTTCTTGACTATGGATCCCATTTTTCTGCTTCTCCACAGGTCTAGTAATTTTTATTTGTCTACTGGACAATGCTGATGATCATTGTAGAGATTCTGGATTCTGTTGTCTTCCTTTTAACAGTGTTGATTTTGTTGTAGGAGGTAGTTGAATCACTGACTTAAATTTGTGTGGGTTTGGTTTTATGCTTTGTTAGAGCACATCCGTGTAAAGCTCAAGGTATTTATCAGGACCTTCTGACTTGCTGGGATTCAATCTCCAGATTTTGTCCTCCCTGTAGAACTTGCAGGTGCTTAGTTGTAGGCTTTTTTAAAGGGCTGATAAAGAGAAGGCCTTATACTAAGGGAATGGCCCTTTCTCCTAAGTCTTTCTTCTGGCTTTTCTAGTATTTTAGCTGGGTTCTCAGGATTTTAATGAGGTATTAATGCAATCTCTTTCCTTTGGCTGGGCCAGACCTCTAATGTTCCCCAGCACTGATTAACACATAGTATTGCTATTCCTTTAACAACCACATAGCAGCTGCTCCCTGGTAAATCCCATGTTGTCTCACCCTGCACATGTGCAACTCTTAGCCAAGGATAGTGAAGGGAACGCTCATGCTGTCTTCTGACCTGTCCTCTTTACTCATGCACTGGTCCCTTCTCTCTGGTGTCCTACCCTGTAGAGACTAGCCTTTTTGACTGTCCCAAACTCTGATTTCTGCCTCCTCAGCTCCTTGGCGGCTGCTGTGCTTTGCTTGGACTCTAGCTCACTGAATTGTAGTCAGGAAATTGTCCTTAGGCAGAGAACCAGGATAATCATGGGGATTCGTCATGAGTTTTCCTTCCTTTTCGAGGATTGCAGTATTGTGCTGCCTGTTGTCCAATGCCTGAGAAAAGTTGCCTCAGAGATTTTGTTGAGTTTTATATGTTTTTTTTTTATAGTGGGAGGAGTATAAAATGGAGTATTATAATCATTATAACCAGAAGCAGAAATGCTTTTTATTCTTTGAAAAATGTTTGTTATTATTTTTAATTTCAATATGTATTACTGTAAGGAGACTGGTGATTTGGGTTCACTCTGTCATTTTTACTCCAAAGTCTTTTCACTTATATTTTTACATATCTTTATTTTGTTTACATGTACAGTTTATGAATATCTCTATTCTCTTCCTACTCTTCTCTCTGAATGAGAAACCTTCTCTTATTTCCCCCATTCAATTCCTCCAGAATGAGGAAATGCTTCTCATTGCCTTATTTTATTCTTCCCCTTGCTATTTTCTATGTTCAGGTCATATGAAATATTTATCTTAGATTGTCTTTCAACAGTTGTTTAAAATTACCTATCAATTTAATTTTGATTATTTGCTTATTATATCCTTGTACTTTCCTCTTTGATTCACTTTTTTTTTTTTTGAGACAGGGTCTTGCTCTGTTGCCCAGGCTGGAGTGCAGTGGTGTGATCTCGGCTCACTGCAACCTCTGCCTCCTGGGTTCAAGCAATTCTCTTGCCTCAATATGGGGTTTCACCATGTTGGCTAGGCTGGTCTTGAACTCCTAACCTCAAGTGATCCACCCACCTCAGCCTCCCAAAGTGCTGGAATTACAGGCATGAGCCACTGCACATGGCTCACTTACTTATTTTTTAAGCTTTGCTAATTCAGAAAGTTTTAATTTTGTATTTATTTTCAGATAGAATTTGTGCATATGGGTGGGTTACTTTTTTTTTTCTTTTTTTTGAGACACAGTTTTGTTCTGTTGTCCAGGTGGAGTGCAGTGGTGTCACCTCAGCTCACTGCAACCTCAATCTCCTGGGCTCAATCAGTCCTCCTACCTCAGCCTCCTGAGTAGCTGAGACTATAGGCGCGTGCCAGCCCACCTTGGCCTCCCAAAGTGTTGGGATTACAGAGGTGAGCCACTGTGCCTGGCCCTGGGTCAGTCACTTTGAGTCCTTGCATGTCCAAGTTTTGCTGTCATAAGAGTTTTGTCTGGAAAAAGAGTTCTAGATTGACAATCATTCTCACTCTGAAATTTGGATAGCTTATTCCATTATCTTCTGGTATTTAGTGTTGCCACAAGAAGTCTTATGTTACCATGATTATTAGCTCCTTTTATTTCCTCTAGAATCATTTAGGACTTTCTCTTTCATCCCGGTTTTCTGAAACGTTGCTCTAATGTATTTAGATGTGAGTATTTTTTTCATTCACCCTGTTTGGCAACTTGATGGACCCATTCGATTAGAAGACTTGATCTTCTTAAAAAGCCCTGGAAATATTTCTTCAGTTATTTTGTTGAATACTTTCTTCCTTCCAGTATCTTGTTTCTCTTTCAGGAGCTCCTATTACATATATATTAGAACTTCTTGATTTATACATTGTCTCATATTTCCTTTCATTCTGTTTTTGAAACAGCTTTATTGAGATATAACTCACATACCATACAATCCCTCATTTAAAGTGTTCTATTTAGTGGTTTGTAGTATATTCACAAGGCAGGGTAGCCATCACCACAATAAACTTTAGAACATTTTCATAATCCCTAAAACCCTATAACCATTAAGTCACTCCCCTTTTCCCCAACCCATCCTCTCCAGCCCTTGGTACCATGAATCGACTTTCTGTTTCTGTAGATTGGCTTATTCTTCAAATTTCATACACCCGGAGTCATACAATATGTGAATGGCTTCTTTCACCTATATTTCAAAGCATACATTCACTTTCATTTCAAATCATACATTTGTTACTGGCTTCATTCACTTAGCATAATGTTTTATAGCAGGTATCAATATTTTATTTCCATTTCTTTTTATTGTCAAATTCCATTCTATTTATACACTTACCAGTTCATCGAAATTTGGGTTGTCTCTACGTTTTGGCTCTTATAAATAATGCTGCTATGAATATTTGTGTATAGATTTTTGTGTGCACATATGTTTTCATTTCTCTAGGGTATTACCTAGGAGTTAAATTGGTGAATCATATGGTAACTCTACGTTTAACCATTTGAGGAACTGCCAGACTGTTTTCCAGGGCAGCTGCACCATGTTATACTCCCACCTGCAGTGTATGAGGGTCCCAATTTCTCCACATCCTTGCTGATGCTTGTTATTATTTCATTTCATTCCATTTCTTTGTCCTCAAGGGCTAAGGTCTGGTGATATTACTCAGCTCCATCTTGTAACTTATTAGTAATCTCCATTATAAAGTCCATCCCTCCTGCATGGTTTTCTAAATATTTTATTTTTCATTTCTAGAGTCTCTAATTGATTCTTTTTCACAATAGCTTATCCTTATTTCATGAGTACGATTTTCTCCCTTTGGGGATATAAATAATATTCACTTAAAGTTTTCTGTTTGCTTTAATAACTCTTTCTTTTCAGAGGTGATTTACTCATTTATTGAGTAGGTGTTTCTATTTTATGGTAACTTTTTTTAGATGTTTCATGATGTCTTGTTTTGAGGTTCTCTTAAAATCTTGTCTGTCTGTGAATGCTGATCTGATGAGATGTGATTGGAGCATCCTATTCAGTTATTGTAGAAAAGGAGATCTCACACTGCTGGATGCGTCTTGCCAGCATCTCTCTCTCTCTCTCTCTCTCTCTCTCTCTCTCTCTCTCTGTGTGTGTGTTCCTAGATACTTTCTTTTTTTCTTTTTCTTTTTACTTTAAAATGTTTCCCCAAGTGATTCTATCCCACATCTTAGCTCCAAATGCTATCTATAAATGAAAAATTCCCAAATGTTATCTTTAGTCCCGACCTCTCCCATGAGCTACAGATCCACACATGCTCCTTTTCTTCAAAGCACTTATCTCATTTTGTAATTATACATCCATAGTGCAATTATTTGAGCAATGCCCATCTCTCTCCACTAGACTGTGTGTTCTGTGAGAACAGAGATTGTGCCTATTCAGGTCGCTGATGTGTTACCAGCAATCAGTATAGTACATGGCATATGTGCTCAATAGATACTTGTTAAACCACTGAATGAATGAGGTGAAACAACTCATGTGTGAGAGACCCTGTGATGTCTTGGAGCAGTGACTATGGGGGCCATCTTTACTTGCTAACACCAGGATCAAACTCAGGGTCAAATGTCCTGAGTTCCAGGGTGGTGCCTTTGCTATGTAGATACCTTTGCAGCGTACGTTCCCTCCTTGTGGGAAAAGAAGTTCAGCTTGTAGTCTTTCTTAGAGCCAGACAGTACATCAATGTAATCAAGGCCCTTCATAGTGATGCTTAGGTCCGGCTTCTCTGGTTTCAGTATTTCCACGATGACCCGGAATCTGGGGCAGCATAGGAGAACACAAGAGGGGAGAGGAAATGAGACCGTTAACCCATAGGAAAAAAGGAGAAGTGCCAGCTGTACTCTTGATTTTATGGGAAGTGCATGGCTCCAGGGTTCTAGTCTTCACCCTGTCACTAACAATAATGGGAACTGCCATTTACTGGCCACCTATTATGTGCCAGGGACTGAGTGAGTGGCCTGTGTGTTACAGGCATTAATCCTTGCAATATCTGTAGGAGGTATTAATACATATCACTATCATGTCCACATCACTAAATACAGGCCAAGAGAAGGAAGATAAGATGCTCCAAGAGAAGGAAGGTAAGATGACTGGTTACTGGCAGAACCAGGATTCAAATTTAGGTCAGGCCTTTACCCACTATGCTAAGCAGGAAGCCTTCAGTACATTGTGCCTGGTCTCCCAGTCTAGAGTTCCTTCTCTGTAAAAGAAGGGGACCATGCTTGTTGGCCTTGAGCTTTCCTGGTGCCCGATTTCCACTCTGCTCCTACTGCAAGGACAAGATCCAAGGACTTGCTTCTCTGGCCAGTGGCTTAGGTGATAAGACAGAACACTCAGCAATAACAGTGGTAATTATCATTATGATAATAATGGCTAACATTTATCGAATGGTTATTTTGTGCCAGGAAACTTACAAGTAACTAAGCACAGAAAAGAGAATCTCGCTAGAGGCTTAGTGTTCAGGAAATGCCTGGTCACATCAGGGAACTTTGTCTCTAACTCCTCGAGCCCCTCAACATCCTCTAGAGGTCCTAAGTAGGGGAAGGACCAGGCTAGATGGTGAAAGTCCTCCTTTCATCTCCCCACCCAGCCCCCTAGCCCCACCCCCTTACCTCTGGGGCTTGTTCAGCCAGTTGGTGATTGGCAGAAGCTCAGTGTAGGGGGTCTTACATGGCACTTCACGATAGATATTGGCTACAGCTTTGGGGAGCTCAGAAGTCCCATGCAGAGCATACAGCCAGCCGGTCCCATCTGGGAGGGGGAAGAAGAGGGTGCCCTAAGGAGAAGAAGGATGTGATCAGAATGCCACACAGCATTCTTTACTAGGTACTTATTGGACATGTAGAGACCCAGGATTAATGGAGGATAATGGAGGCTCTGGAAAGAAACATAATACTTTTGAAGACATCTTGGTGATATAGTTCAGGAGATAGAAAAATGTTCATATGTATCCGAGCCAGGAATCCTATCCCAGAGAGCCTATTGAAGAAAAATCCCTCCAAAGAAAAAAGTTATGCATATATATAAGAACCATTTATAATGTTGATGAAAATTTGTAGATAAACATTCAACAAATGGGACTGTAAAACAAATTGTGGAATTCTCATTCAGTGAAATATTGGGCAGTTATTAAAAATAATTATCATAAAGACCGCATAGTTAAATAGAAAAATGCTACTGCTATACCGTAAAGTGAAAACAAACTGAATGTAAAATTGGGTATGTTATGATGATAGTTATGGCTGTATCTGAATAAGGATTGGTAGTGAAGATAGAAAAGAAAAGTTCATTTTTTAATAGGGTGGAATATTGTGGCCACTTTTTTTTTGTTTTGTTACAGTCACCATTATGTTATTTATGCAATTAAGTGAAACATTAATTACTTGATGCTTGGTCTGGACTCCATTTCAGAACTGAGCCCCTGGCTCTACGAGAATCCCTGTACATTAAAATAAAAAATGAAAAAAGGAAGCCAAAGCTTGATAATCTGCACAATTCCCAAATCCTCACTATTCCAACATGATCTGGGTGTTCCCCATCTAACATTCTCTGAGCTCTCAGCTTCCAAAGTGTTTTTTAATTTAATTTTTATTTTTTTGAGATGGAGTCTCACTCTGTTGCCCAGGCTGGAGTGCAATGGCATGATCTTGGCTCACTGAAACCTCTGCCTCCTGGGTTCAAGCAATTCTCCTGCCTCAGCCTCCCAAGTAGCTGGGATTACAGGTGTGCACCACCATGCCTGGCTAATTTTTGTATTTTTAGTAGAGACAAGGTTTCACCTTGTTGGCCAGGCTGGTCTTGAACTACTGACCTCAGGCGATCCACCCTCCTCAGCCTCCCAAAGTGCTGGGATTACAGGCATGAGCCACCACGCCCAGCCCCAAAGTGTCTTTTAACCTCATTCACATAGTGCCACCTTCAACTATGCCAGGAAACCAATGGGGGTGGGGGGACCTCAGTCTACCTGGTGCTTGCGGTTCTCCAAGTTCATGGTGCGGGGCCTGTAGGTGATCTCATAGGGCTTGTTTTGCTGGTGGGCCTCCAGGGTGATGAACTCAGGCCCCTCCCAGTGCTCGCCCTCAAAGATGGGGTGCAGATTCCAGGTCTGGTTGGTGCGGTTTGACAGCAGGATGGTCTGCGTGTGCTTGGAGCGCACCTGGCACGTGAAATTCACTACCTGGAAGAAAGCAGGCACCTCATCTTCCATGGCACTTCCCCCTGGTCCGTCTCCAGGGCCAGAAGTACAGAATGTGCGCTGGGGAAGACTGACTTTGACAGTGCTTCCCATCATGAGTTTCAGTGGGTCCGTTTCTTTTTCTTTCATTCACTCAACACATACTTACGGGTACCTTCTATGTGCTAGGCACTGTTCTTGGTGGTAGAGATGTAGCAATGAACGAAATAACAAAAATCTCTGCCCTTGAGCTGAGATTCTACTAGAGGGAGACAGACACACAAGTGGAATGTAGAGCGTGCAGGATAGAAATAAGTGCCAAGGGGAAAGACAAAGTAGAAGGGGTGCCAGATTGGGAGTGGGTTTGAGTTTTTACACAGTGTGATCAGGAAGGGCCTAACTGAGCATATGTATTTGATTAAAGACCAAGAAGGATGAAGTAGGGGAGACCTGGGGAAGAGCCTGAGTGAGCCTGAGTGTAACTGGCAGAGGAAATGCCAGTTACAAAGCTCCTGGTTTTGACAAAAGGCAGGCAGGCCAGTGTGGCAAATGTGAAGTGAGTGAGGGGGAGATAAAGTGACAGGGGACAGCACGCAGGGTCTTGGAGTCATGGTAGACACTTTTTTTTTTTTTTTTTAGTTGAAAAAGGAGGACTTACGAGTATTTTGAGTAGAGTGACCTGATCGGATCTATGCTCTAACAGAACTGCTCTAGATGCTTAGAGGTGACAGAGGAAGAGAGATTAACTAGAAGACACTTGCAATAGGCCAGGTGGGGGATGACGGTGGCTTAGGTGGCACTGGTAGCACTGGGGATGGTGGAAAGTGGGTATATTCCAGTTGTACTTGGAAGAGCCAATAGCATTTACTTCTGTATGGTATGTTGGGTATAGGTGGAAGAAGGCTCAAGAATGACACCCAATGAGCAGAATGGAGATGCCCTTTACTGATGTGGGATTGACTGCGGGAGGAGCAGGTTTCAGTGAGAGATCGGGAGCTCAGGTTTCATACATGTTAAATTTGAGATGCCTATTCGTCAAGAAGGAAGTAGAATTTACAAATCTGGGGTTCAAGGGAAGAGTCCAGGCTGCAGATAAAGATTTGGGAGTTGTCAGTATAGCAATTTCATTGTTGTTATTACTGTTGTTGTTTTGTAGAGATAGGGTCTCACTATGTTGCCCACGCTGGTCTTGAACTCCTGAGCTCAAGCGATCCTCCTGCTTCAGCCTCCCAAAGTGCTGGGATTACAGGCACGAGCTACTGTGTCCAGCCTAACAGTGTTTTTTTTTTTTAGGCCAAGAAACTGGCTGAAATCAACAAGAAATGATGGTATGTAGACGAAAGAAGGAATCTAAGGACTAGTTCTTGACTGACAAACTCCAATGTTAAGAAGAATCAGAAGGCCAGGCTTGGTGGCTCATGCCTGAAATCCCAGCACTTTGGGAGGCCAAGTTGAGTGGATTGCCTGAGGTCAGGAGTTTGAGACCAACCCGGCCAACATGGCAAAACCCTGTCTCTACTAAAAATATAAAAATTAGCTAGGCATGATGGTGGGGGCCTGTAATTCCAGCTACTTAAGAGCTGAGTTAGGAGAATTGCTTGAATCTGGGAGGCAGAGGTTGCAGTGAGCCGAGATCATGCCACTGCACTCCAGCCTGGGGAACAGAGTGAGACTCTGTCTCAGAAAAAAAAAAAAAAAAACCAAAAAAAAAAAAAACAAGAAACAAACAGAAGATGAGAAGGAGAAGCCGGTGAGTAGGAAGAAACCCAGGAGAGAGTGGTGTGCTGGAGCCAAGTGAAGGAAGTGTTTGCAGGAGGAGGAACGGGTTTATGGTGTCAAATGCTCCCTATAGTTAAAGAAAGAACTGGCTATTGGATTGGTATTGGCATAAAGATGGTCGAATAGATCAATAGATGAGAACAGAACCCACATATATATGATCAATTGATTGTCATTTACAATCAATGACAAAGGTGCCAAGGCAATTCAGTAGAGAAAAGAGTCTTTTCAACAAGTGGTACTAGAACAATTGGATATCCATGTACAAAAAATTTTTGATCCATATCTCACACTATATACAGAAATTAACTCCGAATAGACTGAAGACCTAAACACAAAACTTATGTTCGGAATATATAAAGAGCTCTAGAAACTTTAATAAGAAGACCAACGACCTAATTAAAAATAAACAGAAGACTTGAACAGACACTTTAACTAAGACAATACAGGGCTGGCAAATAAGTACTCGAAAAGTTGCTTAACATCATTAGTCATCAGGAAAATAAAGCCTCCATGAGATACCTCTACATACTGATTAGAATGGCTGAAATTTAAAACAACTGACTATCAACTGTTGATGAGGATGTGAAGTAAGTGGAGATGTCAGACATTGCTGGTGGCATTGTAAAAGGACACAACCACTTTGGAAAATAGTTTGGCAGTTTCTTACAAAGGTAAACATACGCCTACCACATGACCCAGCCATTCCACAACTAGGTATTTATCCAAGAGAAATGAAAGCATATGTTCCTGCTGAGACTTATAAATACAAGTTCATAGCATACTGTATGATTCCATTCATATAACATTCTTTAACAAAATTATAGACAGGGAGATTGGGTGTCATTTCTACCACAAGCAGTGTTGCTAGGTAACACAGCTGATGGTTCAGTTAGGTTCCCAGGAACAAGGCTAGCAGACGGATATACCAAGGCCATTTTTTTTTAAACCATAGAAAAGGAGAAAGGTGTTAACGCTTTAATCATAGATCTTAGAATGTGATCTAGCCAGGGATGTCAAAGCAGGCTTCCTTGAGAATGTAATGTTTCAGATGAGAGCTGAAGAATGGAAAGGAATAAACCAAATGAAGAGGGGAGAATGAATATTCCAGCAGTGGAAACGGTGTATTCACAGGCCTCGTGGAGGGAGGGGGCAGGCCTGCCTGTTTGAAGGAGGCCTGGCTGAGTTCACTTGCTGGGGTCACTCCTGCCACTGGGCCACCCCGGGCAGCAGCTACTAACCTCTTTTACCGCAGGTGGTCCCACGCAGACTCCAGACAGGGTTAGACTCAGAGGACTGCCTCCCTGGATGTAGCAGAGAATGTTTTTACAAAGGCTCTCCTTTCCCACCTCGGTGGGATGGTAGGTCACTTCAAAAGAAACCTCCATGCCTGAGGTAATATAGCCTTCTTCTGGGCTAATGGAGAAATGAGGCTCAAATTTTTTGATGTCCCATTTAAACCTTTTCCAAGAAAAAGAAGAAAAGAAAGAGAGTTTATGGATGTTGTAAGGGTGTCCTCAATGCTACTGAGAACAAGAGACTGCCTAGGCTGAGGTTCACCTCCCTTGAGTCTATCCTAGCACCTAGGAGGAGAAAGATCTCTGCCAGACAGAGCAGAAGCACTGGGGAATGTGGGCCAAGGTCACTTCCTGGGTAGGTGGACTTGGCTCCTTTGCAGAGCTGAGCCAAGGGCAGGAAGTGGCTGCATCTTATTATCCACGAGTGACACATCAGGGAACATATGTATGAACACACATACACATGTGTCGTGTACTTAAGGTCACACAGCTAGGAAGTGGCTGGGCTAGGACAGAAATCCTTCTGGGACTGTGGTCTTAACTGTTCCCTGCACTGCTTCCTGGTTCAGATCCTGGGGGATGGCGACAATCCCTTCCCGTGAGAGTTGCCTCTGTTCTGGGTGGCACTGGTATCCCATGGCCCTGTGTGGTCCTCCCTCTGTGGTTGGGCACTCGCTTATCTGTGAAATGGGTTGGTAGCAGTCTTGGTCTCATAGAACTGTAGTTGGATTAAATGATGTGTGCCATGTCAAGGCAGGAAACAGGCATGGACTAAATATCTTCTGTTATCTCAACTGTAGTAATCATAGTAGCAGCAATCACCCCAGTGAGGCCACTGCTGTCACATCTTGAGGGAAGCAGGGGGATGTAGAAGGGAGAGGACAGAAGTAAAAAGTGATTGCACTTGCAGAACAAGTCCAGGGCAGATACAGGGACAGCAGCCTCTGGGGCAGCCTCAGGGTGGGAGACACTGCTCCCTTACCTTGCACCCACATCGCCTGTGTTCATCATGAGGATGCGACGTGTGGCTTGCGTCTGATACACCACGGGTCCAAAGGGAATATGTTCCTGGTCCAGTGAGATCTCCAGGGCCTGGCAGCAGCCGCTAAGGAGGAAGAGGGGGCGCAGGAGCCCCATGCATTCCATGAACACTTCCTCAGAGAAGGGAGGGACACGCTTCTTCGGGGCAAAGATGACTTCCAGTTTACAGACTTCTTTGGGCTTCAGTGTGATGTTGTGGAAGGGCGCCAGGGTAAGGACCTGAATGAAATAGCACCCAGAGTCAGCAGCTGAGGGTGGGAGGCCCCTAAGGCCTCGGTTCCCGGAGTTCTTGCTGCTGCGATTGGAACAGGGGTCAGATCTCACTCCTGCTCTCCCATCAGCTGTGTATGCTTTGGTAAATTACTTCAACTTTCTGTGACTTACTCTATGTTGAAGATTAAGATCATCTCTATAAAATTTGTAGCACATAATAGATATTTAATAAGTATCATTTCCCTTTCCTGACCCTTTCCTAACTTATTTTGTGTACTTCCTTCTTTCTTCCTCCTCCCTGATACAGGAAATAGTAATGGGAAATAACAAACAGTTAGAGCTCTGGCACTTCTCAAGGAGTCTTCCCTGCCTCAGTTTCCCTGTGTGGTTTTTAAAATGCAGATTCCGGTTGGGTGCCGTGGCTCACGCCTGTAATCCCAGCACTTTGGGAGGCCGAGGCAGGTGGATCACTTGAGGTCAGGAGTTTGACAACAGCCTGGCCAACATGGCGAAACCCCGTCTCTACTAAAAATACAAAAATTAGACGGGCTTTGTGGTTTATGCCTGTAGTCCCAGCTACTCAGGAGGCTGAGGCAGGAGAATCACTTGAACCCAGGAGGTGGAGATTGCAGTGAGCTGAGATCACACCAGTGCACTCCAGCCTGGTCGACAGAGTGAGACTCCGACTCAAAAAAAACCAAACAAACATATATATATGTGTGTGTGTGTGTGTATATATATATACACACACACATATATACACACATATATGTATATATACACACATATATGTATATATATACACACATATATGTGTGTATATATATATATATACACACATATATATATACACACACATATATATATGTTTTTTTTTTTTTTGAGATGGAGTGCCGTGGTGCGATCTCGACTCACTGCAACCTCCGCCTCCTGGGTTCAAACAATTCTCTGCCTCAGCCTCCTGAATAGCTGGGATTACAGGCACCCGCCACCATGCCTGGCTAATTTTTTGTATTTTTAGTAGAGACGGGGTTTCACCATCTTGGCCAGGCTAGTCTTGAACTCCTGGCCTTGTGATCCACCTGCCTCAGCCTCCCAAAGTGTTGGGATTACAGGCGTGAGCCACTACGCCCAGCCTAGGAATGTATCTTAAGCACAGAGTCATGCATGCACAAAGGCTTAAGGAGAAACACCTGAAATGAACGAAAATAGAGAACTGGGCTGTCTACACAACGGAGATGTAAATAAACAAATGACAATGAATGACATGGAAAATGAAATGAAAATGCAAAATGAAAATAATGTTCGTTTTCACAAAAACAGTGTGGGACTAGTGCACCCTGTAAAGCCCTATACTGTTTTTGTGAAAATGAACAGAGGGAGTACAGGGAAGGCTCTTAGAATGGTCTGGCACATTACAGATGCACAAGAAATGTGAGCTGCTAGTGTTGCCAGCATGGCCATCCTCATCATCAGGGAGCATGAAGGGGCCGCTAGGAGCCCCTCTGAGCACCAACCTTGGGTTCCTGGAGTTCTGGAATTGTGAACAGAATGGACTGATTAAATGTGAGCTGGGCCAGGCTGTTGTTCATGATGGAAACTGTTCTTTTCACAACCTGCCCTGGTAGGACAGCTCCCAACTTCACAATCCTGTTGGCTGGATCTAGGACTAAAATCTGTGGGACAAGAAAGAGTAGGAAGAAGAGTTCATTAGTTAAAGGGAAAAATAAACATTATATGTCTACTCTGGTGAGGCAAGGGTGGTTCCTTCTCTTTCTGTGCCCTCACTTCTTCATATTGGGTGGGCATCTGCCTACTCAATAAGCATTTAAGTGCCTCAAGTGCCCACTGAACTCCTCATCACACAATTATACAAGTACAACTGGGTCAAAATATATGTAGGAAAATCTCAGGGCACCTTGAGAGCATATTACATGGGGCTGAAACTAGGCTAGGGGGCTCAGGGGGCCTTTCCGAAGATGGCATGTATACATCAAGAGCTAAAGAAAGGTATGAGCTAGTCAGTTTCAGCCAGAGTGAGTGTGGAATTGGGGAACAACCTAAGGCAGGGAGACAACCTGTGGCCAGGCCCTGAGCCAGAGGGAGTGGCCCAGTGAAGGCCTGAGGCTGGGAGCTAGGACTTGAGAAGATGACTTCAGAGAGGTGGCCAGGTCTTGCAAGGCCTTTTAGGCCATTGCTGAGTGAGAAGTGGGAAAACTGGGCTTCATTCTGGGAGCAATGGGAAGTCAGTGAAGTATGGAGTGTTTGTGAGAGAGCTCTGGCTTCTTTACGGAGAATGGGCTTGAAGAGGGCAAGAAAGAAAGCAGGAGGGAGAGATGATGGTGGTTGGATTAGAACAGTGGCAGTAGAGGCAGAGAAAAGTAGTTATGCTTCCAAGTCCTCAGGTAAGACACTGATTAAAATGGTGCCTGGGTCAGGCCAAGGCCAGGCTGAGCCTGCCCTCCAAAATGGCACTGACCCACAATGAGCAGCACCCACTGGTCACTGTCATGGTCAGTCACTAAATTGCACCCCTCCACCCAACTATCTTTAAACCCAGCCCACATGTTTCCATTTTGTCTAAAAAGGCAAGAGAGTCTGTCCCACCAGTCATGAGCTCTTGGATGTCTGAGAACATGTGTAAGTCACTTGTGCATCTTCCCAAAATATCCAATACATAATGGGTGCTAAATGAACAAGTGAAAGACCAATAGGAAAATGAATGAATCAATGGCATCAGAAGCGACCTTGTCTCTAGCTTGGGTCCAGACACATTAGCTGGTAATGTCCTGTTGCTCCTATGGCTTGATGGGAAGGCTGCCAGGAATACACCCCTCCCCTGGTTGCCGAAATATGCTATGCATTCCTGAAAGTCTTGGAAGGATTTTAATCTTCCAAAACCTTCTATTAAAATACAGATAATCCCACCAGACAAGCACCTTACACATTTACTAGACACAAGAAGGAAATGAATGAGCAGCAGAATATGACCATTCCCTTTCTATCCAGAGTGCCTCAGTAAAAGAAATGCCTTGAACCAAATATCATCCAGGGATCTGTGGCTGGCTGGAGAATGCTAATCAATGGGGTGTTAAGGAAAGATGTTCCATCACTGAAACACATGTCTGTGTACATTGCTTAAAAATGTTAAAAAAAATGTTATCTATTAAACCTGAAAACAAACATGCCCTGATGCAGGAGGAAAAGGATATACTTGGGGTGCTGAGTCTGAAAGTCTCAAATTTCTCCAAGAAAAAGAATATTTCTCTAGTGTCTGTAATTACCTGTATCCTTTGATACAGTAAAGTTTGGTATTGAATAAGATCTATGATTCAGTGAGTCTGATCTGGTGATTTGCCCCTTTCTGTTATTAGGAACATCATCTCAGTGGGACTCGCTGACCTACAACAGAGCAGCCTGGGGCAGAGAAGCAGAGGGGCTGGAAGGGTGAAGGGGTTCTGGGGGGCAAAGAAGGATGAGAAGGGTAGAAAGGAGGGTGCCACGCCTGAAGGCCTCCCGACTGTCTGTTACCTTCATTTTGGTACCCTTCCCTTTGATTTCGACTGTTTGTTGTGAGAGCCCATTGATTTCAAAGGGAATGAGTTCTTGATAGTTGATACTTTCTCGAGGATAAAAAGTTATTGGAATCTCCAATGTGTTTCCTGGCTTTACCACATCAACACGGGAGTTCACCTCGAGGTGAGTGGTGTTGGTGTACAGACAATCTATGCTGCAGAAAATCAAGAGGAAGAGGCGTAAGCTCCAAGAAGTCTGACCCAGAGGGGCAGATGCTGTCTCCTTGTCTCTTTGGGCTGGACACTGATGGGTTTCCTGCCCTGCTGTCCTAGAGTCACAGAAGTCATTTAAGAGCTAGAAGGGAGCTCAGCAATGACCCAGCCCATGCTCTCTTAGGCACAACCAAGTTGCTCCAAGTCACATCCTGAGATCCTGGCTGAACTGGGTTTCAAACTCAAGGCTCATCACCCTTTGCCCAATATTCTTCACTCTACCGATTCTGTATTTCTTTCTTTCTTTCTTTCTTTTTTTTTGGAGACAGAGTCTCACTCTGTCACCCAGGCTGGAGTGCAGTGGCATGATCTCAACTCACTGCAACCTCCACCTCCCAGGTTCAAGCGATTCTCTTGCCTCAGCCTCCTGAGTAGCTGGGATTATAGGTGCATACCACTGTGCCCAACTAATTTTTGTATTTTTAGTAGATGCAGGGTTTCACCATGTTGGCCAGGCTGATCTTGAACTTCTGACCTCAGGTGATCCACCCACCTCGACCTCCCAAAGTGCTGGGATTACAGGCCACCGCGCCCAGCCTGATTCTCGATTTCTTGATAATGCATCTCATGGTTTTCTACACGAGGGTTTTGTACCCTCTCATAAGAAGGAAGTGCTTCCAGAAGTAATTAGGTAACAAGGCACAGTAGGGAGGAGTATATGTTCTAGAGTCAGGCAGAGAGGAGTCTGGATCTAGGCTCCATCACTAATTACCCAAATGATCTCTGAAGAGTTATGTGGCCCACTTGGGTCTCTGTTTTCTGATCTGTAAAATGGGGGTAATGATAACTATTTCTTAGGGCTGTTGTGAGGATTAAATGAGATTAAGTGACTGAAACAGTCATTAAATAGGGCACAGAGGAAATATTCCATAAAGTGAGCTATTATTATTATGACTAATTGTTCAACCAGAAGGGATCTTAAAAGATCATGTCCACCCTACTCCACATGTGGGTAGGAAGGCACCTAGGCCTTTTCATTACAACCTCTCCTTCTCTGCCTTACAGTCTGTAGAGAAGGAGTCTAGCTAGGCCAACATATAGAGCTCAATGCCTTAAGCAAAGTAAGACTGAGATTACATTAAATCATGCAAGAAGTATAGATAGATAAGATTTAAAATTAGTATTTAAAATTACATGACACACTTATAATTTAATATTCAGGGTACTAATAATAATCATAACAGCAGCAGCAGCAGCTAACAATAACTGGGCATTTCTTATGTTCCAGGCAGTGTTCTAAGCACTGTTCCTAGGTGAACTAATGTAATCATCCTAATAGTCTTATATAGATGGTATTATTATGACTACCATTTCAGGCAAGGAGACAGAGGCATAGAGAGTTTTAAAAATTTGCCCAAGATCACACAACTAGGGAAGAGTTGAAATTTGAACTTAGATCTGTGCTAGCCAATATGGTGGCCACTAGACACATGTGGTTATTAAAATTAAAATTAACATTAATTAAAATAAAATAAAAAATCAGTTCTTTAGTTTCGCTAGCCACATTTTAAGTGCTCTGAAGCCACATTCAGCTATAGGCCACCATATTGGACAATGCAAAAATACAACATTTTCATCATGATGGAAAGTTCTCTAAAGTACTGATAGATAGCTTTGAGTAAACACAGGTCTTTGGGCCAGCCCTTGGAGATTCTATCTCATTAGGTCTTGAATGGGGCTCAGAACCTTGGACTAGAACATCCCACACAGGGATGGTGCCGAGAGGCTGGATTTGAATCAGAAAGCTTAGGCTCAGTACAGGTCTGCTATTTACTGCAAAGCCACTGGCCTGAGAAATTTACCTTTTAACTCTTCAAACCTCAGTTTCCAAGTCTATTGCACGACAAGATAAATGGAAGTCATAAAACCTCTCATTAGGTCCTTTGGCATTGCTCTACATACTTCACAAAGAGGATTTTTAGCAGGGTAGCTCGTGGCTATCCAAGTATTAGTGTTAGTTATGGGGACAGGGACCTAGGATTCATACCCACTTTTGTTTGACTCTTTCCCATAATCATTTTTTTTTTTTTTTGTCTTGGCAGGGCTTCACCTGTGTGGAATCTGTAGGACCCACAAGCAGCTAGAGAATCATTTGGAGGCTCTGGAAGCCTGCTTACCTCATAGGTGTTTCTTCCTTGTTGGTAATTACCAGGGTTTGTTTGTATGGGGGCATCCCAGCTTGATAGATAAAGCAGGTCCCAAAGTTGTAGCTGGTGAAGGAGAAATGGATAGCCGGGCTCACAGCACAGCCTGAGATGTTGCACATAAATGTTGGACCATGGCTGATCTGTGAGGAGGAAATGGCAGGGGGACCATGATTAGGAGAAGTAGGAGGAGAGGGCTCTTAAGTCCTCAGGTGAAGCAGGAAAGCAGTTGGTGCTTTAACAAATACAGGTCTCAGGGTGCCATTTCCAGAGATTCCAATTCAGTAGGTTAGAAGTTTGTGTATTGAAGAAAAGTTCCTCTGTAATCAGGCCCTACATTGCCTCCCACTTTGCTCTTGCAGCAATGATTCAGCTTGAAGGCTCAGGGGTATACCAGGCACTGCTAGTTACTACCCAATATCCGCTCCCCATGGCTTCCTTCCTAGCAGGACTCTGATTGGATGCCCATGTGCCTAGGTGCAAATGCTTCATTTTACACCTTCCTTTGAAGCTCAGGATGGCCATCAGACATAGTTCCAGTCATTGAGATGTAAACAGAAGAGGACAAGAGGGTGTTCTATCTTGAATAAAGAGGCAAAGCCTTTCTGGGGAAGTTCTTTGCCTTCACACTCTTCCCCTTTCTTTTCACTCTGGAATGCAGACATAGGATGTCAGGTAGAATGGTCATCTTGTGACCAGGAGATGACAAGAAGGAGAACAAGGCTAATATGCCAAGGATGAAAGAGTGGAAAGATGGAAAGAGCACAGGTCATCATCTGGACTCTCAATCACAAGGTAATATGTGACTCATTGGTACATGAAGTTAATTTGCTCTTCACAAACTCCTCATAATGTGAATTTTCACAAATTGATAATTGATTTCAAATAAATTATCTATTATTCATTCTAAGCATCATTAGAATAAACATTATTAGAATAAACAGTAGAATAAACATTCATTTTAAACATTATTAGAATAAGTCAGCAGTCATTGGTACAAGCTATCATAAACAACTTTATACATTTAAAAACATTTTCTTATTCAAAGCTTTTATTTTTCTTTTCTTTCAACTTTTAAGTTCAGGGGTACATGTGCAGGATATGCAGGTTTGTTACACAGATAAATGTCCAAGGCTTTTAAAGTGTTTACATTTTGTGACTGATTCAATGAAAAGGATGTAAATTTATCATCTTCAACTCTTCTGCCAACCAGAGTAGAAAGATCTTGTAACATGTTACGTTTCTGTTTGCTCTAAGAAATGTAAGTTCTGAAAAAGTTCTCAAAAGGAATAGGTCCCTTCTGAAGCCACAAACCGGGCTTTTCTCAGAGAAGATGGCTGCAACTTTGCTGCTGAGTTTCAGGCCAAGAAAACAGTGGAGCTTCCCGAACTCTCAATGACCAGTGATGCACCTTGGATTTTTTCATGGCTTGAATGTTTGTCTCCTCCAAAACTCATGCTGAAATTTAATTGCCATTGTGATGGTATTGGGAAGTGGGACTTTTAAGAAGTGATTGGTCATGAGGGATCGCCCTCATGAATGGACTAATGCCATCACCGTAGGAGTGCGTTTGCTATGGCAGGAATAAGTTCACTCCTTCTTGCTCTCTCTCTCTGTCTCTCTCTTCCTCCTGCCCCACCCCCGACCTTTCTTCCCGTAACCATTGCCCTTTCATCATGTGATGCCATCTGCCATGTTACGATGCAGCCATAAGGCCCTCACCAGATGCTGGCAACTTGATATTGAACTTCCCAGGGTCCAGAACCATGAGCCGAAACATTTCTATTCATTATAAATTACCCAGTCTCAGGTATTCTGTTATAGAAGCACAAAACAGATGAAGACAGGTTCCAGTGGTTTTACACCCATCTTTCTATCAATCACCTTCTTCCTGAGGATTTGATAAAGATGATGTGTTAGGCTGGGCATCCCAAATTTCTTTCCATTGTGGTTGAAGAACATACTTTGCACGATTTCAATCCTTTTAATTTATTGAGGTATGTTTTATGGCCTAATATCTGGTCAATCCTGGACAATGTTCCATGTTCACTTGAAAAGAATGTCTATTCTCCTGCTGTTAGATGAAATGTTCTGTATATGTCTGTTAGGCCTAGAGCTTTCATAGTGCTATTCAAGTCTTCTTATTTCCTTGCTGACCTTCTGTCTAGTTATATCTATTGTTTAAAACTAGGTACTGTAATCTCCAACTATGATTGTTGAATTGTTTATTTCTTCCTTCAATTCTGTCAGTTTTGTTTCATGTATTTTGGGACTCTGTCGTTACATGCATGTTTATAATTGCTATGTCTTCTTGATGGAGTGATTCTTTTATCATTATAAAATATCTTTATCTCTAGGAATAATTTTCAATCATTGAAAAATGTCTTTATCTATCGCTAGGAATAGTTTTTGTCTGTAAGTCTATTTTGTTTGACATTAGCATAGGTACCCTAGCTCTTGTTGGTTACTATTTAAATGCTATATCTTTTTCTATCCTTTTACTTTAAATCTATTTGTGTCTTTGAATCCAAAGTGAGTCTCTTGTAGACAGCACATAGTTGGATCATGATTTTTCCCATTATTCTGCCAATTTTTATCTTTCTATTGAAGGGTTTAACTCATTTAAATTTAATGTAATTACTGATAAGGTAAAATTTTATGTCTTTTTTCTATTTGCTTTCTATATATCATGTCTTTTTAAACAAATCACTAGTCAATTATGTCTTTTTTATTCTTCTATTCCTCCATTACTGCCTTCTTTTGTGTTAAGTAGATATTTTCTAGTGTACCATTTAAATTCCCTTGCCATTTGTTTTACTATATTCTTTTGAGTTGTTGTATTAGTGGTTGCAAGGAAGATTACAATTAACATCTACATTTAAAACAATCTAGTTTGAGTTGATAACAACTTAATTTCTTTTTTTTTACATAAATTTATTTATTTATTTATTTATTCTTTTTTTTATTATACTTTATGTTTTAGGGTACATGTGCACATTGTGCAGGTTAGTTACATATGTATACATGTGCCATGCTGGTGCGCTGCACCCACTAACTCGTTATCTAGCATTAGGTATATCTCCCAATGCTATCCCTCCCCCCTCCCCCCACCCCACCACAGTCCCCAGAGTGTGATGTTCCCCTTCCTGTGTCCATGTGATCTCATTGTTCAATTCCCACCTATGAGTGAGAATATGTGCTGTTTGGTTTTTTGTTCTTGCGATAGTTTACTGAGAATGATGATTTCCAATTTCATCCATGTCCCTACAAAGGACATGAACTCATCATTTTTTATGGCTGCATAGTATTCCATGGTGTATATGTGCCACATTTTCTTAATCCAGTCTATCATTGTTGGACATTTGGGTTGGTTCCAAGTCTTTGCTATTGTGAATAATGCTGCAATAAACATACGTGTGCGTGTGTCTTTATAGCAGCATGATTTATAGTCCTTTGGGTATATACCCAGTAATGGGATGGCTGGGTCAAATGGTATTACTAATTCTAGGTCCCTGAGGAATCGCCACACTGACTTCCACAATGGTTGAACTAGTTTACAGTCCCACCAACAGTGTAAAAGTGTTCCTATTTCTCCACATCCTCTCCAGCACCTGTTGTTTCCTGACTTTTTAATGATTGCCATTCTAACTGGTGTGAGATGGTATCTCATTGTGGTTTTGATTTGCATTTCTCTGATGGCCAGTGATGATGAGCATTTTTTCATGTGTTTTTTGGCTGCATAAATGTCTTCTTTTGAGAAGTGTCTGTTCATGTCCTTCGCCCACTTTTTGATGGGGTTGTTTGTTTTTTTCTTGTAAATTTGTTTGAGTTCATTGTAGATGCTGGATATTAGCCCTTTGTCAGATGAGTAGGTTGCGAAAATTTTCTCCCATTTTGTAGGTTGCCTGTTCACTCTGATGGTAGTTTCTTTTGCTGTGCAGAAGCTCTTTAGTCTAATTAGATCCCATTTGTCAATTTTGGCTTTTGTTGCCATTGCTTTTGGTGTTTTGGACATGAAGTCCTTGCCCATGCCTATGTCCTGAATGGTAATGCCTAGGTTTTCTTCTAGGGTTTTTATGGTTTGAGGTCTAACGTTTAAGTCTTTAATCCATCTTGAATTGATTTTTGTATAAGGTGTAAGGAAAGGATCCAGTTTCAGCTTTCTACATATGGCTAGCCAGTTTTCCCAGCACCATTTATTAAATAGGGAATCCTTTCCCCATTGCTTGTTTTTCTCAGGTTTGTCAAAGATCAGATAGTTGTAGATATGTGGCGTTATTTCTGAGGGCTCTGTTCTGTTCCATTGATCTATATCTCTGTTTTGGTACCAGTACCATGCTGTTTTGGTTACTCTAGCCTTGTAGTATAGTTTGAAGTCAGGTAGTGTGATGCCTCCAGCTTTGTTCTTTTGGCTTAGGATTGCCTTGGCGATGCGGGCTCTTTTTTGGTTCCATATGAACTTTAAAGTAGTTTTTTCCAATTCTGTGAAGAAAGTCATTGGTAGCTTGATGGGGATGGCATTGAATCTGTAAATTACCTTGGGCAGTATGGCCATTTTCACGATACTGATTCTTCCTACCCATGAGCATGGAATGTTCTTCCATTTGTTTGTATCCTCTTTTATTTCCTTGAGCAGTGGTTTGTAGTTCTCCTTGAAGAGGTCCTTCACATCCCTTGTAAGTTGGATTCCTAGGTATTTTATTCTCTTTGAAGCAATTGTGAATGGGAGTTCACTCATGATTTGGCTCTCTGTCTGTTGTTGGTGTACAAGAATGCTTGTGATTTCTGTACATTGATTTTGTATCCTGAGACTTTGCTGAAGTTGCTTATCAGCTTAAGGAGATTTTGGGCTGAGACGATGGGGTTTTCTAGATATACAATCATGTCGTCTGCAAACAGGGACAATTTGACTTCCTCTTTTCCTAATTGAATACCCTTTATTTCCTTCTCCTGCCTAATTGCCCTGGCCAGAACTTCCAACACTATGTTGAATAGGAGTGGTGAGAGAGGGCATCCCTGTCTTGTGCCAGTTTTCAAAGGGAATGCTTCCAGTTTTTGCCCATTCAGTATGATATTGGCTGTGGGTTTGTCATAGATAGCTCTTATTATTTTGAAATACGTCCCATCAATACCTAATTTATTGAGAGTTTTTAGCATGAAGGGTTGTTGAATTTTGTCAAAGGCTTTTTCTGCATCTATTGAGATAATCATGTGGTTTTTGTCTTTGGCTCTGTTTATATGCTGGATTACATTTATTGATTTGCGTATATTGAACCAGCCTTGCATCCCAGGGATGAAGCCCACTTGATCATGGTGGATAAGCTTTCTGATGTGCTGCTGGATTCGTTTTGCCAGTATTTTATTGAGGATTTTTGCATCAATGTTCATCAAGGATATTGGTCTAAAATTCTCTTTTTTGGTTGTGTCTCTGCCCGGCTTTGGTATCAGAATGATGCTGGCCTCATAAAATGAGTTAGGGAGGATTCCCTCTTTTTCTATTGATTGGAACAGTTTCAGAAGGAATGGTACCAGTTCCTCCTTGTACCTCTGGTAGAATTCGGCTGTGAATCCATCTGGTCCTGGACTCTTTTTGGTTGGTAAACTATTGTTTATTGCCACAATTTCAGCTCCTGTTATTGGTCTATTCAGAGATTCAACTTATTCCTGTTTTAGTCTTGGGAGAGTGTATGTGTCGAGGAATTTATCCATTTCTTCTAGATTTTCTAGTTTATTTGCGTAGAGGTGTTTGTAGTATTCTCTGATGGTAGTTTGTATTTCTGTGGGATCGGTGGTGATATCCCCTTTATCATTTTTGATTGTGTCTATTTGATTCTTCTTTCTTTTTTTCTTTATTAGTCTTGCTAGCGGTCTATCAGTTTTGTTGATCCTTTCAAAAAACCAGCTCCTGGATTCATTAATTTTTTGAAGGGTTTTTTGTGTCTCTATTTCCTTCAGTTCTGCTCTGATTTTAGTTATTTCTTGCCTTCTGCTAGCTTTTGACTGTGTTTGCTCTTGCTTTTCTAGTTCTTTTAATTGTGATGTTAGGGTGTCAATTTTGGATCTTTCCTGCTTTCTCTTGTGGGCATTTAGTGCTATAAATTTCCCTCTACACACTGCTTTGAATGCGTCCCAGAGATTCTGGTATGTTGTGTCTTTGTTCTCGTTGGTTTCAAAGAACATCTTTATTTCTGCCTTCATTTCGTTATGTATCCAGTAGTCATTCAGGAGCAGGTTGTTCAGTTTCCATGTAGTTGAGCGGCTTTGAGTGAGATTCTTAATCCTGAGTTCTAGTTTGATTGCACTGTGGTCTAAGAAATAGTTTGTTATAATCTCTGTTCTTTTACATTTGCTGAGGAGAGCTTTACTTCCAAGTATGTGGTCAATTTTGGAATAGGTGTGGTGTGGTGCTGAAAAAAATGTATATTCTGTTGATTTGGGGTGGAGAGTTCTGTAGATGTGTATTAGGTCCGCTTGGTGCAGAGCTGAGTTCAATTCCTGGGTATCCTTGTTGACTTTCTGTCTCGTTGATCTGTCTAATGTTGACAGTGGGGTGTTAAAGTCTCCCATTATTAATGTGTGGGAGTCTAAGTCTCTTTGTAGGTCACTCAGGACTTGCTTTATGAATCTGGGTGCTCCTGTATTGGGTGCATATATATTTAGGATAGTTAGCTCTTCTTGTTGAATTGATCCCTTTACCATTATGTAATGGCCTTCTTTGTCTCTTTTGATCTTTGTTGGTTTAAAGTCTGTTTTATCAGAGACTAGGATTGCAACCCCTGCCTTTTTTTGTTTTCCATTGGCTTGGTAGATCTTCCTCCATCCTTTTATTTTGAGCCTATGTGTGTCTCTGCACGTGAGATGGGTTTCCTGAATACAGCACACTGATGGGTCTTGACTCTTTATCCAATTTGCCAGTCTGTGTCTTTTAATTGGAGCATTTAGTCCATTTACATTTAAAGTTAATATTGTTATGTGTGAATTTGATCCTGTCATTATGACGTTAGCTGGTGATTTTGCTCGTTAGTTGATGCAGTTTCTTCCTAGTCTCGATGGTCTTTACATTTAATAACAACTTAATTTCAATAATAGGCAAAACTTTTGCTCTTATATAGCTCTGTTACTTCCTCTTTCTTTGTGCTATTACCACACAAATTGCATCTTTATATAAGGCCCACTAATACAGATTTATAGTTATTGCTATATGCAGTTGTCTTTTAAATCAGATAGAAAAAGTTATAAATAAAAATACATTTATACTGATTTTATATAACCTATGCAGTTACCTTTACTGGTGATCTATATTTCTTCATGTGGATTTGAGTTATCCTTTAGTGTCCTTTCATTTCAGTCTGAAGGATTCCCTTTATTACTTCTTGTAGGCCAGTCTGTTAGTGATGAATTCTTTCAGGTTTTATTTATCTGAGAGTGTCCTGGTTTATCCTTCATTTTTAAATTGTTCCCCAAAATCGGCAGAATAATGGGAACTATTTAGAAATAGTTTTACTAGATATAAAATTCCTTGTTGATAATTTTTTTTTTTCAGCACGTTGAATATGTCATCACACTGTCTTCAGGCCTCCGAAGTTTCTAATGAGAAACCAGCCATTAATCCTTCTGCCTTCCAGATGATCTGTCTTTGTATTTCAACAGTTTGGTAATGATGTGTCTAGGTGTGGATTTTTTTGAGTTTATCCCACTCAGAATTCAGCTTTCTGGATATTTAATTGTTTTCATTAAATTTGGGAAGTTTTAGGGTGTTATTTCTTGAAATATTCTTTCTCTTATTTTCTCTCTTCTCTCCTTCTGAGATTCCCATTACATGTATTTTGCTATGCTTGATAATCTCTTATGGGAATCTGAACTTCTGTTCATTTTTCTTCATTCTTTTTCCTTTTTGTTCTTCATATTGGATAATCTCAATTGCTCCATCTTCAAGTTTGCTGATTTTTTCTTTTTCTTTTCAACAATTTTATCCCATCTGCCACAGCTGATTTTCTTTTACCATAACAAATCTGCTATTGAGCCCCTGTTGTGAAATTTTTCATTTCAGCTATTATGTTTTTCAACTCCAAAATGTATATTTTTATAATTTCTATATCTTTATTGATATTCTCTATTTGGTGAGACATTGTTCTCATACTTTGCTTTAGTTATCTAGACATGGTGTCCTATAGTTCTTTGAACATATTTTAAATAGATGGTTTCAAGTATTTGTCTATTAAGTCCAACATCTGGGCTCCCTCAGAGACAACTTCTATTCATTGCTTTTTTCCCCATATATGAGTTATATGTTCTTGTATCTTTTCATGGCTCATATTTTTTTAGTCGGAAACTGGAGATTTAAAATAATAAATGTGGCAACTGTGAAAATCAGATCCTCCCTCCCCCAGGGTTGGTTACTGTTGTTACTCTTAGTTTGTTTAGTAACTTTTTCAGTAAAGTCTATATTCTTATTTATGCATGGCCAATAAAGTTTCTGCTCAGTTAGTTTAATGGTCAGCTTATGATTGAACAGAGATTCCCTTAAATGCCTGGAACCAATAAGTCTCCCAGCTTTTGCTGAGGGGCTGTGTGTGTGTGGCAGGACATGCCTTTGACACTCAGGCAGGCAGTTGCCAATTCTGCTTTATCTTTCCTGGGACCCAAAGGTTAGTCAGAGGTAAGAGCTTAGGGCCTTCTCAGGTCTTTCCTGAGCAGTAACAGCCTGGAGGTATACACATCTTACACATGCATGGCTGTCTAGATTCCAGGGAATATGCTGAAGCTTTTCAGAGCCCCCCATGAATATCTTCTTCCCAGTCTCTCCTTTTAAATTTTTAAATGAACTTCTTGTTTGCTCCTAAGGTCAATGCTCCCTCAGTCAGCTGCAGTGTTAAACAATTACAACTGATTGTTTTTGAGCAAGCCTGGAGTCAGGTCAAATAAAAGCTATCCCTATGAGGGGGGGTTCCACTGAACTTCTAGACAACTCTTTTAGAATGGGGGCTTTTGGGGAGTTGCAATCTGTTCTACCTCCTCCAGGGTCTGATTGATTGCTGACTTTCACTTTGATTGCCAAATTGTTGGTTTTCAAGGCTACTGCAGAGCTGGGATGAGGGAGGAGGGAGAGAATAGGGCAAATCAAAATACCACAAAGCTCACTGCCTTTATGGGTATTCAGCCATTTTTCTTGAATAAATACTCCGAGAATTGTTGCAAGCCTATTATTAATTTTCAGAGTTCTGAAAAAGTTGATTTCGAAAATTTTTTCCAGTGGTCTCATTGCTATTGAAAAGCAGCATTTTGGATGTCCTTCTCTGCCATTCCTGCTGACATCACCATTCTTTTTTTTTTCATTCAATAATCCATCTTAGAAAACGTTGTACATATTCTTTCCCTGCCCCATCTATCACTTTTATTTATTTTAGTGGGTGAATGTATTACAATATAATTGCTTTTCAATCCACACTTACTCCCCAGGCACCTAACCATTGTTGAAGCCTTTGTACTAGACATTGTGAGGCTGTGTCCAACACAGCTACCCTCTAGGAGCTTCTGGACACATGGAGAAGACAAAGAACACACAGGAGAATTAACCTGCCAAGGCAGCATGCTGAGAGTACTTTTGGAGTTTGGACAATGTTAAATGGACTCACCTTGATTATGAGTTCCAGGTCTGTCAAGACACACTTCTTTAATGGTTGAAAAGACAGGGTGGCATGTACACTCTGTCCTACATCCACAGTGCTGTCGATGGGTGAAAATTCCAAGTACTGCAGCAAGGTTTTGGAGCCACACAGCTGTGCCTGGAAGCTGAAGGTGAACTTTCCAGTGTTGATAAAGTTGAATTCACACTGGACACATTCATTTAACTCCACCTAGGAGACAGAGAACAGAGCAGTGAATGCAAACCATAGTTCCCTTGTCTGGGGTCAGCATTTGTAACATGTTGATGAAAAATATCCTTTGGGAAATAAGGATGGCAGATGATGTTGGTGATTTGACTATCTTTAGCTTAATGGAGTCAGATATTCTAGCAGGAGCTACTAAGTGTTGGGGTTCTTTCAATATCTCATGGAGCAAAGTGGCAATTTAGTTCTTAGACCTTTGTTGGTAGTCAAATATCCTTCCTGTATGTTTAACACAAGCACTCTTTCTTCTCCCCACCATCTCTCCACCCCCCCCTGAAAATAAAATAAGAAAAGCATTCACATCATATCTACATACATTCTGGGGATAGAGCTGCTCTTGCAGTGTTTCTGTTTTCCTGGTCTCTCTGGCATTTGAAGCAGAAAGACTCAGCTCATATTCATTTTTACTACTTTCCCCAGTCAGAATGGAAGCTGAGATAGATAGCAAGGTCTTCTTACACCTTTACCTCATAGAAGTTGATGATGTTAGTCTGGTTGGGAGTCAACAGAGTGATGGAGCCTGTCCTGTCCTTGCACTTGATCTCCACATTCATAGTGTAGCCCTCGGCCTTGACATTTAATGTCACAGGGTGGACTTTCTTTTCCACATTGCAGATCAAATTAAAGTTCACATCTCCTTCCTGCTTTGGTGTGAAGAAAATATCAATTGGGAACCTGGTTGGGGAACAAAACAGCAGATTACCTGACTAGGCCAACTTGTCAAAACCTTAAAAAATATGAGCCTACTGAATTAGCAGATTCACTACGAGGAAAAGGAAACTCCAAATTATGATGACATTTTAAGATTTGTGGCTATAGTAACCAAAACAGCGTGGTACTGGCATAAAAACAGACACACAGACTAATGGAAAAAGATAGAGATCCTAGAAATAAAGCCACACACCTACAATCATCTGATCTTTGAAAAAGTCAACAAAAATAAGCAATGAGGAAAGGATTCCCTATTCAATAAATGATGCTGGGATAGCTGGCTAGCCATAAGCCAGAAGAATAAAATAGGACCCTTACTTTTCACCATATACAAATATTAACTCAAGATGGATCAAAGATTTAAATGTAAGACCTCAAACTATACGAAAACTAGAAGAAAACGTAGAAAACACCATCGTAGACATCAGCCTTGGAAAAGAATTTATGACTGAGTCTTCAAAAGCACTTGCAATAAAAACAAAAATCGACAAGTGGGACCCAATCAATCCTGCAAAAAAAAAAAAAAAAAAAAAAAAGAGTAAGAAAGGAAAAAAGCTGCTGCATAGCAAAAGAAACTACAAACAGAGAAAAAATGCAACCTACAGAATGGGAGGAATTATTCAGAAACTATGCATCTGACACAGGTCTAATATCCAGAATCTCTAAAGAACTTAAACAATTGAACAAGCAAAAAACAAGTAACGCCATTAAAAAATGGGCAAAAGACATGAATAGACACTTCTCAAAAGGAAACAGAAAAGTGGCCAACAAACGTATAAAGAAATGCTTCACATTACTAATCATCAGAGAAATGCAAGTCAAAACCACAATGAGATAACATCTCACACCAGTCAGAATGGCTATGATTAAGAAATAAAAAACAACAGATCCTGGCGAGGCTGCAGAGAAAAGGGAACACTTATACACTATTGGTGGGTATGTAAACTCGTTCTGCCACTGTGGAAAGCAGTTTGGAGATTTCTCTAAGAACTTAAAACAGAACTATCATTCAACACAGCAATCTCTTTACAAAAAACAAAGCAATCTCATAAAAAACAAAACAAAACAAAACAAAAAAGCCAAAAAACCCAAAGTCATTCTACCAAAAAGACAACATGCACTCTCATGTTCATTGCAGCACTATTCACAATAGCAAAGACATGGAATCAATCTAGGTGCCTATCAACTGTAGACTGGATAAAGAAAGTGTGGTACATATACACTGTAGAATACTACACAGCCACAAAAAGAATGAGGTAATTCTTTGCTGCAACATGGATGCAGCTGGAGGCCATTATCCTAAGCAAATTAATGCAGGAACAGAAAGTGAAATACCTCATGTTCTTATTTATAAGTTGCAGCTAAACATCAGGTACACATGGACGTAAAGATGGCAACAAAAGAAGCTGGGGATTACTAGGGGGAGGGGAGGAAGGGAGGCAAGAATTGAAAAACTAACGATTGGGTACTAAGCTCAGTACCTGGGTGATGGGACCATGTGTACCCCAAACCTATACAGTAAATCCAGTAGCAAACCTGCATGCATATCCCTTGAAACTAAAATAAAAGTTGAAAAAACCCCACAAAACTTTGACGTAAATCTCATACCTTATAAGTTAATAAAAAAGGGGTTACAGACTGAAATGTAAAGCTACACAACTTACGGAAAAAATAATGGAAGGACATTTTCTGAATCTAGGGCTATTCAGAGATATAGAACAGACACTAAAAGGACAGTCCATAAAAGGACAAATAGATAATTTGGACTTCATCAAGAATAAAAGGTTTTGCTCTGTGAATGACCTTGTTAAGAAGAGCAAAAGACAAGCCACAGACTGGGAGAAGATATTTGCAGATCATGTATCCACCAAAGGAGCACTACCTAAACATGTAAAGAACTCTCAAAAATCAACAATAAAAAACAAACAGGCTGAGCAGGAAACTGGAAAGAGACATGAAGAGACATTTCACTGAGGAGGATCCATAGAAGGAAAACAAGCACATATGTGTTGTATGAAAGGAGAGAAGGTTAGCACTTCCCTTGACAATGATGGAAGAGGCCCTCAGGCCTGACAACACACATACAGAAAATAAGCACATGTAAAGATGTCCGACATTATTAGTCATTAGGAAAATGCTAATTAAAACTACAATGAGATATCCTTACACATCTATCAGAAAAGCTAAAATAAAAAATTGTTGCCGGTTGCAGAGCCTCATTCCTGTAATCCCAGCACTTTGGGAAGCCAAGGCGGGTGGATCACTTGAGGTCAGGAGCTCGAGACCAGCCTGGCCAACATGGTGAAACCCCATCTCTACTAAAAAAAAAAAAAAAAAAAATTAGCCGGGCATAGTGGTGCGTGCCTGTAGCCTTAGCTACTCGGGAGGCTGAGGCAAGAGAATTGCTTGAACCTGGGAGGCGGGGGTTGCAGTGAGCCAAGATCACACCACTGCACTCCAGCCTGGGCAACAGAGCGAGACTCTGTCTAAGAATAGTAATAAAAAAATTGTGACACCACTAAATTTTGGTGATGTTGTGGAGATTCTGGAACATTCAGAGATAACTAGTGGAATGTAAAATGGTTCAGCCAGTCTGGAAAGCATTTTCACCGTTTTTTTTCTTTTTTTTTTCTGGAAACATGCCATTATCGTATGTCCATTAATTGCACTCTTGCTCATTTTCCCCAGTGACATGAAGACACAAAAAATCTGTACATGAAAGTTTATAGTAGCTTTATTCATAACAGCCCAAACCAGGAACAATCCAGATGTCCTCCAGTGGGTGAATAGTTCAACTAACTGTGGTGCATCCCTACTATGGAATGGTAGCCAGTCATAAAAAGGAAGAAACTCTCAAAACTACCTGGATGTATGTTGGAGAATTATGAGTGAAAAAAACCAATCACAAAAGCAATGTATGTGTCTGTGAATACAACATTCCTGAAATGACAAAATGATAGACACAGAGGAAAGTATTGGATTCCAGAGGGTGAGGAGGTGTTGCTTGGGGGAAGGGAAAGGGTGTGGCAACAAAAGGGTCACATGAGGAATCCTGCGGCAAGGGATCTGTTCTGTGTCTTGACTCGTCAATGTCAATACCAGGTTGTGACATTTTACTGAAGCTTTGCAAGATGTCACCCTTGGGAGAAATTTGGTAAACAGTACAGAGTTATCTTTGTCTTATTTCTTCTTCTTTCTTTCTTTTTTTTTTTTTTTTTGAGACAAAGTCTTGCTCTGGAGTTCAGTGAGGTAATCTTGGCTCACTGCAACCTCTGCCTCCTGGGTTCAAGCGATTCTCCTGCCTCAGCCTCCCAAGTAGCTGGGATTACAGGAATGTGCCACCACGCCTGGCTAACGTTTGTAGTTTTAGTAGAGACGGGGTTTCACCATGTTGGCCAGGCTAGTCTCGAACTCCTGACCTCAGGTGATCCACCCGCCTTGACCTCCCAAAGTGCTGGGATTACAGGTGTAAGCCACCACGCCCAGCAGTCTTCCTATTATTTCTTACAACTACATGTGAATTTACAATTACTTCAAATTTTTAAATTTTATTATTAGTTTTTGAGAGAGTCTCACTCCATTGTCCAAGCTGGAGTGCAGTGGTGCAATCTCAGCTCACTGCAACCTCTGCCTCCTGGGTTCAAGTGATTCTCATGCCTCAGCCTCCCAAGTAGCTGGGATTACAGGTGTGTGCCACCACACCCGGCTAATTATTGTATTTATTTATTAATTTTTTTTTTGAGAGGGAGTTTCGCTCTTGTCACCCTGGCCAGAGTGCAGTGGTGCGATCTCAGCTCATTGCAACCTATGCCTCCCGGGTTCAAGCGATTCTGCTGCCTCAGTCTCTCGAGTAGCTGGGATTACAGGCGCCCGCCAACACGCCTGGCTAATTTTGGTATTTTTAGTAGAGACGGGGTTTCACCATGTTGGCCAGGCTGGTCTGGAACTCCTGACCTCAAATGATCTGCCTGCCGCAGCCTTAATTATTGTACTTTTAATAGAGATTGGGTTTTGCCATGTTGGCCAGGCTGGTCTCAAACTCCTGACCTCAAGTGATTCGCCTGCCTCAGCCTCCCAAAGTGCTGGGATTATAGGCATGAGCCACCATGCCTGGCCTGAAAATTAAATGTTTAATTGAAAAAGAGACTTGCCAGGCAAGCCTGAACATTGCACTGTGGATTCACATATACAGTGAATATAGCAAGGAAAAGAATACAAAGAGAAAATATTGAGATAAAGGGCTTAGAATTCTCAATGCTCCATATTCATCAGGAAAACAGATATCAGGGAGTAAGTAGGATGGAGATGGAATTGTTATGATGTAATCTTAGAGTTGAAAGCAATTATATAAATGGGGCACTGTAAGCACTGGCAGGCTTGGGGTCCTGGGCATGTCAGGAGGATGCAAACAAAATGAGACCTTCATTTTTGTTTACCTGGACAGTGGTGGGATCCAGCCTTCCATGGGACATACAAGCAGGCTGTTGCTGAAACCTTCAGAATAGCGGGAGTTGTCCTGGAAGGAAAAATCGAACCCCTGCTCCTCCTTGTTAATGATCTGCACAGTCTCCCTGGCTTCTCTGCCTGAGGAGGAAACACCAGCCCTTAGTGGGGGCCTCCTGACTGCCTGCTGGAGTCTCTCAGCAGACACCGCTTCACAGGCAAGACATTTAGAAGACATTCCCCAACCTCTTCCGCCTTTGTCTACCTCTCTTCTTTCCTTTTCCTCTACAAGTCACCTTCCTTCTTTCGGGGATTCCATGTCTTTCTTCATCAGTTGCCTGCTTCTGCTGAGTGGCTCCTCTGCCCTGGCCACAGCTCTCCTGGGATTCTGGTGACACCGTTTTCTTCCCTTGCTCCTTTAGACCCAAGAATTGTAATGCCTTCCTGAATTTGTTAATGGGGGCTTCACTCTCCTTGGTTGACCCCCTTAACTGCCCATGTATCTGTAAATAATTCTTGCATCGAATTCTTTGAAAATAGACCTTTGGTATTGGCATGAGTTTCCTGCCCAGGGCTCTGACTAATACATTTTCTCTCACTATCATCTTACGCTTTCCTCTTGGCTATTAGACCATTCATTTTCCCACATAAACTTTAGAATCATTTTATCCAATTCTCTCCCCTTCCAATTCTTTTGGGATTTGGTTGACAGATTTAGCAAATAATTTTTTGGTATAAATATGTCCCGAGCAATATTTGGACATACTCAAAATTATTAATTGCTATTTGAAATTAAAATTTATGCATCCTGTATTTTATCTGGCAACCCTAGTTGGGATTCTAATTGGAACTTGATTAAATTTGCATTTAATTTTAGGACAACTAACAAATGATCAGATCTTGTTTGGGGGATTTTAATCAGATTTGATAGTTTTCTTCATGTAGGTCTTTTTTGTGCATGTCTTATTACATTTATCCTTAGCTATTTTATAGGTTTTGCCAGTACCAAGTGGATGTTTTCTTTGGTTTTCTGTTTCTAGGTGCTAGTGCTAAAAAAGAAGACACTATTTTTGCACATTTGTCTTGCATCTGCCCACCTTACCACATTATTCTGTTGAGTCTAGTAGTTTGTTTTGCTTTTTCTCTAGAGTCTCTTGTGGTTTTATGTGTACAAAATCATCAGTAAAAGCAAAACAAGATGACTTTATCCCTTTTTCCCCAATGTTTATGCAAATTATTTAATTTTCTTGTTTTGTCATATTTGCTAAAGTCTCTAAGCAAGTGTTCAATAATAAGGGTGATAATGAACACCCTTACCTAATTCCTCATTTTAATTGAAGCAGTTTTAGTCATTTATTGCAGGATCATATCTGCCTCTTGATTTTGGTTAACCTTTTTTTCCATCAATGTCCATTTTGCTATTAGAGTTTTTGTTGGGAATGTCTGCTAAATTTTGGCAATGCCTTTTCAGTGTATATTAACATGATCACATGGTTGTTCTTCTTTAATCTATTGATGTAATGATTATATTGAAACGTACCACTGTTGAATTCCTGGATTAAACTCTGTCTCACTGTTGTTATTCTTATGCTACATTGCTTATTTGTTCAAAATCTTAATAAATGCCATAATTCCCCCTCCCACCTAATTATGTGTATCGGTAAAATACACATCCAGCAGTTAACACTGCTTTCCTTTGGAGTGGAAAGAGAAAGATGAGACAGGATGAATGTGGAGAGATTAAACTTTTTCTTATGCAACACCACATTGGTGGATTTACTATAAAGAATATTATTTTACAAATACAAATCTAACATATTATTAAAACATACTCTGGCTTTAGTTGTATTTTATACACACAGCAGAGATGTCACAACCATGGGAAAGATACATGGGGTTATAAGGGACATGACAATTACTTCGTTTCACCTTCCCACTGCCTCCTGGCCTTCCTTATTCTCCCTACCCTGCTGTCCTCTTCTCTAAAGCACTTATTACCATCTGACATGGTGTATAGTTTCCTTATGTTTCTTTTGGTAGCCTGTTTCTTATTTCTAGAATGTAAGCATCAGGAAGGTACGGACTTTGGGCTTTATCCATTAGCGTAATCCCAGCCCATAGAAAAGTACCGAGGGCATTCTACAGACTCAGTGATATTTGTTGAACCAAATAAATGCACGAAAGGATGAGAGAGAAATTTGACCACTGTGGCACAGACCAAGAAGCATACAGATACCCCCCATAATCTGGGGGCAAATGCAGGAAGGATGGGCCAACTTGAGGCTCTAGAAATAAACAGTCAGCCCATGCCTTAAAGGAATCTGCCAAGTAGGATCTTTAACAAGGCTCCTAAATTTCCTTAAGCTATTAATTGTAGGTTTAAAAGATACTTGGTGGAAATTAGATTGAGCAGTAAATATTTTGTGGCTTTTTAAAAACTGATTGAGACCCTCTGATATGCTTCTGGAAGGGACCAGGAGAGGTTTCTTATGCAAGGCTGCTCCCAGAGCTCTTGATGACCTTGCCCAGATCATGCCAACTCTAAATACATACCATCAGGACAGCCTTACCAATGAGGAGAGAGCTGAAGTTGAGGTGTGACTTGTTCAGAGAGATGAGAGGTTCGGTAGTTTTGCCTACCAGCAGGAAAGGGACTGTGATGTTGTGCTCGGGAATTAGGAAGGTCCATGATGACTCAGTGATGCCCAGATGGAAAGGTGTGAACTGGAACACGATCTAACAAGACAATTTGGAACAGAGTGGTAAAAGACACTTCTGTATGCTTACTCCACATGTCCCTGGAGACTTGTCAGCACGAGGGTCATGAGAGTTGATGTTACCAGGCTATTGCTACCTTTCTATAGTCCATGTAAGGGCATGTAGGTGTGGCTGTACCAGAAATGTCAATGTCTATCTGACCTGCCCACATGTCCTCCTAAGGGAGTCTCCCCCATCCACAGCTTCTGCTGGCTAAGCTGTCGTGTTTTGTGCCATGTCTTTGGATGGCATGGCTGTGCCATAGCTGACTGGACCAAAGAGTTGGTACCCATTCCAAGGAAAGACAATCCCCATACTTGTCAATAGCTGGGCACACAGCCAAAGACAATATGATTAGCCGGGCCAGCCAGATTTCTCCCTCAGAAGTTTGAAATTAGGAAATGAGTGGCCAGGCCAGCTGGCAGTGGAGCTGATGGTGAAAGGTACCATGCAGGTGAGCTGGGCCACGGCATGCCATAACCAACTAGCTAAGTGATATTACAAAGTAACTGAAGAATAAATCAATCAATCAAGAGTGAAGAAACTGGTCAGTGGAGAGAGAATGGAGTAGATGGGAAGAGAGAAACAGGCAGTCCCAGGAGGAAAGTCCAACCTCAAAAGCTGCTCCTGGTTCTCTCTGTCTCTTTTTTGAGCTAACCTGAGTGAGTCTCTTTGCAATCAATCAACCAGGACTGAATGAAAGAATAACGGCATTTGGCCAAAAAAGAACCACACAGGTTAACATGCATGGTCTATACCACTGCCAGGACAATGTGGGCAGGTGCTCTGGAGGTGTGTCACCTCAATGATATGACTGTCACTTAAAGACCAGCATGACTTTGGATGATGGATTTTGGAACTTGCCTCTTGGAACCGAGCTCACATTTGAAACATTTCTGGGCTGAAGTGGGGGCCATGATCCAGGTAGGATTGTCTCTATGGTGGACCCAGCTCCTGGACCTTGTCACATTTAACTAGATGGCCTGGGTACTGACATTATGCAGAGGTCAAAACCAGGTGGAGAGTCTACAAATATGTTTTGTTTGGTTTGGGAATTGTTAAAAAAAAAAAAAAATGAACTAGCTACCAGCATGTAAAATAGGGCTTCACATAGAACTTTGGAATTTTGGTCAGGCGCAGTGGCTCACACCTGTAATCCCAGCACTTTGGGAGGCCGAGACGGGCAGATCACGAGGTCAGGAGATTGAGACCATCCTGGCTAACACGGTGAAACACTGTCTCTACTAAAAATACAAAAAATTAGCTGGGCGTGGTGGCGGGCGCTTGTAGTCCGAGCTACTCGGAAGGCTGAGTCAGGAGAATAGCGTGAACCCAGGAGGCGGAGCATGTAGTGAGCCGAGATCGCGCCACTGCACTCCAGCCTGGGGGACAGAGCAAGACTCTGTCTCAAAAACAAAAACAAAAAAAAGAAATTTGGAATTTTGTCTTTTCCACAGTTTGGGTGAGTTGGCCCCCTTGGCCCCCGTTGTCTGCAAAGCGGTCATCTACCAGAGAAGCCCTGTGGCCAGTGGCCCTGGTACCCTGTATTACCCACAAATGTCTCCTTGGCCCACTCTATTCACTTGTGTGACCCTCCTGAGGGCACAGGAATTCTTAATTTTTGTTTCACGGATTTATTTCTGTCTTCAAGATTCTCTGCAACTGGCTGGACATGGGGCTCACAGATCCGTTTTGGCCAGCAAGTCTGTATTTCTTTAATTCTGCTCCATATCATTTGTGTAAACATTTAGGATGAAGCCATGGGACATGGCTCCACTCTACTTTGCCCTTTGCCTAACCAAGTAAAAACACATCGTGTCCTTTCACCATTTTTGGTCCTTTTGACAAAGATAACTTTTTATGCTACTCTATGAGTCCTAGGGTCCCCAGGCATTGGTGTCCAGTTACCTTTTGCTGCTTAAATGTTCTCAGTTTTAAAAAATTGCAAATATTAGAGCTCTCTGCTTCTCCATGGCTAGCCAAGAGAGCTCAGGTCTGTCTTGTCATCAGCATTGCCCAATGCATATGGCAGCCATTCACTAAATACTTGTTGATTGATGCACTACACCCTCAGGCAGTTCTTCCTAATTCCACTTACTGTCTATGGCACACTTTCCACACAGCAATGGCTAGAGTGATCTAAGCCTTGGGTTGAGTGGTTCTCATCTGCACATACCTCGGCTTTCTTTTCAGGGTGGATGAAGCCCTTTTCTGTAAGGCATGTGAATGCTGCAGGGTTCTGGAGACTTTCAATTTCTTCAGAGATCCAGCAGAAGGAGTAGGTGCTATTGGTTGGGTTTAGGATGGTAAAGGTCCTGGCCAGGGTGGAGAGAATTGACAGAAGAGAGTGGGACAGGGGATTGAGGATTAAGAGAAATTTCTTAGAACCTGGCCCCAACCCAGTCCCCCATCTGGGAAGCAGAACTGTTCAGAGCACTTTGTTACTGTGGAAATAAAAACTCCATCTCCTCTAGCGATCCACAGTCAGGGTAGGGTTCTGGACTTTGGAATAACAATGCTGCCAAGGGCACAACTGTGCCAATGATCCTCTGTGGTTAAGGAGGTGGTCAGGGATTATACTTTTGTGTCTTCCATATTTTCCTCAGTGGCAAAACTAAGGAGACAGAATTCAGCTTTCTTAACGTAACAGTTCTCTAAAGTCAAACCTCTAAAACTCAGGTCAAACCCCAGGATATCGAGCCTGCTTATAGGAATAGGTCTAGCTCATCTATCTGAATTCTTTTAGAGTTCTTTAGGACCGATGTGAATTCAATCAATGTAAACCTAAGCAACTCACCGGAGATTCTTCCCTCCTATGCCCACAGTGGTGAACTCAATCACCCGGGTGTTTGGATCCAGAGCTCCCCCACTGGACCCTCGGAGCTCTGGGTTGCGCTGATGGCCACTTATGTAGTCCGAGTCTTTCAGATCAAAATGGCAGATGGGCAAGGTGCTCCGCCCTTTTGCTACCAGGACCGGACCTTGCTCTCCAGGTGGCAGGTTGGGAATCCTGAGAGGATAAGGTTATTTTTATTTGTTTTATTTTGTCATCAGTTGTTGCTTTCTTAGTTGGTTGGAAATGAATCTTATATCCACCAGAATGTGAGCTCTATGGGAGCAGAGGCTGGGTCTGTCTTGGTCAATAGCATCACTCAGTGCCTTGAATGCATGACTGGGCTGAGCATAAGCAGCCTGAATTTGGCTCCTTCTGTGTACCTAAGTATGGCCGCAGGTTACTTCCCCCATCAATGTTGAGAAAATATTCCTGCTGCAAAATGAGCACAGTCTTACCCTCTGGTCTCTCTCATAGGCATTTAGTGGGATATGGAAAGTGACCTGGAAATCCTAAAAAAGTATCCTGAGCTCCTCGGAAAAGGTGAACTGGATATGAGCAGATGCTCAGCTCCAGGACCAAGCTGAGGTGGCCTAGGTGTGGGAGGGGTCTCAGTGGTATGACTGCAGGAGGTCAAGGAGGCCCCAGCAGCTCACTTAGGTCTCTGCCACCCTAGGCCACAGCTCACAGGATTTTTCTGTAAGGTGATTGTACTCCTTCAAGTTTTCCTGGGAGCAAGTACCTCATCAGGGACTTTCATTGTCAGATGTCATTGGGTTAGCTTTTCTCTCACTGCTGTGTACCAGGTCCACCAACTCCACCACCACCACCACCACTACCACCTAATGTTTATCGTGCTTATTGTGTGCCAGGCACTGTTGTAAGCACTTTATTTGAATTAACTCATTTAACTTTCCCAACAATTCCACCAGCTGGGTATTATATTTACATTTTATGTATGAGGAAACTGTGTCTCAGAGAAGGTACAAGAAAGCTTTCCTAAGTTCATGCTTGCACAAGGACTGAAACCCACCTGGCTATCACCAGTCTGTTGCTCAGTGGAATCCTACATGCAGCTGGGAAGGGGAAAGTAAGCAGGGGGAAGCATCTGGAGAGGTTGATGAGCAGGACAAAGACCATATTCTCCTTGTTCTCTAAAGGGTGGACCCTTTAGATCCTTCCAAAGGGAAAAGGGATAATTTGGGGATGTGCAGGGATCTAGGGCCAGAAAGGATGGTGGCAGTGGTTGGACAGAAAAGGGGATAAGAGCCACAGAGCTTTGTGCCTGCCAAGAAGGGTGTTGTGGCGAGCACATTTTCTTACTGGCAGAAAAGGTTGCTCTCGAAGTCTCCAATGTCCAACGGGGAGAATTTTACTTTGAACTTCTGAATCTTCCCCACCGGCACGATTCCCGAAGAGGGCTCCACAGAGAAGGGCTGTGGGGAACCCTCGGCCCAGTGGTCCATGGTGCTGTCCAGGGTGCTGCCTGTATGCATCGTGCCCTGACTAAGCTGATCTTTTTGAGCTGAACCTGGGGACAGACAGGGAGTGGGTGATATTCTGCATTTGCAGTGAGAGGCAGGTGGAAGGGAGCCCACTTACAGGTCCTTAGGGGCCCTCTGCGGATATGGTGGATATGGACTCACCTTTTGTAGCAGCTGTACTTAACCTTGGGTATTAGAGGTAGGGAATTGCTCATATAGCTTACAGGAGACTCATGAAAAATGTTTCTATTTATTCCATAGGGTTTTCAAATTTGTTTCCTTTTGGTTCAAGCGGGTGGGTCAAGAAGATGTTTGTGCCCTAGAATAATGGGCTGTGAACATATTTTTTTGAGAATCATTGTTCTAAAGTAGGGGTTTACAATCTGGGGACCCATGGATAAGGGCCCATTCAAAAGGTCTGTGCATCTCCAAAGTTGAAGTAACAACAATAATAATAATAATAATGATAGCAACTTGCCTACCAAGTGTTGGTTCCTTTTCTAGTGCTTCATATGTACCAACTGAGAACTTGGGCATGGGTGTGTATCTTCCTGGGAAAATGATTCATAACTTTCAAAAGTTTCTCCAAGGGATCTATAATCTCCCACAAGGTTAAGACCTAAGAGACAAGATTCCTAGTTATCTTGAGATGGGGCATTGGCCTAGTGCAGGGACAGAGTTCAGACTCCAGGAGGGTGGAGGTAAGTTTTGGAGTCCCTCAGGCCCATTTGGCTCTGCAGACACCACAAGGTCTCTGCTTTGCTTTTCTTTAGCTACTTAGGAGACCCTCTGAGCAGTGCTGGCCTCTCCATGAACAAGGCTCTTCTAATTGGTGACTCAGGCCAGGCCCTGGGTTTTACTTGCCACTGAATTTACCTTGGTGATCTGGTTTTGCAAAGCTGACTGCCTTTGAGGTATCTTCTGAGACCCAGCTGAATTCCAGCTGGACACGTCCTGAATTAATCACATCGAACCTGCAAATCGATCAGGGAGCAGATTTGAGAAATGTGCTGCAGGTGGTTTTGGTCCTGGCTGCATGTCATCTATACTGTACTTAACCTTTTGAAGTCATGTCACTTTGTTTCTTAAATATTTTTAAAAAGGCACATTTTAAGTAATTTTATTAGAAATCATGCATATGATATACTCGAACAAGAAAATATATAGTGATTAAAAGTAAAAATATAAAAAATATTTATCACTTAAAAGTCTTTTGCATTCTTCCAACACCCTGTGCAGCGAGCTCTCAGCATGCATGGCAGTAATCCTAAACCCCCACCATGAGAGAGGAAACAAAATCTATTTCACAAGACAGCACCTCCCTCAGGAACAAATTCTACAGGCCCTCCCTTTCTGAATCACCTCCCATCAGAAACAATGTCCCTGGCTGGGCAGGGTGGCTCACACCTGTAATCCCAGCACTTTGGGAGGCCAAGGCAGGCAGCTCACTTGAGGCCAAGAATTTGAGACCAGCCTGGCCAACATGGTGAAACCCCATCTCTACTAAAAATATAAAAATTAGCCAGGTGTGGTGGCACATGCCTGCAGTCCCAACTACTCAGCTACTCAGGAGGCTGAGGCACGAGAATCGTTTGAACCCAGGAGATGGAGGTTGCAGTGAGCTGAGATCATGCCACTGGGCCACAGAGCGAGACTCTGTCGAAAGAAAAGAAAAGAAAAGAAAGGAAGGAAGTCCCTGTGTTCAGAAGCCATTTGACCCCTGCCTGTGACCCCTTTCCTGACTGAGGCACAGATTTGAATTTTAGTTACTTCAAACTCAAATTCTAAATCAGCAGAGGCTTTTCCTGCCTCAAATTTTCCTGCTTTAAGACAAGAACAGGGCTGGGTGCGGTGGCTCATGCCTGAAATCCCAGCACTTTGAGAGGCCAGGGCAGGTGGATCACCTGAGGTCAGGAGTTCGAGACCAGCTTGGCCAACATAGTGAAACCCTGTCTCTTCTAAAAATACAAAAATTAGCTTGGCGTGGTGGCGTGCACCTATAGTCCCAGCTACTCGGGAGGCTAAGGCAGGAGAATCACTTGAACCCAGAAGGTGGAGGTTGCAGTGAGCTGAGATCGCACCATTGCACTCCAGCCTGGGTGACAGAGCAAGACTCCGGCTCAAAAAAAAAAAAAAAAAAAAAAAAAAAAAAAAAAAAAAAAAAAAAAAAAAAAAAAACAGGGAGGCAGAGTTTTTTTCTGGAATCACTATTAAACTTGATCACAGTTAACAGCAGAAAGATGAAACCTTGGTACAAGAAAAAGAAAATGATGATGAAATAAATCCACACGCCCTTCCTGGTTTTAGGGGAATAGTAAGAGTTAGGAGTTTGGGTGAGGAGTAGGTCTACAGTGGGACGTAGAGATTAGATTTCCACTCTCTAGTCCAGGTAGACAGACCATCTAGTTTCACCTGAAATCAAGTGCTTTGACCACAGTGGCTTGTGTTTATTTTGTAAATTTATGAGCACTTGTATTTATTCTAAAGATAATTTTTATAAAGTGAAGAAATCTCAGTGGCACAGAGTACTTTTTATAAAAAGAGTTCTCAGTTTAGGGGTTGGAAAACTTTTGTAAAGGGCCAGATAGTAAGTTTTTTGTCTTTGTGTCCCATACGGTCTCTGCAATGACTCAGCTCTGCCTTTGTAGTGGGAACGCAGCCACAGATAGGTCATAAATGAATGGGCATAGCTGCATGCCGGCAAAACTTTATCTACAAAAACAGGCTACAGGCCACAGTTTGCTGACCCCTGCTTTAGGTGAAATGATCATCAGCAGAAGATCACATTTCTTGACATTTATCTTTTGGTTCTATCGTAATTTGCAAAGATGTTTAGAATTCAACAAATGCACGATGAGTTGAATGAGCTAATTACTAATTTGTATGCAGTAGAAATGTCAGTGGCTTACATTTTTGTCCTTGTATGTGTTGCACATGTTGCTCTCTCTGCCTAGAGAGAGCCCTTCATTCTCGCTTCTTCACTTGGCTACCCCCATTCTCACTTCTTTCACTCTCACTTTGTTCTCACTTCTTTACTTGGTTACCTCCTATCTGTCCTCTAAAGTTCAGCTGGGGAACTACCTTGTCCAGGAAGCCTTCCTTGACTCTCTTGATCTGCTTTAAATACCCCTTTGCTTCATGCACATGACATTATGCTGTAATGAAAAATTCTCCTGTTTCTATCTGTCCCCCGGCTGCCACCCTCAGATTATGAGCTCTTTGAAGGCAGGGCCCATGGCATCCTTGAGTCCCTGTGTCTGAATGTGGGTGAAGGGTTAACATAACCTTTTCTCCTTCTCAAAGATGAATTTGACTCTGAAATAGCTTTCTAGGTCTGTTCCCCTGGAGACTTGATAAGGGAGGAATGTCAGTTGTATTATTAGGTGACATTGTTTATACTAAAAATGGCCCCGATGAGTAAATGATATGTGCACTGGGAGGAACTATGACCACCTAGAGGGAAGCCATAGCTGTGGGGTTCTCTGAGTGTAGTGACTCTTGTAACTGGGCATATTCTCTGCAGGGACCCCAGAAGATATATCTGCAGAGTGGTTAGGAGAAATGATGGTCTTTTGGGTCTGGGCTTCTAAGCTTAGATGGATCCTATACCCACCAGTGTGGATATTGTCTGGGTTACCACTTGGTGCATGGGCAAAAAGAACAGATCCTGGGTGGCTGTGTAGATTGCTGCAAGGACTGCTCCCACTAAAGTGGATTGCCTGATGCCGCCCTCCTGGTGTACTACATTTCCTGGCCTATATCTTGATTTCAAGTGTGAATTTCAATAGCTCTGTGGGCCTGAATGTTTCATTGGACCTAAGACAACACTCTGGTGCATGCCACACAGATACGATGCCTAGTAGATGCTGCTGTAGATAATAGACGTTTGATGAGTGAGTGAGTGAATGATGGAATGAAAGAGCTTTTCCATCTAGTATCACGAGACTTTTGATGACTCACTCAAACACTCGGGTCTGGTAAACCAAGGTTTCCTTAAAGCGCACATCTCTTGCTTGGCAATGGTATGAAGCGAAATCCACATTGGCACTGATTTGAAGCTGCAGTTCTTGGTAGTTTTCTTCTAGTACTGAGTGAGCAGGTTCCGGATCCGTCTCTATCACCTGTAACAAAGGCAGCTGTGTCCTCAGAGATGCAGAGCACAGGGACAGAAAAACTGACAATGGAATAGAATAGAGAGACCAGAAACATTCTAGGCATATATAAAATTTAGGTACACTATGTGACAATAAAGTCCTGGTGGATCACTAGGGAACAGACAGGCTAAATGAAAAAGGGATCTAGTAAGATTAGTCATCTAGATGAAAAATATGAAATTGGATCCTTGCTTCACAACATACATAAAATCCAGGTGGGCCAAGAGCTGAAATATCAAAAAAACAAGTCTTAAAAATATATAAGTGAACATCTTTCCGGGAGGAAAGAGTTAAAAATAAGACACAAAAAGTAATACATATAAAAGAAGGGATTAATAAACTTGATGATATTAAAATTAATAACAGAAAAGATAAACTAGGCCAGGCATGGTGGCTCACGGCCCATAATCCCAGCACTTTGGGAGACCGAGGTGGGTGGATCACTTGAGGCTAGGAGTTTGAGACCAGCCTGGCCAACATGGTGAAACCCTGTCTCTGCTAAAAGTACAAAAATTAGCCGGGTGTGGTGGTGCATGCTTGTAATCCCAGCTACTTGGGAGGCTGGGGCATGAGACTCTCTTGAACCTAGGAGGTGGAGGTTGCAGTGAGCCGAGATTGTGTCACTGTATTCTGGCCTGGGCGAAAGAGCAAAACTCTGTCCCCCTCAAAAAAAAAAAAAAAAAAAAGATAAACTATAAATTTGGTAAGGATATTTGCAGACAAATAATATGAACAGAAGAGTTTATAAAAAATAAAACAACTCACACAAAATATAAGTATCATAATTGAAAAATGAGCAAAAGGCATGAAAAGGCATTCCTGCAAGGGATAACTTGTATGACTAGTAATCATATGAAGAAATACTCAGCCTTATTTGTGATCAGAGATCAGGACAATGCAAAATAGGCTCGTAATGAGACCATTTCCCATTCATTCAAATGATAAAAATCAAGAAGTCTGACAATGCCAAGTGTCGGAGAGGACATGGATCAATAAGCTCTCTGCTGTAGGAGTATAAATTGGTACAGCTACTCTGGAAAATACTGGGGGATTATCTTGGCAAGTTGAACATTCATATATCCAATGAGTCAGCAATTCCACTTCTAGGAATATAAACTCTTACAAATGAACACCATGTGAATAATACATCTGTGATAGCAAAACCCCAAATAATTTTCAAAAGGAGAAGGGAGAAATCATAATGGAATTTTATGTAGAAGTGAAATGGATACACTACAGCCACACGCAACAATATGGATGATCACATACAATAACATTTTTTAAAAGTTAAAACTACAACTAATAATATATGTTTTATTTTTATTTTTTGAGAAAGAGTCTCACACTGTGTATTCCAGGTTGGAGTACAGTGGTGCGATCACGGCCCACTGCAGCCTCGACCTCCCAGAGCTCAGATGATCCTCTCACCTCAGCCTCCTGAGTAGCTGGGACTATAGGCATGCACCATCACGCCCAGCTAATTTTTGGTAGAGATGGGATTTCACCATGTTGCCCAGGTTGGTCTCAAACTCCTGGGCTCAAGCAATCTGCCTGCCTCAGCCTCCCAAAGTTTTGGGATTACAGGCATGAGCCACTGTGCCTGGCCTGATATACCTTTTAGTGTGCATAGGTTAAAAAAAGAACAAAAAACAAAAACCAAGGGAGTAAACAAGTCAAGTCAAGATAGTGATTACTTCTAGGATGAAGGCAGAGAGTGGAATGGCTGAGAATTACACAGGTAGTCAATATTCTACTTCCCGTGTTGGGTGTGGGTTTGTCTCTGTGTATTATATTGTTTTTAAAAAAACTAACCAAGGAATGAATAAAAGAAGGGCACACATGGACCAAAGATGAGATCCTGTCATGAACCAAAGATTATTACAAATGTGATTCTGGACACCTGAGGGAAAAGGGAAACAACTAAAAGATTAGCATTGACATTTTTGAAGAAGGAAAAGGTGGGAGGACTTGCTCAACTGCTTATCAAGACTTAAGCTAAAGGTCTACCAGTGAAGATGTGTGGTATGTGTAGCATTGATGGCAGGCAGCATGTGTAGAAGTTTAGTTTGTCACTTTTGGAGTCAAGGTCAAGTAGAATGGGAACCTTTTCTTTTTACTGTGAAAAAAGGAAATGATGAGGGACTTGAGACCAGTAGGAATCCAAGCATGGAGGCCTGGTCAGATTGGTGCTTGATGTCCCCACTTACTTTTCGTTTTGTAGTGAAAGTCCCAGGCATGTTTCTGGGTACGTCCACCCACTTGACTGTGTGCATGCGGTCATCCCAGTCGGGGACCTGGTCTGCAGGGAGCTGAAACATAATCCTGGAGAGCTTGCACCTGATCCGCATATTCTTTAGGTTGATGGGTACATCTGACTTCATGGTCACCACTATGTCCTTGGCACACCCAGGGTGGAGGTGGCCCATCTAGGAAAGAGCCTGGTATTAGTATTTTTGAGAATCCGATCTTGAGGACTCTTGATACCTGCTGGTGATATTCTAGAGAAGGGAAGGAGCCAAAGGTCTTGGCAAAAAATGCATGTTAAGCCTGTGTATGTAGACAGAATTAAATATGTACATGAGGATCTTAGGTAGAAACATAATAATAATAACAAGAACAACTAATATTTATCAAATGTACTTGCTTCAGGCACTATTCTAAACCTTTACACAATTCTACGAATCCCTACAACAACCCTATGAGGGGTACAGCTATTATTCTTATTTTACAGACAATGAAACTTGTAACTTGGTTGAGGTCATTAATTTTTGAGGAGTTGGATTCAGACCCAGGCAATCTGGCTCCAAATGCCATACTCTTAATCAATATGATCTATACAAATTATGGACAGAGGAATACAGTACACTAGCAGTTCTCCAAAGGTGTTCTGGTGACCTTGGGATCCCCAAGACCTTTTCAGGGGATAAATGAGGTCAAGACTATTTTCATAGTAATATGAAGATGTTATTTGACTTTTTCACTCTCATTTTCTCATAAGTGTACAATGGAGTTTTCTAGAGGTTATGTGATATATGGTGATATGGTCTGGCTGTGTCTCCACCCAAATCTCATCTTGAATTGTAGATCCTATAATCCCCACATGTTGTGGGAGGGACCTGGTGGGAGATAATTGAATCATGGGGGCAGTTTTCCCCACACTGTTCTTGTGGTAGTGAATAAGTCTCACAAAATCTGATGGTTTTATAAGGGGTTTCCCCTTTTGCTTGACTCTCATTTTTCTCTCTTGTCTGCTACCATGTAAAATGTGCCTTTTGCCTTCTGCCATGATTGTGAGGCATCCCCAGCTATGTGGAACTGTGAGTCCATTAGCCTCTTTATAAATTACCCAGTCTCGGGTATGTCTTTATCAGCAACGTGAAAATGAACAAATATAGTAAATTGGTACTGGTATAGTGAGTGGGCACTGCTGTAAAGATACCTGAAAATGTGGAAGTGACTTTGGAACTGGGTAACAGGCAGAGGTTGGAACTGTTTGGAGGGCTCAGGAGAAGACAGGAAAATGTGGGAAAGTTTGGAACTTCTTAGAGACTTGTTGAATGGCTTTGACCAAAATGCTGATGATATGGACAATGAAATCCAGGCTGAGATGATTCCTGGAGATGAGAAACTTGTTGGGAACTGGAGCAAAGGTGACTCTTGCTATGTTTTAGCAAAGAGACTGGTGGCATTTGGCCTTGCCCTAGAGATTTGTGGAACTTTGAACTTGAGGGAGATGATTTAGGTTATCTGGCATAAAAAATTTCTAAGCAGCAAGACGTTCAAGAGGTTACTTGGGTGCTCTTAAAAGCATTCAGTTTTAAAAGGGAAACAGAGCATAAAAGTTCAGAAAACTTTCAGCCTGATGATAGAAAAGAAAAACCCATTTTCTGAGGAGAAATTCAAGAGGGCTTCAGAAGTTTGCAAAAGTAGTGAGGAGCCAAATGTTAATGGCCAAAACAATGGGGAAAATGTCTCTAGGGCATGTCAGAGACCTTTGTGGCAGCCCCTCCCATCACAGACCCAGAGGCCTGGGAGGAAAAAATGGTTTTGTGGGTGGCCCAGGGACCCCCCTGCTGTGTGCAGCCTAAGGATGTAGAGCTCTGCATCCCAGCCACTCTGGTCATGGCTAAAAGGGGCCAAGGTGTGGCTCAGGACATGGCTGCAGAGGGTGCAAGCCCCAAGACTTGGCAGCTTCCATGTGGTGTTGAGCCTGTGGGTGCACAGAAGTCAAGAATTGAGGTTGGGAACCTCCACTGTGCCCAGCCTCTCTGCCTCCTTTGATTAAGGCTTTGGTAATAAAAATAATGCACAAAAGCAGATTACCCTATTATATTATACTGTGTTTGTTTCTTCACAGGCAAAATGCAGATAATAGTAGTATCTATGGCTGGGCACAGTGGCTCATGCCTATAATCCCAGCATTTTGGGAGGCCGAGGCAGGTGGATTGCTTGAGCTCAGGAGTTTGAGACCAGACTGGACAACACGGTGAAACCTGTCTCTGCCAAAAATACAAAAAAATTAGCCAGGTGTGGTGGTGTGCATCTGTTGTCCCAGCTACTTGGGGGGCTGAGGTGGGAGAATCACTTGATCTTGGGAAGTGGAGGTTGCAATGAGCCAAGATTGTAACACTGCACTCCAGCCTGGGTGACCGAGTGAGACTATCTCAACAAACAAACAAAAACAAAAAAAAGTAGTATCTGCCTTATAGCATTGTTCAGAGGATTAACCATGGTCTTAGAACTATTTTTGGCATATAGTAAGCACTCAATTTACAAATAAAGTGGTATACCAGCTCTATTCAGGGTTGGATTTGGACCATGACGAAACGGAATGGTCAGGGTCCTAATGAACTTTACATCACTCCAAAAAGCAAAATTTATCCCTAATAGCGCTCAAAGATTTAAAGATGACAAAGTCCCCAACGCCTTTGCTCCATCCCCCTCGAGTACTGTGCTTGAGCAGACTCACTGGCTGTGTGTCAACAGAGCAGGAGGCAGTGAAGACACTGGGGTGTGCCAGTGCTCTGGGAACTCAGAAATGAACTATCTACAAAAAGCAACCACTGGCCAGAGGCAACGATCTTCTAGAACGTTATCCTAGGCCTTGTTCAATGTCAAGCTTTAGTCAGCAATTCAAAAAAAAAATGTGTGTTGTGGAGATGCTAAAAGAAGAGGTTAGAAAATTCCAGGTAAAACAAAGTTAACAAGGTTTTAACATGCCAAAGAGAACCAGGAATATTTAAGGAAGGATGGAGCTTGGAACATTTTCTAAATCTCACTTGTCCACAGAACCCATCACCCCCATTCTAGCTTTTGGTGAAGCATTTTGAAGGACTGATACTCTAAAGGACACACACCTAGGAGGACACAGCTCTACAATCTGGGATAGGAAGACTAGGACCTGTATTCATCTATACAGGCCTCCACAGGGCCCGTTGACAGCAGCCTAGCAACAGTTTTGGTCAACTTCATTCTCCGTCTTCCCCTCTTAACCAGGAGAGACATGAACAGTGTTCTTTGCTACTAGGTATGAGTGAGGGATGATTCCTGGGCTGTCTCTCAGCTTGAGATGCATTAATTCCATTCCATGCATCCACGGGAAAGGGCTGACAATCAGTCTGGGGTTGGCTTAGGACTAAGGGATTCCAAAAAATGATGAATGACTTTTATTTACCTGTGGGGAGAAAGCAATTGTAGCTGAAACAGGCCATTCAAACCGTATCAAGTTCACTTGGCTGTGATTTGTGACTGTGAAGCTCGCATTATAGCTGTGTCCAATGTGGCAGTCCCCAAATTGGATGTGGTCCACCAGAGCAGCTAGGGATTAGAAGCAGAAGGCTGTGAGTCCTCCCTGGCCTCCCCTGAGGGCCTGCTGCCTTAAGGAGGCATAGTGCTTCACTCACATGCAGTCCTTCCATCCTTGGATGGCTATATTTGAGAAACCTAGAATCTCTGAGTAACAAGATTTCTATCCTCAAGGAATCTATCTATCCACCCATCCATCCATCTATCCATCCATCCATCCATCCATCCATCCATCCATCCATCCATCATCCACCCACCCATCATCTACCCATCCATCATCTATCCATCCATCCCTCTCATCCATCCATTATCCACCCATCCATCATCCACCTATCCATCACTCACCTATCCATCCATCCATCCATCATCCATTCATCCATCCACCATCCACCCTCCCCCATCCTGCCATCATCATCCATCCACCCACCCATCCAGCCATCATCCACCCACCCACCCATCATCCATCCACCCTCGCATCCATCCATCATCCACCCATCCACCATCCACCTATCCACCCATCCATCATCTCCCTACCCACCCATCCATCCATCCATCCATCCATTATCCACCCTCCCATCCATCCATCATCCACCTGCTCACCCACTCATCCATCCATCATCCACCCATCCATCATCCATCCATCCATGCAGCCATCCATCCATATATCCATCCATCATCCACCCACCCATCCATCCATCCATCATCCACCCATCCATCCATTAATTCATCTATCATCTACCTACCCACTCACCCATCATCCACCTACCCACTCACCTATCTACCCATCATCATCCACCCATCCATCCATCATCTACTCATCCATGCATGCATGCATGTATCCATCCACCCATTCATCTATCATCTACCCATCCATCCCTCTATCCCTTCATCCATCCATCCATCATCCATTCACCCACCTTAGCCCTCACCTCCATTTGTACAAGAGAAAACATAGGTCCCCAACTCCATTTGTTTGGTGAGAAAATATTATAAAGGATTGGGATTGCCAGATAAAATATAGGAGTCCTGGTTAAATTTGAATTACAGATAAGAAATGAATAATTTTTAGGATAAGTATGTCCCATGCCATGTTTGGGATATACATATACTAAAAATTATTCATAGTTTAACCAAAATTCCAATTTATTGAGGAGTCTTGTATTCTGATTTGCTAACTCTGGCAATCCTATTATGGGCATGAAATCTGAGTTCTGAACTTAGATTCACTGCTGGCTCCTGCTTGAGCCTTGGTAAGAGAGATGTCACCCTGTAGCCTCAAACAGGGCTGAAACACCAGGTATATGAGGAGTGTTGATTTCAACCCATGTTGTGTAGACCACCTAACGGTACATTCCAGGACTTTAATTAAGCTTCTAGGTAAACTATGGGACTCTGTTTATAACTCACTTTTTAGCAACCAACCACATAATTAGGGCGCTTAACCAATGCCTTCTGATGATAACAATTTGATGATAAATTTTTCCAATCCCCAAAAATGTCAACTAAATGAAGCTTTAGTGCTTGATAGATTGCAGCACAACATGTCTTAAGCTTTAGTATAAAAACACGTCACCTGGGGCCTTGTTAAAATGTGGATTCTGATTCAGTAGGGCAGGGGGGTCTGAAACCCCCATTTCTAACAAGCTCCCAGGTGATGCTGATGCCATAGGATCTCAAACTGCTCATTGAGTAGTGGGGCTGTGCAGAGTGATGTTCTAGAAGTGCCCAAACCTATACTCTCTCTAATAAACAGACAATGCCAACACAAGCCAGCTAATAAATGCAGACAGGAAAAACTGCAAGGCATTTATTTGCTTATTAGTTGAACCAGAATTTGAATATCAAACTATAAGCTCCTTAAGAGTAGAGACTTCCTTGTTAATTTTGAAACTCCAGGGATCAGCATGCCTGGAACATGTACTTGGTGATCAATACATATTCATCGAGTGAACACATGAATAAATGGAAGGATGGATGCCATGACTGAGCCAGGCATGCCAGAGCATAGAGTAATGAAGAGGAGAGTCAGTCCTAAATTCTCAGGGAGGTAACCAACCTGTTATTTAAATTTACTCTCATTTAAAACAAATGACCCAGTAGCCAACACTTGCCAACACTTCACTGCTGTTTCTCCCACCTGCCACCAAGTCTTCCATATCATTGTCCTCGATGATCTCTGTGAACTCAGAGATACTTATGTCTTCCTGGCTGGTGGGGGCCACCAGTCCATGGATGTTGTCCAAGGTGATGTCATCCTCATAGCCCTCTCCCACCATGTGGATGGAGGTCTCCTCATATTGGTTGTTGATCACTGACAAGTGGATGATACCTCTCATCCTCCCAACCTTCTGGGAGTGGAAAACGACATCAAATTCAGCTGTATCTCCAGGAGAAACAACCAAGGAGGCTGTGTGAGCTTTCTTTGCTGCAAAGAGAAGAGAGAAGATATGATTTAGAACTAGTTTCAAGAAATGTGTATCTATAAAGACCCCTGTTGAAGGGAAAGTAACCCTAGAATGGGAACGAGCCTTAGCTAGAGGCCAGTGGTGACGAGACTGGGCATTCCCCTCTGGCTGGGCCTTGAGTGGTCCCCTAATGAAGCAGCTACTGAGATCCATTGCCCTCTAGAAGCACCCTCCCCACACTTACCTTTTACATGTGGTTTATTTTCCTCTGTGATGTAGATATACGCGGTGGTGGGCCTCCCTTTCAGGGAGAAGACTCCTAGCTCATCCTGCAGGTCAACATGCAGCTGGCAGAAGGAAAGCAGGGATGAGTGCTAGGCTTACAGGCTGCTCATGGGCTTTGAGTCTGGGGTGAGATACTGTGCTGTGTTTGGGGCAGGACCCCAAAAAGGTATTATGCCTAGTATTCACTTTTTTGAATTTCTTAAGAGAGATAAATAATAAATATTAGACCTGGAGAGGACAGAAGAACATTCAGTCAGATCAGCCCTTGTTATCTGAGTGAGGAACTGGAGGTCCAAGGAGTATGCAGAACTTTCCAGATCACGTAGGTAGTGTCAAAATGTGGTTGCCAACACCTCTGTCATTAACAGAGGCAGTTATAAAATATACGCTAGGCCAATAAAATGCAAATGAATACTTGTAATTCTATAAGGGCCTGCATTGATGTCAATTCCTAAAAACCAGTATCTCCTAGGTGCTATGCATTAGTTTAGTTGCCTGATAGTGTCATGTTGAGCATCCTACCACGATAAGAGAAAAAACAAGGTGGGCATTTGACCTACTTGGAGAAAGTGGTGGTTTCTGGCCCATTATAAGGAAGATAAGACTAAAGCCATACATCTGATTTCGGATATGAGACATCAGCAGGCATTGTTAGAAGACAGTAATGCTGGCACCATCATGAAAAAGATTGAATAATACAAAATATGAGGCATGGAGAAGGCAGAAATAGTGATATCACACGGGAAGCTTCTGAGATAAAAAATTATGTATTTAGAAACAACTTTAATAAGAAACTATATGGAAGAATTATATGTAAGAATATTGACATAAAAGATCTAAATAAATGGGTGGAAATCCTAAATGTTCCTGGTGGAGAGTCTAAATACTCCGCAAGCAGAAATCCTACCAGATTCAGAGGCTTCCCGATGGGATTTTTAAAGGAACGTTATAAAATAATTATAAAGCTTATTTGAGAGATTAATAGGTGAAAATTGTTAAGAAAAATGGCAAAAACAGGGAATGGGTGGATAGGAATTCACTGAACTAGATGCTAAAACATATTATAAAGCCACAATAATGGAAACGATGCAGGGTAATGGTAAACTAGGTAACCTGAGCTCAAGGCAACAACAATTGCTAGACTAAATATATATAAAAAAATTTTTTTTAAAGCATAACAGAGCTACGAAGAGAATGAGGAGTAAATAGACCAGGATCTGTGAGAGTATAGAAATCCAGCAAGGTCAGTCTCACTTTCTGGGCAGTTTTTGTCCGCCCAGAGCATTTGCCAGTCAGGAAAAGGTAGACAGGAGGCTTGTCTGCACATTTTTTTTTTTTTTAATTTTGATACGGAATCTCACTCTGTCACCCAGGCCGGAGCGCAGTGGTGAAATCTTGGCTCACTGCAACCTTTGTCTCCCGGGTTCTGGCGATTCTCCTGCCTCAGCCTCCAGAGTAGCTAGGATTACAGGCGCGAGTCACCATGCCCAGCTAATTTTTGTATGTTTTTAGTAAAGATGGGATTTTACCAGGTTGTCCAGGCTGGTCTCAAAATCCTGATCTGCCCACCTCAGCCTCTCAAGTTGCTGGGATTACAGGCGTTGTCTGTACTTTTTATGGTCTTTTGGTGCTAAGAGGGCAAAAGTTCAAGGCCTGTGGAAGGTGACAATGCTTTCTTCTGGGCTGGGACCTCAAAAGATGAAAGGTGAGCTGGATATAAACCAGCTTTCCCAAGGGTGGCAATCCTGCTCTGAGTCATCTGGGTAATCCAGAAAATCTCAAACCCTAACACTGGCTTAAAGTGATCCTGAATTTCTAGTGCCCCCAAGTGTTGGGCAGAAGCAAATGAAAATTGCCTCTGAAGAAAAATATGATCCTTAGTTTAATGATTTCTAAATAACTTTTACAATATAATACCCAACACATGAACAGAAGATAACCAGGCACATGAGGAGGCAGGGCAACATGGGCAAAGATGAGTAGAAATAGTAGAAAAAGATGAGTAGAAATACCAGAAAGAGCCACAATGACTGTGGATTTTGGAATTATCTGGTATAGACTGTAAAATGCCTATGATTACTGTGTTCAAGAAATAAAAGTCATGTCTGACAATTTCAGCTAGAAACTAGAAACAGTAAACATGAATTATTCAGATTTTTAAAACAGCCTAATAGAAATTCTAAGACTGAAAAATATAATAACTTAAGGACTTAATGGAAACTTTAACAGTAGATTCAATACAGTTAAAGGGAGAGTTAATAAACTGAAGACAGGTCAAAAGAAATTATGTAGAATGAAGCCCAGAGGAAAAGTGAGTGGAAAATATAGTGAGACTAGAGACACAGAAGATATAGTGAGAAGGTCTTCTATATATTTAATTATCATCCCAGAAGTAGAGATTAGAGAGAATGAAATAGAAACAATATTTAAAGACATGTCTAGAAATTTTCCAAAATTGACTTAATTTTAATCCACAGAATCAAGAAGTCTAGTGAATTCTAACAAGGATAAATTAAAAGAACTCCACACCTGGACATATCATAGTAAAACTGTAGAAAACAAAGTGAAAAGGTAAAAGGCAGTCAGAAAAAAAGAATGCCTTAAAGTAGCAGTCCCCAACCTTTTTGGCACCAGGAACTGGTTTCATGGAATACAATTTTTCCATGGACCAGGCAATGGGGAATGGTTTTGGGTTGAAACTGTTCCACTTCAGATAATCAGGCATTAGATTCTTATAAGGAGCACGCAGCCTAGATCCCTCACACGTGCAGTTCAAAATAGGGTTTGCACTCCTATGAGAATCTAATGCCGCTGCTGATCTGAGAGGAAGGGAGCTCAGGTGGTAATGTGAGTGATGGGGTGTGGCTGTAAATACAGATGAGCTTTTGCTCATGAGTCTGTGGCCTGGGGGTTGGGGACCCCTCTCTTAAAACATTTTAGGCTTATAGCTGACAACTCAGCAGTTAACAACGGAAACCGGAATACAGTGGAATAATATCTCCCATTTGCTGAAAGAAAACAACTGCCAAACCAGAACTCTATAGCCAGTAAAAACGATGTTTAAAATGAAGGAGAAATAGAGACTTCACCACCAGCAGACCCCCATTAAGGAAATACTGAAGAGTATTCTTCAGTTGGTAGGAAAAGGGTCCAAGATGGTGATATGGTTTGGCTGTGTCCCCATCCAAGTCTCATCTTGAATTGTAGCTCCCATAACTCCCACGTGTTGCGGGAGGGACCTGGTGGGAGGTAAATGAATCATGGGGGCGGGTCTTTCCCAGGCTGTTCTCCTGATAGTGAATAAGTCTCACAAGATCTGATGGTTTTATAAATGGGAGTTCCCCTGCACAAGCTCTCTTGCCTGCCACCACGTAAGACATGTCTTTCTCCTCCTTTGCCTTCCACTGTGATAGTGAGGCCTCCCCAGCCATGTGGAACTGTGAGTCCTATTTTTTCTTTATAAATTACCCAGTCTCAGGTATGTCTTTATTGGTAGCATGAGAACTGACAAATACAGATGGAAAATTGGAGACCCAGGAATAAAGAGCAATAAAAATGATTAATAAATGAGTAAACCTAAATGGGCCATAAATGTATAAACAATAACAACAACAGCAGCAAGAACAATAGTGGCAATGTCTTGTAGGGTTTAAAATATTTAGAGAATCCCAAGCCTTCCACAAGTTGCTCCATTACTGTATCCTTTCATTTTTATCTTCCTTGCTCTTCTACCTATACCTATGCTCTCATGAAGCTGGGTGCTTACTATCTCCTGTAGTAGTGTGCACGTTTTGTTTTGTTTTGTTTTTTGGCTTCTGCACCTTTGAAGCTTTCTCTCTATTTCTGGTTTGCATGGACTGCCAAATGCCCACTGAAGGCATTGCTGAAACCCAACTCCTACAATGAGCCCTGTTCAAACGTCATTTACAGTGAATTTTCCCTTCATTGTCTAGATGGGAATAGATCTTTTTCAAAAGTCCTACAGTCCCTTGTAGAGCACAATACATCACATTTTGTAAAATAAAACCATAATTTAATCATTGAATCAAAATACATTTGAATGCTGTATTTTTCACCCCTCCTGAAGTTTCTTTTATCATCTTATCCTCATTGCAAATGCAATGTTCATTACAGAAAACAATTAAAAAAACAAAGAAGATATTAAGAACACCCATAATCCTACCCACTCAGCTTGGTGCACATCACTGCACACTACCTTGGACAGTAGTTAATGATATATTGTGGAATCTGGTTTCTTACTTTCCTTGAGGACAAATGTCATGCCAGATTCCCCTCTGCATGTCCCTGACACATAGGTTAATGTATGTGGATCAACAGAGAAGTCCTCATACATTAGGCATGGCAGAGGCCCCAGTGGCAGAAGTGTAACTTCTGGATTCTTCTCCCTTTCAGCCTCATGCTTCACCCTCGAGTATTACCTGGGCAGGGAGGACACCATTGTTCTTGAGGATGAGAGGCAGCTTCTCTGAATGACCAAGGAGAAGCCTCTTAAAGAGGAGCAAGGGGTTTCCATATTGGTTATGAAGAACTGGCCGCACAACCGTCACTCGAGGGAGGTTCCCCTCACCAGCGATGTCAAACACGAGGCCTCGGCTCTTGGCCAGGGTGCTGTAGGGGACAGGAAGATTGTAGCCTGTCAGCCTGGCATGGTGGGAATGACACTCCCTACAGAGTGTGGCCTGCAGTCCTGCTGCAGGAGAGGGAGCTGGGAGCTGGGAGTTGGTACCTGGGCAAGCCATCCAAGGTAGCCTCAAAGATGCACTGGTAGTTCTGCATGATCTGCGGGGTGAAGGACACCGTGGCAAAGGCATGGGAATGACTGGCAATGCACATCTTGCTGGGTTCCACTTCAAAAATGTCGACGATGCGGGCAAAGGGCTGGTGATGGGGGCAGAGACCAGAGTGTGTCAGTGCCTTTGTATTCTCACCAGGCTTACTCCTTATTTTCAGGAGTCCCCCACCTCTCATCTAAGTGCTGTGGTGGACATGCTCCACTGCCTGCAGGGTGAGGGGCTCTGGAGGGAACAGCCTGGGACCCACCCCTGAATGATGCCTGGCTAGATTTGGCTAGACCTATGATTTTTGACTCAAATTGATGAACTAAGCCAGGAATCCAGATATTCTCCCTGCTACCCCACCCCTGTCAACTAAATTGGGATGCCCAAAGATTGGTGTTGGTTGGTTTTTAAATTCTTTCTGTGACAGGATCTTGCTCTGTCACTCATGTTGGAGTGCAGTGGCATGATCATGGTTCACTGCAGCCTCGACCTCCTGGACCCAGGCAATCCTCCCACCTCAGCCTCCCGAGTAGCTGGGACTACAGGAGTGTGCCACTATGCCCAGCTAATTTTTTTTTTTTTTGTACATATGGGGTTTCATCATGTTTCCCAGGCTGGTCTCAAACTCCTGGGCTCAAGTAATCTGCCTGCCTCGGCCTCCCATAGTGCTGGGATTACAGGTGTAAGCCGCCGTGCCGGGCCGGTGCTGGTTGTTAAAATGTGGAGCTGAGCTGGGAGCTGGCTGAATCACATGCAAGATGAGAAAGCTGGATGAGAGAATGGAGCAGTGGAAACCCTGTGAGAGAGACATGTGGCTCTTGAGAGATGGACAGAGCATCCGCTGGTCTTCTAAAGGGCGGACTTCAGGTGATGGTGCCAGTCCCAAGGAGTCCCGGCCACGTGATGTGTTCTGACCTGTGCCTGAGGTGTCTGATTCACTGCAGTAAGCCTTGCTTTGTCTGGGTTAATCTGAGAGGGTTTCTGCTCCTTGTAACTCCAAGAGCCTTGGCTAGAACAACCTCCCACAGCACTTTATCTGTTCCCAACTTGTGGCAGTGTTTTGGGACTGTAGGGAGCCCTGGCATGGCCTTAAAAGGATTTTTCATTCTCATGGGAAGTAGGTGGGATTCAAGACTGACTATTCCCTCTTGTTCTTAAACTGAGGGCACTCAGGTTTCTCTTTGCTTTTTCCAAAGGATAGCCTTCAAGTCTGCAAACTAGGGTGGAGGAGAACATGTGATATCTGCAAATCCTCTTATAAAGTCTCTCTTTAGAAATAAGACTTGTGGCTGGGTGTGGTGGCTCACTCTTGTAATCCTAGCACTTTGGGAGGCTGAGGCGGGAGGATCGCTTGAGCCCAGGAGTTCGAGACCAACCTGGTCAACATGGTGAAACCCTGTCTCTACAAAAAATACAAAAACTAGCCAAGCATGGTGGTGCGTGCCTGTAGTCCCAGCTACTCAGGAGGCTGAGGTGGGAGGATCACTTGAGCCCAGGAAGTCAAGGCTGCAGTGAGCCATGATGGCGCCATTGCACTCCAGCCTGGGCAACGAGAGTGAGACTGTCTCAAAAAAAAAAAAAAAAAAAATCAGTCTTCCTCACTTTTTATGTTTTTAGTACAGAAGAGGAAGAAAGCTGCCCCTTAGTATCCCAAATAAGATTAGAGAATAGGCCGGGTGCGGTGGCTCATGCCCGTAATCCCAGCACTTTGGGAGGCCGAGGCGGGTGGATCACGAGGTCAGGAGATCGTGACCATCCTGGCTAACACGGTGAAACCCCGTCTCTACTAAAAATACAAAAAATTAGCCGGGCATGGTGGTGGGTGCCTGTAGTCCCAGCTACTTGGGAGGCTGAGGCAGGAGAATGGCGTGAACCTGGGAGGCAGAGCTTGCAGTGAGCTGAGATTGCGCCACTGCACTCCAGCCTGGGCGACAGAGCAAGACTCCGTCTCAAAAAAAAAAAAAAAACTCAGAGAATAATGACTGGGAGTCACCAGGGCCTGAAGGAAGTCATAAAACGGATTATGTAGTCTCCCCAACCATACCTCTCTGCATTGACATTCCCCAGGAATGCACACTCCATATGTAGCTCTAGGCTGATACCAACACCCTTGGTGACCTCCCCACCACCCTCAACTGTGAACAATGCCAGCTCTGGGGCCTGAGGACCTCCTGGGCCCAGATTCTACTTTCAGGCAGAGAACTGAAGCAGCCTTCATAAAACTAGAGTATTTGCCACACATTGGATTGGAAATTAAGGGTGACAGAAACCCACTGATTAAGACCTCTCTTGGTATCCTGAATTTTCTGTTCTGCTGTGAAAAAAAGTATGATCTGACTCAGAGAGAAAAGGCAGTTTCGAGCCTGGCAGCCCCCTGAGATGGGCAATTATTTCATCTTGTATGTGGATGAAGCTTGGCTTTAAGCCCAGCCCTATATTCTCAGGCTCTGGGACCTAGGGGAAGGATTTAGCTTTTTAAGCCTCAGTTTCCCTAACTGTAGAATCGGGATAATAATACAAAGTCGGAAGAGTTGTTGTGAGGGCAAAAGGAGGCAGTAAATATAAATCACTTAGCACAGTGCTTGTCACATGGGAAGGGCTAAAACATGCTCATCATTTCACCTTATCCTCAGAATCTGATGCCCCCAAATCTCCCTTACCAGCAGAATATGCAGCTGGAGGTAGGCCTGTCTGGAGCTGGCACTCACCTTAGCCTCTCCCCACCATGCTTTGTCTATTTTAGGCACATAGTGAGCATTCAATGGAGGAATGCGGTTTGCTCGTCCATGCGTACTTATCACAAAGGTACCCGGAGGAGACACCCACTGGGACAAATGTATCACCACTGGCCTAGGGGAAAGCCCCCGGTTACTTCACATAACTTCCAGCAGGGCCAGATAATTTCCACTCACGCATACAGGCTCCAGAGCAGAGGATGCTGAGAGCCCTTTTTCCAGCTTTATGTGAACCACGCTGGGCCAGGGGCCATTGGGAGCGTCTTACCTTATTGGAGATAGGCCTGACTACAATGTTGACATCACAGGTGATCTTTCCCACGTTGCTGATCTTGAAACGAGCCTTGGCTTGGCGGCCCACCAGGACATTGCAGAAGATGAACTTGTTCTCATCCTCGACGAACAGCCCCCCGCTCTCTATGGTCTGCAGGATGTGGTGCAGGTTGGCACTGGTACATATCTGGTGCTCTTCAAATATCAAGGCATTGTTTTCGGTCACGAAGGCTGGGGAGTGAAGGGGAGACCATGAGATGCTGCCTGATTGCTGGATTCCCACTCTGTGATTCCTAATTTGGAACTCTGGATTCTCACAAAGGAGAATTGTGGAGGACACATAGGCGAAGTCATGCAAGGGGGTGTGAGGGATGGGAAACATTCTGTCTTGTCTTCCTCTTTTGTACAGTCCTTGCTGGTTGCCACACTCCAGTGAGCATTTTTCTCCCAATGGTAAGATCCAAGATCTGGGGTGTGCTATGGAGGGAAGGAGGCAACTGGCCCACTATGCTTCAAGGCTCCAGGGATCCTATCGTCAAAGCATGAGGCATTCTCTTTGCACCTCATCTGCCCTCCTGCTGGGTTACAGATTTTGCATGCTCAGTAACTGAACATTGTTCTCTGTGGACATGTTGCCCACCGGGAGTGGCCTGGCCATGAGCGGGACTCAGTGCTCCTGGGTCCTGTGCCACAGCCCATCCCATCATGATTCTCAGATAACACTATTCATCTGGGAATCCAGGACCAGCCTCCTGGGAGTGTGAAGCTGCACCTCCTCCCTTAGGTATATGCCCTGGAAAAATACAACTGAAGACACTAGAGCAAGTTCTAGGACCCTGAAGGAAGCATCCCAGCCATGTCTGCCAGAAATCTTTGGAAAAACTTGCAAGAAAGAAGGTAGAAGTGTTACAGATGAAGGTCTTTTATTTATGTATTTGTTTTTTTGAGACAGACTCTCACTCTGTTGTGGAGTACAGTGGCGTGATCTCGGCTCACTGCAAACTCCACCTCCTGGGTTCAAATGCCTCCTGAGTAGCTGGGATTACAGGCATGTGCCACCACACCCAGCTAATTTTTTGTATTTTTAGTAGAGACGGGGTTTTGCCATGTTGGCCAGGCTGGTCTCAAACTCCTGACCTTAGGTGATCTGCCCGCCTTGGCCTCCCAAAGTGCTGGGATCACAAGCGTGAGCCACTGCACCAGGTCTCAGATGAACACCTTTTAAGTGGTGCTGTCCAATGTGAGTGGTCAGTACCTGGTAGACAGGCTTCAGCTAGCAAAGTGTAAAGAATGCCGGCAGGGTGGACTGCAGGGTCTCGGCCGGAGATATCGATGGCTATAAACTCCTCACACTTTCCCATGGCGTCAGCCACACAGTCAACGTTGATGACCTGCTGTCCTCCGGAAGGAATGGAGCCAAACCCAGGGTACACGGTGAACATGCCATGGGCGAAGCGGGCCTGCAGGACAAGGGTGGGAGGGATAGGAGGCTTGGAGGCAGAGTGAGTGACAGCCAGACTATGGGGGCTGTTAGATGGTGTGGAGAGGGGGAGGGACACGTGGGGCTTCTTCTCACAGGCACTCTCTGGGCCCTCTTTCCTCTCCTCCTGGAGGGACAGAGGGCCAGGGATGGGAAGGGGGTCTTCAGTGATAGGTTGCTCTCTCAGTGCTTCCTTCTATGCAAATTCATTTAGACCAATCATGTTTGAACTAAGGGTTTAAAGGAACAGATAGACTCCACATCATATAGCACTTATTCAGCTGGGCATCTTGAAGCAGAGGGGTGCAGAATGGCGTAGTGGGTGAGGTTATGGGCCTTTGAGTGACACACGCCTGGGTTTGAATCCCAGCCCTGCTAAATATTGACTGTTTGACCTTAAACAAATGACTTCTCTGAGTCTCAGTTTATTTATCTATAAAATGGGGCTAAAGCCCCGACCCCAGAGATTGCTGGAGGTTTAAATGAAAGAACAGGTGTGAAGCATGTAGCATAGCATCTGGTATGGAATTAGTGCTAAAACAAAACAAAACAAAACAAAACAAAACAAAACAAAACAAAACAAAACAAAACAGGATGTTGGTGCAATCCTTAGATGTCCCGGCTCTTCTCTCTCCTGCTTGTAGTTTTCCGGATGACCGTAGAATGTGCTGACAATGCAGTGGCCTGAGATAAGGGAAGGGTCTGGAACAGCCCAGGCTCTGTTCTCATCTTTCCTAGAACAGAATGTCCTGCAGTGCTTCAGCTCAGAGATCCACATTTCCTCTGGAGCACAAAATCCAGGGCAGAATGCTTTTGGTGTGCTTCAGCTGCAGTGTGAAGTGGGGCATGCATTGACAGGACTTCATCTATCCGAGGCAGCTTTCTTGAGCCTTGGGGGACCAGCTGTCCATGAATATGAGTCTTCTGTTGGTTCTTGCTACCTATCCGTGAGTGATAACTTGCTTTGCGTGACTTGTGTGAGTGTTCTGCTGCACTGGACTCATACCCTGGCAGTTGGATTTGTGCAAAACCTCTGGCAGCTGGGGTTTGTGAAGGACATCCTGCCAGATCTAGGAACCACAGCAGAAATCAGTGCTGAGTCTAGTGGCACTCTTCACACAGGCATCTGTGTGGATGCAGCCCCTAGCATTGTGCAGTGTGACTGCACAGACATACACGGAAGCTGCTATTAACTGACTTGGTCACTATTTACAGAATACCTACTATGTGCTAGGAGATGTCCTGGGCACTGGTGATTCCCAGATAAACCATCCTGACAGAAGAGAAGGTTGGAGAATAGTAGAAAATGGCATGATGTTGTCTCAAAGGAGCAAGGTCATAGTGAGGGCAAAGAACAGCTGAAATGAGCGGAACTGAGGCAGCAGAAAGCTAGAAGAGATGGAAGCAGTCAGAGAAAGAGGTCTTGGAAATCAAGGATTCAGAAGCACCTCAGTTTCTTGTGATGTAAGATCCAGGCTCTGACCATTAAAATAAGTTGCCAATGTAGAGGAGAGGATAAGTTCATTGCAACTGAAAGGCAGAGTGCTGGAGAGGCTGTTTCACTGAAGGCTGAGAAGATATGGTAGGCAAAGAAGGAAAAAAAAAATCTGTAGAAGAGATGAGAGTTATAGAAACATATGTAGAAAATTATGTTTGTTAATGAAATAGAAGCCTTTGCTTGACAAGTGGAAACCACTTGAAAAGACATAAAAACCAACATGTAGAAAACCCAGTTCACTTCAATCAATAATTATTGCTGTTCATAGAGTGCAGAATACCTGCTTCTCTCATTGCCTTCAATGCAGAGGTGGTGGCTGGAGTTGCAGAGGCCACCTTGCAACCATGAGGGAAAGGCCAACAGAATCACAAGCAACAATAAACTATTAAACCAACATCAGCAATTGCCTACCCCATTTAAATATGCCATATTTGTTTAAACCACTAATGTTGGATTTTCTGCTATCTGCAGCCAAACGTGATTCTGATACACAAATCAAGCACCTCCTCCTCTGTGAAGCCTTCAATGACTCTTCACAGCTACCCGGAACAGCAAGACTTCGTTCTTCAATTTTTCTAGAGTCTATCCATGTACATGCACCTCAGTTATAGTACACGCACCTCAATTATAGTATTTACCATCTTGCTTAACAACTGCTCATTCACCTGCTTTTTATAAAGAATTCCTATTGTCTGTCTTCAAGTTCACTGATTCTTTCCCCGCTCTGTCTAAAATATTTCCTCTACATCCATTTAAAACCATATCAGACAGTATTATATAGTTTTGCTTCCATTGACAAACATAATTTAGAAAACCCAGGAAGAGAAGTAAGGTCTACTGAATTTACCTACATTATTGCTTACCATGTTTTTTTCTTCCTTGTTGATGTCCCATGATTTTATCTTCTGTTATTTACTTTTTGTTTTGAGAACTTCCTTTAGCCATTCTTATAGGGTAAGTCTACTGGTGACAAATTCTTTTAGCTTTGTTTCATTTGAGAAAGTCGATTTTCCATTTATCCCTGAGAAATATTTTTGCTGGATATAAGATTCTGGGTCCACAGTTATTGGTTCTCTACACTTGAAAATATTGTGCCACTTTCTTTTGGGTCTCTATGGTTTTTGTAAGAAATCTGCTGTCATTCAAGGTTCATTTCTCTCTTGATGTGTTCAAGATTTTTTTTTCTTTTCTTTAATTTTCAGAAGTTTGACTATGATGTGTGTTGGTAAGGATTTCTTTTGGTTTCTCCTATTTGGGTTTGCTCAGATTCTTGAGTCTGTAGGTTTACATCTTTTGCCAAATTTGAAAAGTTTTCTGTCATTATTCCTTTGAGTATATTTTCAGTCCCACCCTCTTTTGTAACTCTTTCTGGAACTCCAATGACAAGCGCATTAGATCTTTAGATCTTTTGTTATGGTTCCACAGATCCCTGAGCATCAATTCATTTTTTCTCATTAGACTTAAATAGACTTTCAAGGGACTCAAAACAGAGTCTACTTTCTCTCTTTTATTTAGACTGGGCAGAATAATGGCCTCCGAAAGATGTCCACATCCTAATCTCTGGAACCTGTGAATATGTTACCTTATACAGCAAAAGGACTTGGTTGACATGATTACATTAAGAACCTTGAGATGAGGAGATTATTCTGGATTATAATGGGCCCAATGTAATCACAAGGGTCCTTAGAAATGGAAGAGAGTTAGAAGGAGATATGACTATGGAGGAGGTTGGAGTAATGTGATGTGAGAAGGATTCGATCCTCTGTTGCTGGCTTTGAGGATGATAGAAGGGGACTACAAGCCAAGGAATGTGGGCTGCCTCCAGAAGCTAAAAAAACAATGAAAAGGATTCTTTCCTGGTGTCTCCAGAAAAGAATACAGCCCTTCCAACACCTTGATTTTAGCACTTCTGACCTACAGAACTATAAGATAAAAAATGTGTAATACTTTAAGCTTCTAAATTTGAGGTAATTTGTTGTGAGAACAATAAGAAACAAACACAGGAATCCCTATTGTCTGTCTTCAAGTTCACTGATTCTTTTCTTTTCTTTTTTTTTTTGAGGTGGAGTCTCACTCTGTTGCCCCAGCTGGAGTGCAGTGGTGCGATCTCAGCTCACTGCAAACTCTGCCTCCCGGGTTCATGCCATTCTCCTGCCTCAGCCTCTCGAGTAGCTGGGACTACAGGCACCTGCCACCATGCCTGGCTATTTTTTTGTATTTTTAGTAGAGACAGGGTTTCACTGTGTTATCCAGGATGGTCTCGATCCCCTGACCTCGTGATCCGCTTGCCTCGGCCTCCCAAAGTGCTGGGATTACAGGCACGAGCCACGGCGCCTGGCCCAAGTTCACTGATTCTTTTCCTCTGTTCCCTCTGTGTTGTTGAGCCCATCCATTGAGTTCTAAATTTGTTTATTTATCTTCAATTCCAGAATCTCCATTTGCTTCTTCTCTACATCTTCTGTCTTTGCTGAGACATACTATTTTAAAAATTTTCCAAGCATGCTTATAATTGCTCATTGAAACATTTTCAGATAATTCTAACACCTCTCTCATCTCAGTGTTGTCATCTAGCATTTATCTATTTTCCTTCAGTTTCAGTTCTTCCTGGTTCTTGGTATGATGAGTGATTTTCAACTGAAACCTGGACATTTTGGGTGTTATGCTATGAGACTTGGGATCTGATTTAAATCTTCTGTTTGGGCTGGCTTTCTTTTGGCACTGCCCTGGCAGGGGAAGGTAGTATACTGCCTTGCTACTGCCAGATGGGGGCAGTAGTCCAGATTCCCCACTCAGACCCATCATTCCTGCTGGGCAGGGGTGGGTGTCCCAGCTCTCCACTAGTCCTCAACTGATACGTGCCTGGTGGGGATTGGTGAGTGCCTGTTACTGTTCTGTTGATGCCATGGGAGATGGAGGGGTCCTCTGACACCATTCCAGCAGGGGATGGGGGAATGTCTCATTATCACTAGGTTGGGGTGGACGTCATGGTTCCCCATGTGGTATCTCCACAAACAGCACAGGAGGTGGTGGGGGACACTTGTTACCACCCATGGGAATGAAAATCTCGGCTTGGTATTCGACCTTCTCCGACGCCACCCTGGCAAGGGGGTGGGGCACCTCATGACAGCTTGGAGAGGGTGGAGTCTAGACTCTCTATTTGGCCTTTGCTAGCAGAGGTGGCGTGGGACCAAATATTTTTCTTTGGTGTTTGGCTGTGGTAGAACAGTTATTATATAGAAGTTTTCTGTCTTTCTAGGTTAACTGTTGTCTTTTGGTTACTGTCTAGAAGTTTTCTGTCTTTCTAGGGGCAACCTAGAAAGGCAGAAAGAAAGTAGGAGTAGGCTTCTGTTGGGGCTTTCTTTTTGTCTGTGTCTGTTGATGTTTTAGGGTTGCTGGCTGCTTCAGCACCCAGTCTGGGAGATATGAGGCAAAAAGAAAACTTGGGAACTCACCACCTTGATCTTCCTTGGGTCCCAAAGTCCCTGGGGCTGGTCTGGTTTCTTCTCTCTACCTTTCAGAGTCTGAAGTCTGTTTTATACATGATGCCCAGGGTTTTTAGTTGTACTTAGTTGGGAAGAATAGGGAAAAGTACATCTAGTTGATCTTACCAGAAGCAGAAATCCTTGAATCTCCTTTTATTTAAGCCTGTTTGAATGGGCTTCTCTTTCTTATAAGCAAATTATTCTTGATTAAAATACATATGAAGAGTAGAAACAATTTTAAGGCAGTGGCAAGCCAATGAAGGTTTTAAAGCAAAAGAGGATATCCAAATTAAAGGTCATAACATCTTAGCTTAAAATGAAAGTGACATTTCAGTATAATTATTTCATATTCCTGCCATGATGGATTCAAATCCTGTTATCCTAGGGAGGTATTTGGTGTCAAGAGCTAATTGGGAGTTGGCCTTACTGGGTATCTGTAAGAACAGGGAAAAGGACACGCACCTGGCCTGTGGTGGTTACTTCTTTCTGAATCGTGTCAGAGAACTTGGCTGCTCTGGAAGAGCCAGTTTTGTAGAAGCTCTCACTTTCTCGGGATCTTGCATGTCTGACGTGGCTGGCTCTGATTAAAGAAGCAAGAGTATACCCTTAGATTGTGGGGTCGGGGGTAACATTAGACACCACCTGTCTGTTTTCTTGCAAGGGCCCTTCTCCCAGGAATGGGGGAAGGGGCCCTTCTTTGCCCAAGAGGACACTGGAGTGGCATAGTTAGCTAGTTAATCACTGACCAAACTCATTTAGCAACTGTAAGGAAACTAGGCGGTAATTATACTTATTAAATATGATTTATAGGGACACCGAAAATTACTGCAAGAAGATAGTAAGTTTTAAATGCCTACTTGAGTTCACTGGAAAGCAGTGTGCAGAAAATTACTTGTGGATGTCAAATGTTTTACTTAATCTGATTTTAAAAAATGAAATGGCAAATAAATTAAGCTCTTTTCTGTATCTTCACATTTATAGTTGTGATGTTTTTAAGGTTTAGTATAAGCAGTAGTTCAAATATAGGTCTTGGTAGTTGTTCACTTGCCTTGAAACTAGTTTATCCAATAATTAGTTTGCCTAGAGACCAGTTCACCTAAAATATTCAAATGTATCTGAAATGCATCTTAAACTTTTGAGAATTTTATATATTCAAGCATTCACTTGCTTAATGACCAGAACACGTGAAGTTCAACCCCCTTTCGTGTGTTTTGTATGAACTTGTGCATGCTAAAATAACAAATAAATAAAAACCAATGTAAAGCAAAACAGAATTAAGTCATAATCATTATAGACATTACATTGTTATAAATTGTAAAAAAATTCAGTTGAAATTAAACTAGGAAGAAAGAGACTTTACACAATTCAACTCTACATTTTAAAAAATGTTCAAATTTTGTCAAAACAGAAAAGAATAGCTACAGAAATATAAAACAACTACAATGTAAAGCCATACATCTTATTTAAAAGAATTAACTAGAAAGTCAAAATTAAATCAGAAGTGCCTCAGGAATCGGTAAAAACCATCCTTAATTTGCCCGAAAAAGAGTATGGCAGCCCAGTAGAAGCCAAAAGCACTCAAAAGACAAATTGTTTTGGGTGAATTGATTGACAGCCTCCTTTTGAAGAACATGGAGTTTTGCTGTTGGAACAACTATTAAGGTAGCTTTGTGACGGTGTCTTCATGGGGAGAAGGCAATAATAGTAACAGGCAATAACAATAATAGTCCCTGGTAGGCTGAAGGCATCACCGCACTTCCTCTCTTCCACGCTTCCAGAGCAGCCCCACCATGAAGCACTGCTACGATTTCTTTTGATTTAGCTTCCTATGATAATAATTTCTTGGCGTTGTACAGAATGACACATAGGACAATGATCTAACAAGTCCTTCAGCACGCCAGGAGCACCAGGACAACAGACAAAATTCCAGGCAGAAGACTGTGTTTGTTCAACTAAAATTTATGATATATTCTACAGGAAATCTATGAAACCTGGAGTCAGAAGATGTGGGCTCACACCAAGATCTACTGGTGATTTCGTGTATAGTATTTAAAAAAAAATTTTTTTATTTTTTATTTTTTTGAGACAGAGTCTCGTTCTGTCGCCCAGACTGGAGTGCAGTGGCGCGATCTCGGCTCACTGCAACCTCCGCCTCTCAGGTTCAAGCGATTCTCCTGCCTCAGCCTCCCGAGTAGCTGGGATTACAGGCATGTGCCACCACACTTGGCTAATTTTTGTATTGTTAGTAGAGATGGGGTTTCACCACATTGGCCAGGCTGGTCTCGACCTCCTGATCTCAGGTGATCTGCCCGCCTTGGCCTCCCAAAGCGCTGCGATTACAGGTGTGAGCCACTGCGCCCAGCTTTTGTGCATAATCTAAATGAGCCATTTCTAAATCTTACTGATCTCACCCACAAAACGGGATTGGGTGAATTTAAGTAAGATATACGAAAGCTCTTTATAAAATATAAAGCATAAATTAAAGAGGGAATGGAATGAGTTAAGTAAATATTTGTCTTACGCTTTCTTTTGATGAATGGGGCTCTCCCCTGTCAGCTTATAAAGGGCGAACTTGAAGTCAGTAACACCTTGATTTTCTATGGTGAAGGTGGTGCTTTTACGAGTGCCACAGATCAAAGCTCCAAAGTTGATGACAGAGGAGGGGGTGATGTTGTATTTGGAATATACTGCATTCGCGGAAAACTTAATTGGGATGCTGGCAATGATCTCACCTCCTTCTGAAATATTGGGCTCAATAATCTAAAACGGGAAGAAGAATGAGCAAGTCAGCCACTGCTGTAGCTACAGAATTCCCATGATTATCTACCCCATTCCCTATTTTCATCATTGACATGAAGCCATGTTCTTTATTTCACTGTCTTCGTATTATTGCGAACACTAAAACAGAGCTTACTGTGTACCAGCCAAGGGTCAACTTAGCCAACTTTTCCTCATGTTTTCAGTTCCCTGCTCATCCTTTGCACTTGATGATGGGACTCAGCTTCCCTGCCTCTGATGCTCCCCAAAGACCTGGGGGCACATTTCCTCACTGGATCTAATTCTGATGACTTTGCCTGATAGTTAGGACAGAACCCCGGTGTATCCTATCTGGTTGCCACCCAGGCCAGCCCTCCCCTTTTCTCCCTGGAGCATGGATTAGGTCATGTATCCTTCTTTGCAACAGGAGTCGTACGATCCTGCCATTGAGGCAGCCCCTCCCTTTGGAGCTCTCTTACCTGACAGCGCAGAACAGGCTGGTGCTCAATCTTCACTTCCTTTTTTGCATGGAAGAAAACTTGGACATTTGTGGGTTTTTCTGTTGGGGTCAGTGAACCCTTTTTGGGTTGGACTGAGATCATGGAATTTATATTAGGTGTTGAAATCCCTACAGAGTCCACGGAAAAGCTGAAAGACAAGAATAAGAAGTCAGCCTAGGTCATTATCCCGGGAACTCAAGATCCCAGAGAGGAGACTCTAGATGGTTGAGTGCCTGCTGTGTTTCCAGCCCTGTTTAGCCACTACGTCCGGCGGAGTCCACTGTGCTTTGTACATCGTGATCGCCTCTCCTTAGCCAGGATTGACCAGGCTAGGAATTGATGCTTACGGCAAAGACAGCCATACTCTATCCCATGGTCAAGAGAGGCCATTGCAGGAGATCTCTGTCCAACAGGGACATTGGATATTGAAAAAGGACCATCTAAATTAATTCTCTCTTTCTCTGTTTGTGTCTGTCTGGCTTTCAGCACATGCAGAGCGAACAGTGACACAGAAACCAGAGAACCTGGGGAGAGAGACAGCAGGGAGGGGGCAGGGGTCCTGTAACAGAGGTACTGGGGAGGGAAGCCCATGGCCTACTGGAGGTGAGGCAAGAACCACAGGAAGAAGCTGGCTCATGAGACCGGCAGAGGGACTGCCGTAGGCTCAAGATGTATCCCACCTAGGCAGAGGTGGGATGCCCGGAGTTGCTGTGGGGCTCTGAATGTCACCGCCATGCTCCAGGAGACCCTGGCTGCCCAATTACCTGCACCCCTGTGCTTCCTTGCTTCCCTGCGCATTCTTTCAACAAACCCTCTATCACCTGTTCCAACCTGAGAGTGACTCCATTCCATGCAACCTCAAAGAGCACAGCTAATGCCCCTGTCTTAATCTAAAAGAAAACTCACCAACAGGCAAGATTCCACTTAGCACTAATTCCAAACTGACAGGGGAAAAGTCTCTTTGTCATCTGTGAATTCTTGGGGAAGGAGAACTTTCCATGGAATGAAAAGTGTGGGCACTGCCATGAAGGGCTGTGTGGCCCTGTCTGAGGGGTGTTTCCCTCCCTCCTCCCGTGTGCCACCCTTTCCTTGCTGAGGAGCCTCCCTGATTTTGTGTTACTTTTTCTTTTCTTTTCTTTTCTTTTTTTTTTTTTGAGACAGGGTCTCGCTCTGTTGCTGAGGCTGGAGTGCAGTGGCACGATCACGGCTCACTGCAGCCTTGACCTCTCTGGGCTCAAGCGATCCTTCCATTCCAGTCTCCCAAGTAGATGGGACTACAAGTGATATGACCACCACGCCTAGCTAACTTTTTTTGTATTTTGTAGAGGCAGGGGGGTCTTGCCACTTTGCTCAGGCTGGTCTCCAACTCCTGGGCTCAAGCAATCTGCCTGCCTTCACCTCCTACAGTGCTGGGATTACAGGCATGAGCCATCACACCCAGCCTCTGTGTTTCATTTTTTATCTCAGGGGATGAGCACAAGCCAGAGCTCTATTCTACCAAGCTACTATTTGGATTGTACAATATCATGATTCTTAGAATGTAATGAAAAAGGAAAGCCCTTTCTTCACATGAAATCTGCTGAAGAAGGTCTCCTTGTAAAGCAGATAAGAGCTGGCAGAAGGCAGGACAGCTTGAGGCCAGGTCGCCCATCTCCAGTCTCTCCCTCCACCCTGGGACCTCTTCTCACCCCTAGAATCTCCCCCTCCCGGCCTCTTCCCCTAAGTCTCTTCCTCCATTCCCAGACACCTATGGTTCCAACTGGCCAGGTACATCCGGGCCACTTAAAGGCCCCTGTTAAGCTGCAGAGTTGAGAGCAGTGTGAGAATCTCTGCTCCCTTAGCAGGTGGAATTCCATTCTTTTGAAGCCAAGGGAGGCAAAAAAGCAGAGACGGTTCTTATGATTTCCTTGACTGACTGATAAGTTTCCCAGACACGCTATTCCCCACGGTGGACTTGACGGCCGCAAACCCTATCGGATTCAGGTTACCTGAACACGATCTCATATTTCCCCACATTCCTCCCCACGGCGGACTTGATGGCCTTACATCTGATGGGATTCCAGTTACCTGAACGCGATCTCATATTTCCCACGGTTCTTCAATTGCAGGGGCTGCTTCGCCTCCTCTGTGACCCTGACAATCCCAAAATCCAGTCCCCCTTCAGCTCCTGCAGAGACCAGGGGCCAGGGCAGAGAGGGGTGAATGGGCATGAGAGTGGGAAGCAGGGGAAGTGCCTGTTGAAATTCACATGGAAAACGCATGGTGACAGTTTAAGAGAATTTGTTTTCTGAAAGTACTGTGGCTAGAAAAGCCTCTTATAATTGAATCTGGGCAAACAAACAACAGATGCTGCTCTTGATGCACTCTACAGGGCTGGTCCCTCTGGATTCCCTCCATCCTAGGATCATTGCCTTTCATGTCTACCATCAGCTAAAACTTTCAGTATTTAAAAAAGTCTTGCATAAAGTTGGGATATTACACATATATTTATGTTGTTTTACTTAGTATTACTTCATAAGCATTTCCCCCAAATAATTAAAAACTCCTCATAAGTGTGTTCTTTGTGGCTGCATAATATCCCACGATATGGTGGTTCCATAATTCATGATATTATTCCTACAATACTACTATTTCATTATTGATGGGCATTTAGGTTTTTCCAACTTTTCATTGTTATAAAAAATGCTGCAATAAAAGATCTTTGTACATGAGACTCATGACATCTAAACACGTGGCTCTAACATTCTATGAGTTTTGCTGAGGAGACCTCTTGGGGAAAGGAGGGAAATGCAGAGCTGTAGGCTAAAGGGAGAGCTGAAACTCGGGTGTTAGGGCAGTGCAGGGACAGATAACAGCCTCAGCCCCACCTCCCAATTCCTGGAATCTGTGAGTATGCTACCTTACATGGCACAGGGGAATTAAAGAAGCAGATGGAATTAATTCACTGACCTACAAATACAGAGATTAATTTGGAATATCTTGGTCAGCTCAATATAATCACAAGGGGGCTTAAGAGCAAAAGAGGAAGGCAGGGTGGGAGAACCAGAGAAAAGGCAACGTGAGATGGAGTTGGCCCAACCTTGCTGTCTTTGAATGTGGAGAAAGGGGACCATGTGGGCGGCCTCTAGGAGTTGGAAACGGTATGGAAATGGATTCTCCCCCAGAGCTTCCAGAAGGGAAGGCAGCCCTGCTGACACCTTGATTTTAGCCCAGTGAGACCCATTTTGCACTTGTGACTTCCAGAACTGTAGGGCAATATGTTTGTGTTGTTTTAAGCCAGAAAGCTTATGGGGACATTTTATGGCAGTGATAGAAAACTAATACAGGAAAGAGGAGAGGTGTTTACTGTAAATGACTGCTCTGAAAAGAGCTCTGCAAATTTTACACCTATGACCACCCGCTTTCTACCTCTGGTTGGAGAAATTACGATTTGTAGTCATGCTGCTAATATCACTCTGGGGCTCACATTATTATTTATTAAAATTGCCCCATGCCCAATCCCTGCAATACTAACAACACACTAGCCTTTCTCTACACAGAAATACACTATACAAAAGACCCAACTTCCAAACATCCTGTCCTTGAAGGGCCCAACAGACCTTTGGGGAAGGTGATGTCCAAGGCGATGTCGTATGCCTCTGCAAAGACCATGATATTTTCAATCTGAACAACACCAAGAAGATTTTCTGCATCTAAAACCTGGCAGGGAAAGGGAAAGTCTTCAGTAAAAGCAAGACCTATAGGTGCTTGGAGCCTGAAACATGTAATATCCTAACGGGGATACGGCAGGGAACGTTTTGAAGTGTATTCCCCTGTAGGTATTTTATCTTCGCCAAGCATTTGGTAGGATTTGTGCTCCTCTTAATACTCTGGGGAATGCTGGTACAAAGAATACAAGAATGGGGAAAAGGGACTGACTTTTTTATTGTTGCTACATTACTGAAGTTTGGGCTTGGGGTAGACATTACAGGAAAGTGGTTTTCTTTTTTGAGGCAGGCTCTCACTCTGTCACCCAGGCTGGAGTGCAGTGGCGCAATCTCGGCTCACTGCAGCCTCAACCTCCCGGGCTCAAGCCATCCTCCCATCTCAGCCTCCCGAGTAGGTGGGACTACAGGAGTGCATCATCATGCTTGGCTAATTTTTGTATTGTTTTTTATAGAGATGGGGTTTCACCATGTTGCCTAGGCTGGTCTTGAACTCTTGAACTCAAACAATCCTCCCGTCTCAGCCTCCAAAAGTGTTGGGGTTATAGATGTGAGCCATCATGCCCAACTGTTTTTTTTTTTTTTTTTTAACTTCTAAATCAAATGAACCTAGTGAGCACTGCCCTGACAGTTGAAATGGAAAACCTTCATGCTCCAGGTCATCCTTGCTCTACTCATTTTATAAATTTGAATCGTTCTGTTCTTTGTTTGTGGCTCAGCCTGTGGGGAAAGTGCTAGACTTTTCGTAGAAAGCAAGTGTTTAATGTTTGGAAATACCCAATGTTTTATTTCTGTGAATATCGTGGACCCCTCTGTTGTCATGCCTGGGGATGGTCCCTCCCTCATTGTTCTCTGGCACCTCTAAACTGCTGCAGCTGTCAGCCTGACCTGATTGCTGACTCTTTTTTTCCCTCTTCTTTATATATACATATATTTTATTTTGATAGCTTTTGGGGGTACAAATGGTTAGACTGACAACCCACAGAATGGCAGAAAATATTTGCAAACTATGCATCTGACAAAGGACTAATATCCAGAATATACAAGGAACTCAATCAAATCAACAAAAAAATCCCCAAATAATCCCATCAAAAAGTGGGTAAATGACATGAACCAACTGTTGCCTCTTGAGGCTAACTAGGAGGCGGTAAAGGGTCCATCTGTCCAGGAAAAGAACTGGGGGGCAGTGGGGGAAGCTCTCCTGGGTCTGCTCTGGGGAGTCCACCTCTGTCTCTGCTCCAGTTGAAAGCCCAAGCCACCCACTCCCTATTGCATGTGCTTTGGGTGCCAGAAGGAAATTTGCAGCTGTCACCAAACTCAAGTTTTAATTCAGAATTTCCATCTTCTCTTTCATTAGATGCTTGCCAATGTTTCACAGAGCAAACTGGACCGACTTGAGTTTCGCCTTCTTTCTCTGACTGCTTGCCCTCTGACAGATGACAAGGTGGGCTGACAGGATGTGTGTAGTGCCTCCCTCCTGAGGGATGCCAAGTGCCTGGAGCCTTCTATTTCTCGGCTTCCCCAGGGTGGGTCGGAGGCAGTGGGGAGGCTGAATTTTGAATTGAGGAAAATAGGAAGGACAATTGAAGAGTTATACAGATGAAATAAAACAAGTTCACCAAAGGCTTTCAAAAGGGACTGGAGATGAAGGCATTTCCTTCTGTGGATGTGGAAGTGAATATAAGTTCACTTTGCGGGGCTCTACGGAGTTCCACGCTGCTTTGTTCAGAGCCCTAATCAGGCTGCTGTTTGGCTGGGACACATGGAGATGGTCACAACAGTTGTGAAAATACAAAAATGTGGCCGGTTGCAGTGGCTCACGCCTATAATCCCAGCACTTTGGGAGGACAAGGGGGGCAGATCGCTTGAGCTCAGGAGTTTGGGACCTGCCTGGGCAACATGGCAAGACCTCATCTCTACAAAAAATACAAAAATTAGCTGGGTGTGGTGGTGCACGCCTGTGGTCCTAGCTACTCAGGAGGCTGAGGTGGGAGGATTGCTTGAGCCCAGGAGGTGGAAGTTGCAGTGAGCTGAGATTGCACCACTGCACTCCAGCCTGAGCAACAGAGTGAGACCCTGTGTCAAGAAAAATAAAACAAAATAATAATAAAAACAAAAGCCTTTCTGTACCAGTTGGTAAGCAGCTGTCATGATGACCTCTCCAATATCCCCTTGCTGCCTGCCTCCTGTGCATCCCCACCACAGGAACCCCTGGACTCCCCATGATCCAGCAACTAGAGGACGAAGCTGGCACAGCTGTGGGACTCCAGGCCCTACACCAGCCAGGGGTCTGGGTACCTGGTGCAGAGCTCTGTGCCTGTGCAGAGGCTGGTGCTAAAAGCGTTGACCAGAACCTCTGGGCTTCTACACATTCATGGAGTGAATGAATCTATCAATATCTGTTTTCAGCCCTTTCAGTGAAGGGCTGTCATTGATAAGGGATAAGAGAGATTAGATCCACTGAGTGGCCCCAAAAGGTAGAAACATGATTCATGCATGTAATTGACAGGAAGAATTCTGAGCTCAACCCAAAGAAGAATTGACAGACCTGTTTAAAGGCAGAACAGGCTGCTTTAAGCGGTAGTGGTAAATTTTGTGTTCCTGGAAGCATTCAAAGAGAAGCTGGGATGATCCCGTGAATGTCAAAGAATCAGTTCAAGTATTTTTTTTTTTTTTGAGACAGAGTCTTGCTCTCTTGCCCAGGCTGGAGTGCAGTGGTGCGAACTTGGCTCATTGCAACCTCCGCCTCCAGGGTTCAAGTGATTCTCCTGCCTCAGCCTCCCGAGTAGCTGGGGTTACAGGCGTGCGCCACCACATCCGGCTAATTTTTGTAATTTGTAATTTTTGTAATTTTGTATTTTTGTATTTAGAGGTGCAATTTCACCATGTTGGCCAGGGTGGTCTTGAACTCCTGACCTCAAGTGATCTACCCACCTAGGCCTCCCAAAATGATGGGATTACAGGCGTTAGCCACCATGCCCGGCCTAGTTCAAGTACTAAAACTCAATGGCATTCATTCATTCATTAGATTCTGCTGAGTGCCTACTTCATCCAATCCCATGCTAGACACTGGGAATATGATGGTATGGGGAGTTGAACTGTGGTCCCCCAAAAAGTATGTCTACTTCTTAACTCCTGGAGCCTGTGAATATGACCTTATTTGGAAAAAAGGGTATTTGTGGATTTAATTAAGTCAAAGATCTAGAGATGAGATCGTCTTAGATTATCTGAGTGTGCCTTAAATCCAATGATAAATATTCTTATAAGAGACGGAAGAGAAGACACAGACAGAAGAGGTGTTGTGATGATGACAGAGGCAGAGACTGGAGTGATGCAGCCACAAGCTGAGAACACTCGCAGGAGACCCCAGAAGCTGAAGGGGAGAGAGAGGAAGGGTTCTTCCCTGGAGCCTTCAGAGAGAGCATGGCCCTGCCGGCACCTTGATTTTGGACATCTCGCCTCCAGAACGGTGAGAGAGGAATGTCTGTTTTTTAGTCACCCAGTATATGCTAATTTGTTGTAGTAGCCTTGGGGAACTAAGACAGATGTTAAGTCAGGTGAGATCCTGCCCTGATGCAGTTCATATAAGAAAGTAAAGAAAGAAGCAGGATAATGTTAGGAAGAGGTGGTGCTCTGAAGGATGGAAGACGGGGTGGGTTATTGCACGTAAGAGGGATTCTCTCAAAGGGATGATTAGAGAAGCCCAGTTGAAACAGCAATGTTGGGGGACCCTAAAGCTGGAGCCTAAGGGCAGATTCCCAGCAGGGTTGCAACAAGGTCAGTGGCTTGAGCCAAGAAACAGCCAAGACAGTGCGTGGGAGCCAATGATTGAGGGCGAGGGTGGAGCAAGTTGCGATGTGGAGGCAGGCATTGTCTCAGAGGCAGGTGAGGACCCCGGGCTTTATTCCTACTGCAGTGGGAAGCCAGGAGAGTGCGTTAGGTGGGGCATAACCTGTCTGAATGACATTGTAAAGATCCCTCTGGACACTGTGGCGAATGCCAACAGGGAAGCCAGTTAGGAAACCTCTGTAGAAGTCCAGGTGAGAGAAGCTGCAGGTGGCCTGGACAAGGTGGTGGCAACAGCGAGGAGAAAGAAGTGGATGGGAAAGATACATCGGGAGGCACCATGCCTGTAATCCCAGCACTTTGGGAGGCCGAGGCAGGAGGATCACTTGAGGTCAGGAGTTTGAGGCCAGCCTGGCCAACATGGTGAAACCCCGTCTCTACTAAAAATACAAAAAGTTAGCTGGGTGTAGTGGCGCGTGCCTGTAGTCCCAGCTACTCTGGAGGCTGAGGCAGGAGAATTGCTTGAACCCTGGAGGTGGAGGTTGCAGTGAGCCGAGATCACACCACTGCACTCCAGCCAGGGTGACAGAGCGAGACTCCATCTCAAAAAAAAAAAAAAAAAGATACATTGGGAGGTAAAATTAGCAACCTTTGTTGGAGGCCTGCGTCGGAAGGGAGGCCATTAAGAAAAGGGGGAATTAAGGCTGATCCCCAGGTGTCTGTTGGGAGCAACAGGGTGGAGGGTGACATTTCCCCAGATAGGAATCCGATAGGTGACTGGGTTTAGGAGTGTGAAATCAGGACTCTGATGCTTACCTAGGTATAGCAACACCATTTGTTCATTTGTTCATTCATTCATTCATTCATTCATTCATTCATTTATTTGTTCCTTCCTTCCACATTGATTGCTCTGTTCCTGGCACTGGGGAATCAGCCATAAGCAATATTGCCTCTATGGAGCTTGCAGTTGTGTGCACAGCAAGAGATTGTGGACTGGGGATATCGAAAGGGGATCAGATAGGAGCATGTAACAGGGAGACCTCTGTGTGTGTGTGTGTGTGTGTGTGTGTGTGTGTGTGTGTGTGTGTGTACATGCTTTGATAACCAAGTCTGTGGATGTGTGAAGCCTCACCTCCAACCGAATAGCCTTCTTGATGTTGACAGGCTTGGTGGGCTGAAAGTACAGGTGCAGGCCGTACTCAGCCTCAGGGGGGATGGTCCCCTGCATCAGGGATACAGTGAAATCATCACCCAAGTGCTCCAGGCTGGTGATCCGCCAGGCCACAGGCAGGAGCGTGACATTGCGGAGAAGAACTACCCTGGATTCCTGTCTGCAGAGACAAAAGGAAAGTTGCAATTTCATTTCAAATTTTGTAGTTTCATGTGTTTTTTTTTTAACTTTTGTTTTAGGTTCAGGGGTTCATGTGCAGGTTTGTTGTATAGGTAAACACATGTCATGGGGGTTTGCTGTACAGATTATTCCATCACCCAGGTCCTAAGCCTAGTACCCAATAGTTATTTTTTCTCCTCCTCTCCCTCCTCCCACCCTCCACCCGCAAGCATCCTCAAGTGTCTGTTGCTCCCCATTTTGTGCCCACTGGTTCTCATCACTTAGCTCCCACTTCCAAGTGAGAACATGGGGTATTTGGTTTTCCGTTCCTGCATTAGTTTGCTAAGGATAATGGCCATAATACTTAGCATATATTTTCTTTCTTTTTTTTTTTTTTTTTTGGAGACGGAGTCTTGCTCTGTCATCCAGTCTGGAGTGCAGTGGTGTGATCTCGGCTCACTGCAACCTCTGCCTCCCAGGCTCAAGCAATTCTCCTGCCTCAGCCTCCTGAGTAGCTGGGATTATAGGCACCCGCCACCATGCCTGGCTAATTTTTGTATTTTTAGTACAGACGGGGTTTCACTGTGTTAGCCAGGCTGGTCTTGAACTCCTGACCTCGTGATCTGCCCGTCTCGGCCTCCCAAAGTGCTGGGATTATAGGCGTGAGCCACTGCACCCGGCCAAGCATATGATTTTTAAAAATTGCAGTTTCTCTTTCATGTGTGGGTGCTGAACAACATTTCTTAACCCTTTTTCGAATTGTTTTATTTAGGTCTACCATATTTTTACTTTGTGTTTCATTGAAAAAAAAATTCACATATAAGCAGACCCACCCAGTTCAAACCTGCATTGTTCAAAGGTCAACCGTATTTTCCTTTAGCACATTAAAAATGCCATTCTATTGTCTTCCAGCTTCCTTTGTTACTGATGAAGCGTCAGTCATATTGTATTTCATTTTATCCTGGCTGCTTTCAAGATTTTCTCTTAATTTCTGCTTTTAAGTAGTTGGACTAAACTTTGACTTAATGTATTGACTTAATGTGTTATTTCTTGGTTATTAATCTATTATATAAAATAGGTGGAGTTGATATTATTAACCCCAGATGACCTATAAAAAACCTGAAACATCCAGGCACAGTGGCTCAGCCTGTAATCCCAGCACTTCAGGAGGTTGGGATGGGTGAATTACCGGAGCTCAGGAGTTGAGACCAGCCTGGGCAACATGGCAAAACCCTGTCTCTACTAAAAACAAAAATACAAAAAGTTAGCTGGGTGTGGTGGCACATGCCCACCCATAATCCCAGCTACTCAGGAGGCTGAGGCAGGAGAATCGCTTGAATCCGGGAGGCAGAGGTTGCAGCAAGCCGAGATCGCACCACTGTACTCCAGCCTGGGCGACAGAGTGAGACTCTGTCTCGAAACAAAAAAAATCCCTGAAGCTTAGAGAGGTTAATTGATGGCCCCGAAGTCACAGATTTAGTGGCAAGACTTGGGCTATAACTATATTTATCCAGCTTAAGGTTTGCTAAGCTTCTTGGAACTATAAGTTTTTGCTTTTTCACCAAATTTGGGAAAGTTCCATCTACTCTTTAAATATATATATATATATATATATATATATTTTTTTTTTTTTTTTTGTCCCACTCTCTCTCTTTTCCTTCTGGGATTCCAATCACAAATATGTTAGTTAGACTGCTTGATGTTGTCCCACTATTTACCGGGGTTCTGCTCATTTTTACCAATATTTTTCTCTCTATGCTTTTTTTTTTTTTCGAGACAAGGTTTCACTCTATCACCCAGGCTAGAGTGTAGTGGCATGATCATGACTCACTGGAGGTAAGAAAAAGCACTTTTGGTTACTTCAGTTATTACTTAGTTCTTTAATTAGTATTTATCAGGAAATGGGGCTGGTGGTGGTGATTAAAGAATGCAGGACACGTATCATAACAATATTCTCTCCCAGAAGCCCCAGAAATAAACATTTTTCTATTTAGAATAATAATACCAATTCCAATAATAATTCCAATTAATGAATATGTAAGTTCTAGTTTTGGTCTAATGTTCTGCTTCTACTCTAACTTCTAGAGCAAAGATTCTTAACCTCTTGGGCAACAGACTGCTTTGAGAATCTGAAGAAAGCTGGTCCTTCTGCAGAAACACAGACATACGCATATTTTGGTAGTTGATCTTAGGGGGGTCCTTGGCCCTGCTGAAGTTCATCCACTGAACCCAAGTTAACAATCTGTTAATTAAATAGGTTTACTAACCATCCTGGTTTGCATAGGACCAAGGAGTTTCCCAGGGTGCAGAACTTTCAGTGCTAAAACCAGGAGAGTCTGGAGTAAATCAGGATGAGTTGGTTACCCTAGAACTAAACGCTCTTTAAATTCCCTTCCAGTCCTGACATGATCTAGAACTCTGACCTGTGCAGCAAGAGCCGGTCAAAATGTAATTGCCTGGGTTCCAGCTCTAGTTCCGGGCGGATCCCCTGGCAGCTTAATTGGAAGATGGCTGGCTCTGGGTTGTCATTGATGCAGCAGACAATGCTGTCTTCAAAGACACCAACTGAAGTAGGGTAGGCCCATACGTTTAATATCTGATGGAAGGAAAAGTCAAAAGAAAGTACATTTACACCAAGGATGCCAAGGCCTCAAATTTCCCAAGAAAGCCTTGCCCTGGTGACTTGTGTCCACATGACCGTACCTGCTTCTCATTGGGTTTCAGGACCATGGTGTTGGGTTCCAGGAAGTACGTGTTTGCTTTGACATCATTCTGAAAATAGAAGGATGCCTCCACCACCATTAAGGAAGTGTTCAGGATTGTTAGCGTCTCCATGTTGCCTGGGAATAAGGATGACTTGTACCTGGGGATGAACAAGAATGGGGTTAACGGTATGAAGACTGAATGAGAATGCAGGTGGAAAAGAAGGCTGTGATGAGAAAGGCAATTCAGAGGGACAGTGTGGCTGCATGGAGGCAGTGGCATGGTGGCTAAGAACATGAGATCTGTAGTTGTGCAGACTTGCCTTGGAGAATAAATGCTACACTGTGACTTGGCTCCCTCAAGCCTTGGTCTCCTTATCTCTAAAATGAGGTGATAATACCACTTAGGACTGCTGAGTAGGAAGTGAGATCACACATCTAAAGCTCTCAGGACAGCTGTGGATAGCAAATGCCCAGTGAATGTTAGCTATGATTATTGCAAAGAATCCTGAGAAATATGTAGATCTATCCTTACACCTGCTTATATCCCTGAGAGAGATTATCACTTGAGTAACTTTTTTTTTTTTTTTTTTTTTTTTTTTTTTTTTTTTTTTTTGAGGGAGTTTCGTTCTTGTTGCCCAAGTTGGAGTGCAGTGGCGCAATCTCAGCTCACTGCAACCTCCACCTCCTGGGTTCAAGCAATTCTCCTGCTTCAGCCTCCCAAGTAGCTGGGATTACAGGTGCATGCCACCACACCTGGCTAATTTTTTGTATTTTTAGTAGAAACGGGGTTTCACCATGTTAGCCAGGCTGGTCTCGAACTGGTGACCTCAGATGATCCGCCTGCCTGGGCCTCCCAAAGTGCTGGGATTACAGGCATGAGCCACCGTGCCCGGCCTCACTTGAGTAATTTTTTATTTCACATCTGTTTTAGAGATGACCTCATTCACCTCCTTCTCCCAAACCCTCAGAGAATGTTACTGTTCTGACATGAATTCATTTGGCCTTGTTCACTGTTAGGAGGCAGTTTCTGTTCCTTAGTACCTTAAGGAGAGATCTGCAGAGTTGAGCACTGGGGGCACTGAGGGAGACTCAGTTAATAGTAACTGAGCGAAGCAAACCAGAAGGCCCAAGGGAAAAAGAGGCACATCATCAGAGGTCACGGCACAGGCTAGGAAAGCAGAAACACTCTGAAAAAGGTTTTAGATAGGCCATGATGGAGGATGAAAGGAGAGAGAATGACAGAGACCAAATGAGAGTCAGTGAAACAGAGAACACTCCGTATGAATATCTGCCAAAGGGGTGCCGCCTTCTCACTTAACCGCTAATCACTTCCATCCGGCACTGTGCTAAAGGCTCCAGGTGCGTTACCCAGTTCAGTCCTCACGAATTTGTTGCTTTCCCATTTTGCAGATGAGGACACTGAGGCTCAGCACGGTTTAAAATAATAAGTGAACAGGCTTGGCACAGTGGCTCACGCCTGTAATCCAGCACTTTGAGAGGCTGAGGTGGGCAGATTGCTTGAGCTCGGAGTTCGAGACCAGCCTGGGCAACATGGTGAAACCCCATCTCTACAAAAATTAGCCAGGTGTGGTTGCACACACCTGTAGTCCCAGCTACTGGGGAGGCAGAGGTGGGAGGATTGCTTGAGCCTGGGAGCTCAAGGCTGCAGTGAGCTGAGATTGCACCACTGCATTCCAGCCTGGGTGACGGAGTAAGACCCTATCTTAAAAAAAAAAAAAAAAAAAAAGACAAGAAAAGAAAAGAATGAGTGAATAATACACAGTTGTACTGGAACTTATTTTGGATTACCATAGTCACTGTCCTTCCCACATCAGTGTCATCTCGCCCAACATCCTGGTTAATTCCAATGCTGCCCCAAACATGTGCCTCTTTGAACAACCATCATTTCCCTGACTCCTACTCCCAGACTGTTCTGTACCTCATGTCCATCAACCTGACCATACTTTTCCCTCCTAAGCCCTCCTGTCTGGCTTTGAAGATCTTCTCCATCATCAGCAAATTCCCTTCATCTTCAATTTTTAATCCAGCATCTCAGGGAATAAAGTGGAGGTAATAAGGGAATGGAGGACAAAGATGGCCCATAAGCTGCACCGAGAAAGCCCAGAAATTAACACCCTCTACTTAGCACAAGAAACATTGTATTGAATGAAGACATGGTGGAGACCTTGGTTCCAGTTTTGGTTTCACTCCCTGCCTATATGATAAGAAATTTGTATATAACTGAAAAAAAACTAGAATTGCTAAGAATGGCTGATCATCAGTCTCACCTGTGGGTCCCCAATTCTGCCTAAAAATCTCAGTCTGTTTCTCTAACATGCTCCCTCTCCTACTTTCCACAAAAACTGTTTTTCATACCCCCTCTATTTCCTCAAGATTTTAAACTTTCGCCACTCCCCTCACTTGCAATGGATGACCACACATCATTTGTCAAGGAGAAAAAGACATGATTGCGTAGGAGTCTCCTCACCCTTCCAATCAAATTGTAAACCTACCTTCTGCAATGCCATCTCGCCTTTCTCCCCGTTGGCATGCAGTGACAGTCCCTCTTCCTGGCACAAGCCAGCCTCCCCACATCCCACTGTGTTGTCTCAAGGAGCTATGCCATTGATGGCCCTTCCCATCTCCTGAAATTCCAACCTCTTCCTTCCATTTCCTCTCAGCATGCAAGCCTCATAAGAATAACAGCGCACGAACAGCCTGCCCTGCGCTCCAGGCTTTCCTCCCATCTCCCTTCAGAGCCAAGCTTCTCCAAAGAGTTATCTTCTTCACATCTGACTTCTCACTTCACTTTGCTTGGGCACAGAACTCTTGCTAAGGCCCCTAGTGACCTCCATGTTGTTGAACCCTGTGGACATCTATGCCCTCATCCTTCTGCCCTCTCCTCAGTATTCAGTGTAGCAACCATGTCCTCTCTTCATGGCTCCATAACACTGGTCTTTTTGGTTTCCCCAATAGCGCTAGCTCTCTTTCTCATCTCCTTGCTCCTCCTTTTGTGCATATTGGAGTTATTCAGGGCTTCTTTTCTTCTTACCTGTACAGTCCTCTCTCAGGCAATCTCATCTACGTCTGTGGCTTTTGTTGCCTTGAAGAGTGATCTCTCCTTTGAGAACCAAAGCTGTATAACCTATTCTCTGCTTCATGTAACTACAGAAATATCTTCCCAGCCTCTTAAACTGAACATAAGCTAAAGCAAACTCTTGATCCTACCCTGATCAAGCCTGAAACCTCTCCTAGGCTTTCCCATATGGGAACATGGCACCCTCATTCCTCTGGGTGTCCAGCAGGGAGTTGGGACACAAGAACCCAGTTCTCCTGATTTGTGGTTGGGGCTAAGAGAGGCAGCATTAGTAAAAGCTACATCTATGTACACAGGAATCCTACTTGCACTGTTCATGAGCCCAACCCAGCAGTCTGAAATCTGCTTTAAAATAATGGAACACTTACTTATCTCTTGATTTTCCACAAAGTAGTGGCCCAAAGTAGTACGTCTCCGTGCTCATAACATACTTCTTAAAGATGACCTCATTTGTCTTCATGTCCATCTTCCGCTGAGGAAATACCACTCTGAACACAGGAGGGGAAAAGGTGAGGAGAGGCTGCCTGAACAGAAGTTTGATGCTGCCACGTGATGTTTACATAAACCCAATATTCCCTGCTCAACACGGGATCCGGGCATCTGGAGACAGAGTGACTCTTCTTTGTCCCAGCTCCTTCCCACCACCAGAGAAGACAGTATGAAATGAACTTGAAAAAAAAAGACTCCCAGTGGTGTCTTCTATAATGAGGAGCAGTGACAGAGCTGAGTCAGATATTCTGTCCCAGTGCACCCAGCTGAAAACATTCCTGAGAATCCCTATGGAAAATTGGTTCTGGGAGATATGAATTAGCTTCTGAGTCCCTTGGTCTAATATGGCCAGTTGCTCAGCCAGGTGCTTTTCTGTAGTGTAGGAGCTCTACAGTGGTGTTCAGTAGCTTGGAAAAATTTCACCCATGCAGAGTCACACATGGTTTCTATACTACAGGATAGAACTGCTTTAAATTTGCTTAATAGTTAAATGAGCAAACTAATTTGCCAAAGGAAGACTTTTTTCCTCCCCCTTTGCACCTATGATCATTCTCTTTATTGCAGTCTAGGAATCCTGGTAGTATCATGTCCTCCCTGTGGCTCTTGGTCAATATTCAAGACATGGAAGCTGATATGACAAGAGGGGCTGGGGTGCTGCCCCAGCTCCACGTTATGGTAAGAGCCACCTTGTTCAAAGTGCCATGGAGGAAAATGAAAACACATCTGTCAACCTTTTCTTTTAAAATGAAACACACTTACTTTGGGTCTTGGCAAATGTATGGGTAAGTGCAGATGCCTCGGCAGTAGAGCTGGTACTGGCAGCAAGTTCCTAGGATCTCAAAGTTAAAGGTTTGGTCAAAGTTCCCGAACTCATCAGAAGAGAAGTGCACCTGCAACGTTACCTCGCCATTGGCTGGCACGATCCACCGGAAGTGATTCAGTCTGCAAATGACCACACAGGTTTATAAAGTGAGAGTGCTCCCCTCTGGCCAAGAGAAGACAGGAGAGCTGCCTGGAAGTCCTGTCCTGTTGGGGTGGGCATGGTGGCCCCTGGAGCCCCACAGACAGGACAGCTCTGTTCCCCTCCAGTGCTGTGACAGTCACACCCTCAGTGTGGGCTTTGGCCCAGATTCCCCTCCCTGGGTTGCTGGAAGGCCCACCTGGTGAATTTCTCCTGGGAGTGCTGCCCGTTGAAGTTGTCCAGGTCTGTATCTGACAGCTGGGAAATGGTTCCAGCAGGTTCCCCAGAAAGGACCTTCCTGTTTAAGGCCATGTGACGCTTGTCTTTCTGAATCTCGAAGACTTGGTCTATCTTTTCTTTCATTTTCTGTTTGCCCCCCTTAGATGAGCTGGTCTGCTCCTCTTGAGCCTTAATTAAAAACGAGCATGAGGTCTTAAATATTCACTTTTTGTACACACAAACAGAAGACAGAGATGGCCACATGTCTGTCATCTGGGGAGATGGTGCTGCAGGGTCAGGAAGGCTAGAGCAGGGCAGGGTCTAGTCTTGGGTAGTGACAAGACCAGTGCATTCCTTGGCACCCTAGTCCCTCAGAAGGAGGATGAAACCCTAGAGAAAGCTGGAAGCTGGAGGGTGTGCGTGGAACTCAAGTCTTAGCTCCTGGCAGAACCCACAATGGACAGCGGGGATTGTAGCCTTCTTGGTACCACTAAGCCAGTTATCCCCATCTGCTTGCTGTCTACTTCCTAATATTTTGTTGGCATATACCCCTCACCACCAGCTCTCTCTCCTTCTCTTTATTCTTAGAATTATACATGAAAAGAAAATCTTACTGTTTTGGGAGAGGTAGAGATAAACATGTGTTTAATCTGCTGTGTTTAATAAGAAGTTCCCATTTTTCTAGTGGTATTTTCATGTTTCCTGATCAAAAAAAAATTTTTGCCTTTAATTTATTTATCATTTCCACCATCTTTTAAAAAAGAAAACTTTAAGAGTTGAAGGCCTGGTACAGTAATAACTAGTTTTAACAGTTGCCACTTTTTCTCCTGAGCCATTTGAAGATACCTTGCAGACATGATGACTCCTTGCCTCTAAATACACCTCCTCAAGAAAGGACTTTCTCCTGCAATCCTGCACAATACTGTCATCACACCTAAGAAAATGAACAATAATTCCACACTATCGTTCTGGCACACAGTCTATATTAAAATTTTCCTATTTGTCTCAGGCATGTCTTTTTTTTTTTTTTTTTTTTTTTTTGAGATAGAGTCTCGCTTTGTCGCCCAGGCTGCAGTGCAGTGGTGCCATCTCAGCTCACTGCAAGCTCCGCCTCCTGGGTTCACGCCATTTTCCTGCCTCAGCCTCTGAAGTAGCTGGGACTACAGGCGCCTGCCACCACGCCTGACTAATTTTGTGTATTTTTAGTAGAGACGGGGTTTCACCATGTTAGCCAGGATGGTCTCGATCTGACCTCGCGATCCACCTGCCTCAGCCTCCCAAAGTGCTGGGATTACAGGCGTGAGCCACCGCGCCTGGCCTCAGGCATGTCTTTATTTATAGACATTTTTTCCCAAATAAGTATTAATCAAAGTTCCTATATTGTGTTTTGTTATGTTTCTTTTTTAATTTTTTATTATTTTTCTATTTTTTATAGGTTATTGGGGTACAGGTGGTATTTGATTACATGAGTAAGTTTTCTGGTGGCGATTTGTGAGATTTTGGTGCACCCATCACCCGAGCAGTATACACTGCACCCTATTTGTAGTCTTTTATCTCTTGCCCTCTCCCACCCTTCCCCCCAAGTCCCCAAAGTCCATTGTATCATTCTTATGCCTTTGTGTCCCCATAGCTTGGCTACCACATATCAGTGAGAACATACGATGTTTCCCATTCCTGAGTTACTTCACTTAGAATAATAGTCTCCGATATCATTCAGGTAGCTGTGAATGCCGTTAATTCATTCCTTCTTATGGCTGAGTAGTATTCCTTTGTGTATATATATACCACAGTTTCTTTATCCACTTGTTGACTGATGGGCATTTGGGATGGTTCCACCATTTTGCAATTGTGAATTGTGCTGCTATAAACATGTGTGTGCAAGTATCTTTTTCGTATAATGACTTCTTTTCCTCTGGGTAGATATGCAGTATCTAGATCCAGATCTGCTGGATCAAATTGCAGTTCTACTTTTAGTTCTTTAAGGAATGTCCACATTGTTTTCCATAGTGGTTGTACTAGTTTACATTCCCATCAGCAGTGTAGAAGGGTGTTTCTTGATGCACCGCATCCATGCCAACAGCTACTGTTTTTATTTATTTATTTATTTTTTATTTTTTGATTATGGTCATTCTTGCAGGAGTAAGGTGGTATCACATTGTGGTTTTGATTTGCATTTCCCTGATCATTAGTGATGTTGAGCATTTTTTCATATGCTTGTTGGCCATTTGTATATCTTCTTTTGTGAATTGTCTATTCATGTCTTTAGCCCACTTTTTGATGGGATTATTTGTTTTTTTCTTGCTGATTTGTTTCAGTTCATTGTAGATTCTGGATATTAGTCCTTTGTCAGATGTACAGATTGTGAAGATTTTCTCCCACTCTGTAGGTTGTCTGTTTACTCTGCTGACTGCTACCTTTGCCATGCAAAAGCTCTTTAGTTTAATTAAGTTCCAGCTAATTATCTTTGTTTTAATTGCATTTGCTTTTGGGTTCTTGGTGATAAAATCCTTGCCTAAGCCAATGTCTAGAAGGGTTTTTCCAATGTTATCTTCTAGAATTTTTATAGTTTCAGGTCTTAGATTTAAGTCCTTAATCCATCTTGAGTTGATTTTTGTATAAGGTGAGAGATGAGGATCCAGTTTCATTCTCCTACATGTGGCTAGCCAATTATCCCAGCACTATTTGTTGAAAAGGATGTCCTTTCCCCACTTTATGTTTTTGTTTGCTTTGTCGAAGACCAGTTGGCTGTAAGTATTTGGGTTTCTTTCTGGGTTCTCTATTCTGTTCCATTGGTCTATATGCCTATTTTTATATCAGTAACATGCTGTTTTGGTGACTATGGCCTTACAGTATAGTTTGAAATCAGGTAGTGTGATGCCTCCAGATTTGTTCTTTTTGCTTAGTCTTGCTTTGGCTATGTGGGCTCTTTTTTGGTTCCATATGAATTTTATAATTTTTTCCTAATTCTGTGAAGAATGATGGTGGTATTTTGATGGAAATTGCATTGAATTTGTAGATTGCTTTTGGCAGTATGGTCATTTTCACAATATTGATTCTACCCATCCATGAGCATGAGATGTTTCCATTTGTTTGTGTCATCTATGATTTCTTTCAGCAGTGTTTTGTAGTTTTCCTTGCAGAGGTCTTTCACCTCCTTGGTTAGGTATATTCCTAAGTATTTTATTTGTTTTTTTGCAGTTATTGTAAAAGAGGTTGAGTTATTGATTTGATTCTCTGCTTGGTCATTGTTGGTGTATAGAAGAGCTACTGATTTGTGTACATTAATTTTGTATCCAGAAACTGCTGAATTCTTTTGTCAGTTCTAGGATCTTTCTAGGGAGTCTTCAGGGTTTTCAAAGTAAATGACCACGTCATCAGCAAACAGTGAGAGTCTGACTTCCTCTTTGCTGATTTGGATACCCTTTATTGCTCTCTCTTGTCTGATTGTTATGGCGAGGATTTCCAGTACAATGTTGAAGAGGAGTGATGAGAGTGGGCATCCTTGTCTTGTTCCAGTCCTTGGAGGGAACACTTTCAACTTTTCCTCATTCAGTATTATGTTGGCTTTGGGTTTGTCACAGATGGCTTTTTTTACATTGAGGTGTGTTCCTTGTATGCTGATTTTGCTGAGAGTTTTAATCATAAAGGGATGTTGGATTTTGTCAAAGGCTTTTTCTGCATCTATTGAAATGATCATGTGATTTTTGTTTTTAATTCTGTTAATGTGGTATATCACATTTATTGACTTGCATATGTTAAACCATCCCTGAATCCCTGGTATGAAACCCACTTGATCATTGTGGATTAACTTTTTGATATGCTGTTGGATTTGATTAGCTAAATGTTAAGGATTTTGGTTAGCTAAATGTTAAGGATTTTAGCATCTATGTTCATCAGGCATATCGGCCTGCAGTTTTCTTTTTTTGGTTGTGTCCCTTCCTGGTTTTGGAATTAGGGTGATGCTGGCTTCATAGAATGAATTAGGGAGGGTTCCCTCTTTCTCTATCTTGTGGAATAGTGTCAATAGGATGGGTATCCATTCTTCTTTGAATGTCTGGTAGAATTCTGCTGTGAATCCATCTGGTCCTGGACTTTTTTTTGGTGGTAATTTTTAAATTACCATTTCAATCTCACTGCTTGTTACTGGTCAGTTCAGGGTATCTAGTTCTTCCTGATTTAAGCTAGGAGGGTTGTATTTTTCCAGGAGTTTATCCATCTCTTCCAGGTTTCCTAGTTTGTGAGTGTAAAGGTGTTCATAGTAGCCTTGAATGATCTTTTGTATTTCTGTGGTGTCAGTTGTAATATCTCCTGTTTGTTTCTTATTGAGGTTATTTGGATTTTTCTCTCTTCTTTTCTTGGTTAATCTTGCTAATGGTCTATCAATTTTATTTATCTCTTCAAAGAACCAGCTTTTTGTTTCATTTATCTTTCGTATTGCTTTTTTTTTTGTTTCAATTTCATTTAGTTCTGCTCTGACCTTGGTTATTTCCTTTCTTCTGCTGGGTTTGGGTTTGATTTGTTCTTGTTTCTCTAGTTCCTTGAGGTGTGACCTTAGATTGGCAGTTAGTGCTCTTTCAGTCTTTTTGATGTGGGCATTTAGGGCTGTGAACTTTCTGCTTGGCATCACCTTTGCTGTATCCCAGAGGTTTTGATAGGTTGTGTCATTCAGTTCTATGAAGTTTTAAATTTCCATCTTGATTTTGTTTTTGACCCAGTGATCATTCGGGAGCAGGTTATTTAATTTTCATGTATTTGCATGGCTTTGAAGGTTCCTTCTGGAGTTGATTTCCAGTTTTATTCCACTGTGGTCTGAGAGAGTGCTTGATATAATTTCAATTTTCTTAAATTTATTGAGGCTCATTTTGCGGCCTATCATATGGTCTATCTTGGAGAAAGTTCCATGAACTGTTGAGTAGCATGTGTATTCTGTGGCTGTTGGATGGAATGTTCTGTATGTATCTGTTAAGTCCATTTGTTCCAAGTTATAGTTTAAATTCATGTTTCTTTGTTGACTTTCTGTCTTGATGGCCTGTCTTGTGCTGTCAGTGGAGTACTGAAGTCCCCCACTATTATTGTGTTGCTGTCTATCTCATTTCTTAGGTCTATTAGTAATTGTTTTACAAATTTGGGAGCTCCAGTGTTAGGTGCATCTGTGTTTAGGACTGTGGTATTTTCTGGTTGGACAGGGCTTTTACCATTATATAATGTCCCTCTTTGTCTTTTTAAACTGCTGTTGCTTTAAAGCTCATTTTGTCTGATATAAGAATAGCTGTCCCTGCTCTCTTTTGGTGTCCATTTGCATGAAAGCCTTTTTCCACCCTTTTACTTTATGTGAGACCTTATATGTTAGGTGAGTCTCTTGAAGGCAGCAGATAGTTGGTTGGTGAATTCTTATCCATTCTGCAGTTCTGTATCTTTTAAGTAAAGCATTTAGGCATTTACATTCAATGTTAGTATTGAGATGTGAGGTACCATTCCATTAATTGTGCTATTTGTTGCCTGTGTACCTTGGTTTTTTGCTTTTTTGTTTTTTTTAATTGTATTTTTGTTTTATAGGTCCTGTGAGGTTTATGCTTTAAAGAAGTTCTGTTTTGATGTGTTTCCAGGATTTGTTTCAAGATTTAGAGCTCCTTTTAGCAGTTCTTATAATACTGGCTTGGTAGTGGCAAATTCTCTCAGCATTTGTTTGTCTGAAAAAGACTGTATCTTTCCTTCATATACGATGCTTAGTTTTGCTGGATACAAAATTCTTGGCTGATACTTCTTTTGTTTGAGGAGTCTGAAGATAGGGCCCCAATCCCTTCTATCTTGTAGGGTTTCTGCTGAGAAATCTGCTGTTAATCTGATAGGTTTTCCTTTGTTGATTATGTTGTTTTTGTCTCACAGCTCTTAAGATTCTTTCCTTCGTCTTAACTTTAAATAAGCTGATGACAATGTGCCTAGGTGATGATCTTTCTGTGATGAATTTTCCAGGTGTTCTTTGTGCTTCTTGTATTTGGATGTCTAGGTCTCTAGCAAGGCTGGGGAAGTTTTCCTCGATTATTCCCCCAGATATGTTTTCCAAACTTTTAGATTTCTCTTCTTCCTCAGGAACACTGATTATTCTTAGGTTTGGTCATTTAACATAATCCCAGACTTCTTGGAGGCTTTGTTCATGTTTTCTTATTCTTTCTTCTTTGTCTTTGTTGGATTGGGTTAATTAGAAGATCTTGTCTTTGAGCTCTGAATTTCTTTCTTCTACTTGTTCAATTCTATTGTTGAGACTTTCCAGAGCATTTTGCATTTCTCTAAGTGTGTTCAATATTTCCTGAAGTTTTGATTGTTTTTTATTTATGCTGTGTATTTCATTGAATATTTCTCCCTTTACTTCTTCTATCATTTTTTGGATTTTCTGGAACTGGGCTTCACCTTTCTCTGGTTACTCTCTGATTGGCTTAATAACTAACCTCCTGAATTCTTTTTCAGGTAAATCAGGGATTTCTTCTTGGTTTGAATCCATTGCTAGTGAGCTACTGTGATTTTGGGGGGCTACTAAAGGGCCTTGTTTTGTCATATTATCAGAGTTGGTTTTCTGGTTCCTTCTTATTTGGGTAGGCTCTGTCAGAGGGAAAGTCTATGGCTGAAGGCTGTTGTTCAGATTCTTTTGTCCCACAGGGTGTTCCCTTGATGTAGTATGCTCCCCCTTTTTCTATGGATGTGGCTTCCTGAGAGCCGAGCTGTGCTGATGGTTATCTCTCTTCTGGGTCTAGCCACCCAGCAAGTCTACCAGGCTCTGGGCTTGTACGGGGGTTGTCTGCACAGAGTCCTGTGATGTGAAACATCTATGGGTCTCTCAGTCATGGACACCAGCACCTCTTCTGGCGGAGGTGGCAGGGGGGTGAAATGAACTCTGTGAGGATTCTTAGCTTTGGTGGTTTAATGCTCTATTTCTGTGCTGGTTGGCTTCCTGATGGGAGGGGGCACTTTCCAGAGACCATCAGCTGTGGTAATATGGAGAGGAAGGAACCAGTGGTGGGTAGTGCCCTAGAACTCCCAAGAATATATGCCCTTTGTGTTCAGGTACCAGGGTGGGTAGGGAAGGACCATCAGTTGGGGACAGGGCTAGGCATGTCTGAGCTCAGACTCTCTTTGGGCTGGTCTTGCTGTGGCTGCTGTGGAGGATGGGGGTGAGGTTCCTAGGTCAATGGAGTTATGTACCTAGGAGGATTATGCCTCCCTCTGCTGAGTCGTGCAGGTTGTCAGGGAAGTGGGCAAAAGCCAGCAGTTACAGGCCTCACCCAGCTCCCATGCAATCCAAAGGGCTGGTCTTACTCCCACCATGCCCCCACCAACAGCATTGAGTCTGTTTCCAGGCAGTGGGCAAGCAGGGCTGAGAACTTGCCCCAGGCTACCCACCTCCCAGCTGTGAAAGCAAGTATGGCTTTAGTTCTTCCCCTGCCTGTGGAGTCTGCATGCTGGATTTGTGCCCTTCCCAGAGTCCTGGCCAGGAGGCTTCTCGTCCAGTTCAAATTGTTACAAAGTTCAGCTGGAGACTTCCTTCTCCCTGTGGCATTTTCCCTGGGCCTCTGGCTGTCCTCCTGAAAGATCCCTGTGATGCCAGACAGGAATGGCCTGCTTGGGGACCTAGGGAGCTCCCAGGGCCTTTCCTGCTGCTTCCTCTACCCCTGTATTTTGCTCAACTCTCTAAATTGACTCAGCTCCAGGTAAGGTTGGAATCTTCTCCTTTAAACTAGACCTTCAGTTTCCCCAGTTGGGGTGTGTATCCAGGGGCGGAGGATCTTCCTTTCCCACTTCTGCAGTTTGGGCACTCACAGTATTTGGGGTGTCTCCTGGGTCCTGCAGGAGCAGTCTGCTGCTTGCTCCAGAGGGTCTGTGGTTCCCTTCAGGTTTCTTGATTTATTCCTGCAGTTGTTCTGGAGCTAAAATTCACAATGCGAGACTTGCTGCTCTATCCACCCGAGTTGGAGTTGCATCCAGTCCTGCCTCCTGTCTGCCATGATCTGTTATGTTTCTTTAGTATCTTTCAATCTAGACCCTCCTGCCCCCTCTCCCAATCACACTGCCTTTTTAGAGAGACCAGATTTGTGTTCTTACAAAATACTCCATAGTCTGAATTCTTCTGAGCATTCTTAAGTGCCATTTCTTTTTCTTTTCTTTTTCTCTTTCTCTCTTTTTCCTTCCTTCCTTCCTTGCTTCCTTCCTCTGTTTTTCTTTCTTTCTTTCCCCTCTCTCTCTTCTATTCCTTCCGTCTTTCTTTTCTTTTTCTTTTGAGACAGGATCTCACTCTATTGCCCAGGCTGGAGTGCAGTGGTGTCATCTCAACTCACTATAACTCTGACTCCAGGGCTCAAGCGATCCTCCCACCTCAGCCTCCTGAGTAGCTGGGACTACAGGTGCATGCCACCATGCCCGGCTAATTTTTGTATTTTTTGTAGAGATGGGGTTTCACCATATTCCCAGGGTGGTCTCAAACATCTGGGCTCAAGCAATCTGCCCACCTCAACCTCCCAAAGTGTGGGGATTACAGGCCTGAGCCACAGTGCCCAGCCGGCTGATTTTCACAATAAGGGGTTGATGGAAAGTTTTTCTTCTTTATCTTTTCAATTTGAAATGTCACCAGGGACTCTCTGCTTGGGTGAGGCATGCCCACCGACGCTACTGATCTCAGATGTTGATTTCCTTCTTCCTTGTAAACTGAGGTTTGGGGTAGTCTCTATCCCCAATTTACATGTAAGCAGGACTTATAGGTGAAGTTACGAGCTCTCTTTGCTGATGTGCATGGTTTATAGAAGGCTGTGTGCAGAGATTCAAATTGTGGACCACCCTTCTCCTCTGGGAATAAAAAAACCTTCTATAATTTTAAATATACACACTTGCTGCATATTATTGGTCAAATTTATTTTTCTTGTGATTTATTCTATTAATTGCATATATTTTCTTCTATTTCTGCACAATTTTATTTTGATTATTTATATTTTAACCCAGCTGGAATGTATTTTACTGTATTGTGTCACAAACAGTGACTTTACCCCAAACATCCAATCTTCCCATCCTAATTTCTTTAATAATTTATCCTTTCTGCAGTGGCGCATGTCCCCTTAACTTGTGTGTGTTGATTCTTATATTCTTACACACTATGCGAATCACCTTAGCTTCAAAACACATTTTTATGTTTTAAAAAAGATTAGATATCTTTTTAAGAGTGCTAGTTTTGCTTATTTTCTTACTGTGGATGTGCTGCAGGGTAACTTGACAAGTTCCCTAAACCCTCCAATGGGGACTGCAAAGGTTGTTAGGTGAGAATCAATCATTATCCGTTTCCTCTTAGGAGGTAGGACAAGTCAGAGCCAGGGAAGGTGCAGTTCAGGGATGCTCACATGAGGTTTTCAGGTAGGATCCCCAACGAGTCAAGGGAAAATAACCCAGCGAGCAGAACACCTCATGCCAGGCTCCATTTTTGGTCTGGTGGAGGGTGACCTTCTCTCCCTGCCTGCTGAAGTCCTGCCAAGGTTAGGAGAATAAACTGCTCATGTGTTACCTTTGTAGTGTTTGTGGTGGCCAAAAAGTCTGATTCTATTTCCATTTCTTTTTTTTCATCCAGAGATATATCTTCGGATGGTGGGATCACAAATACAAAATGCTCCAGGTCGTCTGTCATGGTCAAAGGTGGCCGCTTCACCGGGTAGGAGACGATTGAGAATAAGGCGGGAGGCGGGATGGGTGGTCCGGAGGCACCCAGACCCAAGATGTCTAGGATCTAAAGGAAAGGCCCATTGTGAATTTCCTGTGCAAAACCCTATGCCTCTCTTACCATAGCCTTTGTTATACTTTATGGCAATTGTTTAATTGTCTGCCTTTGCAACTGGGCTGTAAACTCCATTAGGATGGTTAGCAGGTGGATATGGCACACAGCCTAGCACATAGCAGGCAATCAATAAATCTCTGTTTAATATGAAGAGGCCAGCTCTTAATGTTCTAATATCTAGAGTACAGAGTTTTTCCATCTATTTTCAGATTCCATGTTAATTTTTCTTTTTGCGTTAAATGTTCCTTCCTTCCAAGGTGAAAGAAAGTTGGGATAGGAGCAAGTCAAATGCAGCAAAGAAAATAATAAAGCAAAGGTTCTGGGACTGGGGATGAGAATGGGAATGAAGAGAGAAGTGAAAAATAACCTGAGAGAGAAAACATTTATTCCTCCAGCATTTTCCCATCCTGCTCTCATATATAATGAATGAGCAATTTCCAGAGCAAATGGTTTGAAAATTTAACAGCTACTTCCTGCCTCAGAATAAGCATGTTGCCTCTAGACTAATAGCCATTATCACAACAGTAAAGGTTACAGCCCACCTGAGGGCCCAGCCTGTGGACCACTGGGCCTGTGAGGCCCAGCAAGTAACTAAATATCTTCATGTAATCCTGTGCTTCTCATCCTGTGTGTCAAGGAGCTAAAGGCATTTCCTGACAAATACGCAGCTGAGTTAACTCCCAGGATTTAGAATGTCTATGAGGAAAGGCAAGAATGATTTGTGGCAATTGTTGAATTACCAGAGCCAGGGAGTTCTTCAAGCAGCAGTCTAACCTATGATTTGGAAGGTGGAGAGTACAAAACAAGGCAAGAAGATGTTCTTGTTATAGTCCTTTTTTTAAAAAAAAACATTTCCAGGGAAAAAATCACAATTCCTTAGCTAAGGCTGGCCTGAGGTGAAACTGGGAAGGGCGTAGAGCTGATGTTGTGTGTCCCCCAGCAGTCCTTCCCGCCTGTGGTGCCACCCGGGACCACTGTGGCAAGGCTTCTACTGTGGGCCGCGGCACATGGAAGTCACATGGATTGCAGGGATGACTCTGATCCTCCCGTCATCCCTGACCTGCCACATATCCCTCCCAGGCTCTAGTCTCTACTTTTAAAAGTTGACTCATGCCTGTAATCCCAGCACTTTGGGAGGCTGAGGCTGATCATTTAAGGTCAGGAGTTTAAGACCAGCCTGACCAACATGGTGAAACCCTGTCTCTACTAAAGATACAAAAAAATTAGCTGGTCGTGCTGGTGCATGCCTATAGTCCCAGCTACTTAGGAGGCTGAGGCAGGAGAATCGCTTGAACACCAGAGGCAGAGGTTGCAGTGAGCTGATATTGTGCCACTGCACTCCAGCCTGGGCAACAGAGTGAGACTCCATCTCAAAAAAAAAAAAAAGAAAAAAAGAAAAAAAGTTGCATCTAGTTTGTCATGAACGAAACCAGAGGGCAGCAAACTGTGGTGCCCTGGCTGAATCTGGCCTGCTACTTTTTCTAAATAAACTTGAATTGGAACACGGCCATGCCCATTCATTTACATGTTGCTGGTGGTCACTTTTACCCTCTGAAGGCCAAGTGGAGTAGTTTTGATAGAAGTGGTATCACCCGCAGCCTAAAATGCTTACTTTCTGGTCCTTTACAGAAAAAACCTGTCCCTGGAGAAAAGGCTATAATAAGCCTCTCCTCCAAACTGCTAGCAAAGGTGGCTTTTGGATACACAATACTTTTGTTTATAGGAAAGAAGAGCTGTCTTATAGGATAATTTCTGTCACTGTGGGAGGTCTGTGGGAAGATTTTGGAGTGGATGGGTCTCCTGCTTCACCCCAAAGCCTCACCTGCCTTGCCATTCTGTAGCACCCATATTATCAATATTAAAAACCAACCATTACAGGTGGCTTCCCATAAGGTTGGATGGACTAATCTAGATGTGTGACATTTCCTATGAATTTTCTCTTGCCAAGTAGAAAAGGTCCTTTAGTCATTATTGTCTTAATTCCAAGGGGGCATTAGAGATGCATGCAGTTGAGGGGATATGGGTTTCAGGTAGGGAGAAGCACCCCTGATGACCTTAGCACAGCGCCTGCTGCCTGACTTGAGACTTCCCCACCCTGGAGGAGAGTCCATACCTGCTCTCCTTTGGGAAGCTTGTCGCTCTCTAGGGCCTGCTTCCAGCTCAAGCCTTCAAAGTCTGGTGTCTGGATGTCTAGGAAGGGTACGCCCAGGTCCTTCTCCTTCTTCCCTTCGTGGTCCTCCTCCCCTTCCCCCTCCCAGTCGCTCCGCTCCTCCAGGGCTCGCAGCTTCTCCAGGCGCTCCCGCTCCGCCTTCTCCCTCTCCAGGCGCTCCTTCTCCGTGCGCTCCTTCTCCAGGCGCTCTCTCTCCCGGTCCTTGCGGCCCCTGCGCCCACCCAAGGGGACCTGGCGCTGGTCGTCGGGCTCATGGGGCGCTTCCTCCATCCCTGCAGGAGGCAGCTGGACTCCTTGCTTCCGGTCCCAGTACATGAGGATGTTCTGGACATCCTTCAGTGTCAATTCATAGGTCTTAAACTTCGGGGCCAGTTGCTTGTCGGGGTCCTTTGAGTTGTCCCCTTCACTGTCCTCTTGGTCCTGGACAAGAGGAAGCCCATGCATGCTGACATCGCCCATGTTCCTTTTCTTCTTATTTAGCTCTTCCTTCTCAGACATTGTTTGTTCCCTAACAGATATTTTCCTTTCGATTGTCTCCATCTTGACATCCACTTTGGTGAGCGGAGGAACCTAGAAGGCATGACACAGAAAAGATGCGTCAAACAGTTTTTTACGGGGTAGTAAATTGCATAAGGAGGAGCAAAAGGACATTTTGTCTCATGAGAAGGTCTCCGAGGATCTGGGCACCTCCCCTGCACGCTAAGGTTGTGCCTGGGAATCATCTTGGGGGTTTTAATCTAAATCTAAAAATCTATTCCATGGTCCTTCTCTGTTTGAGATCTGGCTGGGTCCTGGCATTGTGCATTTTGGAAAAGGTGCAGAGTGACTTTGATGTGTACTCCTGGTTGAGAGCTGCTGTTCTGCAGGATCAAGGGGAAAAGACTAGCAGATGCAAGCCATATGCACCTGCCTCAGGTGCCCTGGGATAGGCCACAGCGTGTAGTGGTCCAATCCCAGCTGCACTGCTTGGTAGCTGTGACCCTGGGAGAGGACTCAGCCTCTCTCTGCCTCATCTGTATAACGGAGATAGCAACATTAATACCTACTCCAGAGGACTCCTGAAGATTAAATGTGTGAATGCATGTAAAAAGCTTACAACAGTGCCTTTTCAGTTATTAAAACCACACATGTATTGTATACAATGGATATTGATGGGAACAAATGGGGGTTTAGAATTTGGCTGCACCTCAGGCTTTTAAAATATGTATTTATTTAATGCTCTGAGCATAGAGAAACCAACTTTATTCTTTTTCTTACTGCACTTTTAAACTTGTTTTGTGGACTCTGATTTTCTCCTCCCCTGGATGAAATCCTCGGGTAGGCTCCATCGTTTTTTGGGTCATTCTTTGATGATATTATGCAAAGTCCATTCCAGTCTAGTGACTGCTATCTGCAGTGCAGCCAGTGTCTCCCTTCCCAGGTCTAGCTCTCCTCCTCTCTAAGTTCAGGCCAGCATCAGGCTTGGAGACATGAACGACCAGGGGCTGGCTTTTCCCCTCATCTTGCTGCCCTTCCTCCTTCTTTGCTTCTCCATCTCCAACACAGCCTGGGGAGGCAGCAACACTGCAGGCTGGCACGGTGCCTCATGTGGGGGAGGCAGGGACTTGGCTCCTATTCCTTCACGCTCTGCCAAGACACCTGGGTTTGCACGGAAGATGGGGCCCAGTGAGGGAAGGACTTGTACTTGCAAGACTGTGGGAGCCCAGCGTAGAGCAGCTGGAGGCTAGCAGTAAACTATGAAGAATATGGACAATTTTAACAACATGATTAATGGACTTGGGCAAATAGATGCAGAAAGAAAATACACACACTATTCAAACACACGTGGAACATTTACAGAAACCAGTCACCGATGAGGCCACACAGCAAGGCTCCACAGATGCAAAAGATCAATATGACATAGAGCATGTACTCTGCGGATAGTTATCAAAATCAGGACTAAAAAGAGAAGGCAAAATGAAGCTGTTCATTTGGAAATTAGAAAATATACTTGGAAATAATTCATGGATTAAAGAAGCAGCCATAAAGGAGAGTAGAAAATATTTAGAATTGAACAATGAAAACACTGAATATCAACAAATGAGGACTATATCTAAAACAGTTTGGAAGTTTATATGTCTTTAAATGCTTTTATAACCTTTTTTTTTTTTTTTTTTTTTAGACAAGTTGGAGTGTAGTGGTATGATCACAGCTTACTGTGGCCTCAATTTTCTGGGCTCGGTAATTCTCCCACCTCAGCCTCCCAAGTAGCTTGGGACTACAGGCATGTGCCACCATGCCTGGCTAATTTTTAATTTTTTTGTAGAGACACAGTTTTGCCATGTTGCCCAGGCTGGTCTTGAACCCCTGAGTTCAAGTGATCTGCCTGTCTCAGCCTCCCAAAGTGTTGGGATTACAGGCATAAGCCACTATGCCTGGCCCCTTTTATAACTTTTCATAAATTGCAAAAGAAAAACGATTGAAAATTAATAAGATAAGCATCACTTCAAGAAGTTAGAAAAAGAACGGAATAATAACACAAATAAAGTAGAAAGAAGGGGCCAGGCACGGTGGCTTACAACTGTAATCCCAGCACTTTGGGAGGCCGAGGTGGGCAGATCACCTGAGGTCAGGAGTTCTAGACCAGCCTGGCCAACATGACGAAAGCCCATTTCTACTAAAAACACAAAAATTAGCCAGGCATGGTGGTGGGCACCTGTAATCTCAGCTACTTGGGAGGGTGAGGCAGGAGAATTGCTTGAACCCGGGAGGTGGAGGTTGCAGTAAGCTGAGATTGCACCATTGCACTCCAGCCTCGGCAACAAGAGTGAAACTCCATCTCCAAAAAAAAAAAAAAAAAAAAGAAAGAAGGATATTATTAAAAAATAAGAACAGGCCAGGTGTGGTGGCTCAAGCCTGTAATCCCAGCACTTTGGGAGGCCGAGGTGGGCGGATCACGAGGTCAGGAGATCTAGACCATCCTGGCTAACACGGTGAAACCCCGTCTCTACTAAAAAATACAAAAAAAAAAAAAAAAAAAAAAAATTAGCTGGGTGTGGTGGCAGGTGCCTGTAGTCCCAGCTACTCAGGAGGCTGAAGCAGGAGAATGGCATGAACCAGGGAGGCAGAGCTTGCAGTGAGCCGAGATCATGCCACTGCACTCCGGCCTCGGCGACAGAGCAAGACTCTGTCTCAAAAAAAAAAAAAAAAAGAACAGAAACTAATGAAACAGAAAACATAAAATGAAGATAATCCACAAAGGCAAAAGTTGTTTCTTTGGAAAGATAATAAAAATGACAAACTTCTAGTAAGGTTGATTGAGGAAAAACAAAGAGAAAGGTACAAATAAACAACATGTGAAATGTCCGAGAGGACATAATAGAAATAATACAAGTATAACAGAAATAATGGAAGAGGTTAAAAAGATAGTAAGACAAAACCATTAATTTCCTCATGCCAATAAATGTGAAAATCTGATAAAAAATTAATACTTTTTCAGAAAATCATGAATGACCAAATTAACTCGGAAAGCAAAAGGTAAAAGCTGAATAAACATTTAAGCCCCAAACAAACTGATTCAATAATGTAATATGTAACCCACTGTGTGGTCCTACCAAAGAAGAAAAAGAAATACAATCATGTCAATGGATGCAGAAAAATCACTTGATAAAATTCCACACCCACAAGTAGAAAATCTTTACAAAACGTTTTGAAAACCTATGTGTCTGAAAGCACTGGAGAGCCACAAAGGCAGTCATGAGTTGCAGGCTAAGATCTGGGAGAGGAGACAAATACAGAGAAGTGGGCCCAGCATTTGGGGCTGCTCTTCCCTCGAGGGTATTTGTAGCTGACAGTGTGGTTGAGAAGCTGAGCAAAACTTCTGACAGACTCATGGGGCTGGGGTTCAAAAATTAAGACTCCAGGCCTGCCAAGGAAAAGAGGTCCTGGTAAATCCCCTGGCCTTTGGGTTAGGTCTCCGAAAGGCTCCATATTAGGAATAAGGGTCAACCTGTCCTTTGCAGGGACATGGATGAAGCTGGAAGGCTATTATCCTCAGCAAACTAATGCAGGAACAGAAAACCAAATATTACGTGTTCTGCCTTATAAGTGGGAGCTGAATGATGAGGACACATGGACACATGGGTCAGGGGACAATACACACTGTGGTCTGTCAGGGGTTGGGGGGCAGGACGAGGGAGAGCATCAGGAAGAATAGTTAATAAACGCTGGGCCTAACATCTAGGTGATGGGATGATCTGTGCAGCAAACCATGGCGGCACACGTTTACCTATGTAACAAACCTGCACATCCTGCACGTGTACCCCCGTACTTAAAATAACAGTGGAAAAAAGAAAAAGAAAAAGAAAAAAAAAGGTCCACCTGAAATAGCCCCGCCCTCCCAGGGACTGAAGCTCAGTTTAAAATGATCTCAGTCCTGATTGAGTCAAGGTTTCTAGTGCTCCTAGCCTAGCTGACTGCCAGCATCAAACAGTGATTCTCTCTGGAGGGAGACAACATCTTCCAGAGCCTCAAAACGTTTTTTTCTGTTCAATATCTTGCCCTTGATAAAAACCTGGGGTGGGCATGGTGGCTCATGCCTGTAATCTCAGCAGTTTGGGAGGCTGAGATGGGAGGATTGCTTGAGGCCAGCAGTCCTAGACCAGCCTGGGCAAGCAAGACCCCTATCTTTAAAAAAACACTTGGCATCTTTCTACATATGGCTAGCCAGTTTTCCCAGCACCATTTATTAAATAGGGAATCCTTTCCCCATTGCTTGTTTTTCTCAGGTTTGTCAACTGGATCCCTTCCTTACACCTTATACAAAAATCAATTCAAGATGGATTAAAGACTTAAACGTTAGACCCAAAACCATAAAAACCCTAGGAGAAAACCTAGGCATTACCATTCAGGACATAGGCATGGGCAAGGGCTTCATGTCTAAAACACCAAAAGCAATGGCAACAAAAGACAAAATTGACAAATGGGATCTAATTAAACTAAAGAGCTTCTGCACAGCAAAAGAAACTACCATCAGAGTGAACAGGCAACCTACAAAATGGGAGAAAATTTTCGCAACCTACTCATCTGACAAAGGGCTAATATCCAGAATCTACAATGAACTCAAACAAATTTACAAGAAAAAAACAAACAACCCCATCAAAAAGTGGGCGAAGGACATGAATAGACACTTCTCAAAAGAAGATATTTATGCAGCCAAAAAACACATGAAAAAATGCTCACCATCACTGGCCATCAGAGAAATGCAAATCAAAACCACAATGAGATATCATCTCACACCAGTTAGAATGGCAATCATTAAAAAGTCAGGAAACAACAGGTGCTGGAGAGGATGTGGAGAAATAGGAACACTTTTACACTGTTGGTGGGACTGTAAACTAGTTCAACCATTGTGGAAGTCGGTGTGGCGATTCCTCAGGGATCTAGAACTAGAAATACCATTTGACCCAGCCATCCCATTACTGGGTATATACCCAAAGGACTATAAATCA